>NC_000007.14:45694787-45997817 GCF_000001405.40 Homo sapiens
TCAGTACTTTACCTGATGCCTGGTGAATTATAAGGTTTTTTATTCTTGCCAGTGGAGGCAGGAACAATTCTCAGCATTGCATGAACTTTGGGGGTTGTTCCCTACAGTCCTTTGCCTAACCTGTGCTAATCCCTAGATGGTTCTTTCTCTAGCCTTTGCTAATCAGTACTCAACTAGAGACTTGAAGAGACCAGAACACTGTGTCCTCTCTGGTATTTTCCCTTTGAACTCAAGCTGCCTTGGGCTTCCAAGCCCTCTAGCCTTGTCAAATCTGGGAGACCCCTAGGCTCCACAGGCACTGTCTCTACATGCGGCTTGGAAACTCTCCCAGCAGTATGCTGGGCCATTGCAGGCCTCATCACTTATTCCCATCACTCAAGGATCACTGTCTTTCATTGCCTCCTGTCCAGTATTTGGAAAGCTGCTGTTTTATATATTTTGTGTGGTCTGCTTGTTGCTTGTAGGAGGGCAAATTGAATTCCTGTTACTCCATCTTTTCCAGAAGTGGAACTTCATGTGGCCATTTAAGTGTCTTTGACCCCAAAACTGGTCATTATCCCCATGTAACAGGTGAGGGCCAAAGTAAATGGCCAAAGGTCAGAACTGAAATCTGCCAAACCCTAAATGGGCACTCTCATGGATGCCATGCATGACATGTCTCAGAATCCTTCTCCTGCCAAGTTAAGTACCATCCAGAGTGGAATGGCATTCTGGTGAGAACTGTCTCTAGGCAGAATCCTGTGAACACAGCCAAGAATTAGAAGTCCTCAGCTCTGAGGCCTGTGCTTCTCCCTCCACAGCAGTCAAGATTTCATATGCATGTGTGGCTGGAGGGTTTCTCTGAAAGGTTAGATCTGGGTTAGAAGGACGCAGCATAACTTCAACATAGAGCAAAAGCTCCAAAGACCCCAGAAGTTGCTTTCTGCCCACAGTGTGGACTGTTCGTGGAGAGCAGTGTGGTAGCAGTGTGGCAGTCACTGTGCAACAAGAAAGAAGATGTCTGTGGTGTGTCTCAATGCCATGTTGGGCTTGAGCACGTGAAGTTCACCTGCAGGCCCTAACTTGAGCACAGCACAGTTTTGCTAATCTATGACCAGCCTGCAGAACTCAGTACTGCTAATGCAGGCACCTCTGTGTTCTTCTCAAGAGTGTGGAAAATAGCACCTCAATTCCTCCCTGGTTCGAAAAGATAGAGAAACGTTGGTAACTCCAGACTTTCTGATGAGGAAATGGAGCCTTCTGCTTTAAGGCACCAGAGGCCGTCTGAAACAGCAGACCCACCGGACATCCCCTAGGACATCTTTCTGTCATGGAGTGTGGCTGCTTTGCATTTTTTTCTGTGTGTGTGCAATGAAAAATCCAGATTTTCGGCCGGGCGCCGTGGCTCATGCCTGTAATCCCAGCACTTTGGGAGGCCGAGGCGGGCGGATCATGAGGTCAGGAGATCAAGACCATCCTGGCTAGCATTGTGAAATCCCGTCTCTACTAAAAAATACAAAAAATTAGCCTGGCATGGTGGCAGGCACCTGTGGTCCCAGCTCCTCGGGAAGCTGAGGCAGGAGAATGGCGTGAACCTGGGAGGCGGAGCTTGCAGTGAGCTGAGATCACCCCACTGCACTCCAGCCTGGGCGACAGAGCTATACTCCATCTCAAAAAAAAAAAAAAAAAAAAAAGGAAAAGAAAAATCCAGATTTTCTGCAACAGTCTGTTACATTTATAATCACAAAGACCATGTTTAGCACAGTTAGTGTCCATGTGGAGTGACTGGGGCCACTCTTGCCTGGCTAGTTGTTGTGGAAACAAGGGAGCTTGTGCTGGCAACACGTGCTCAGGGTCAGGCTCTCAGCCCTCCCCAGGACCGTTCAGCTTCAGAGTGCTCCCCCGTAGGATGGCCTCCCTCACATTCTGAGTGGGTAAATTCACAGTGGCCTCCCCAGCTCTGAGGCCTATGCTTCTCCCTAGACTCTCCTGCATCTTGCAAGTAGAGTAAAAGGTCCAAAGACCCCAGAAGTTGCTTTCTGCCCACGGAGTGGGCAGAAATGTGCACAGGCTGCTGCTGCTAATCAAGGGAGGAGAGGAGAGGAGACTCGAGGAGTGTGGAAGACAGAATGCCATGAAGGCCCTGGGCAGGTGTTGTTTGCTCCTCAGAAAGGAGTAATTTATTCTAATTAAGGGGCTGAAGAGGACTTCCTGGAGGAGGTGGTATTGGACCAGGCCTTTCACTGTGGCAAGAAATGCTGACTTTTCTGAAAAGGGTAATTTTGGTAATTCCCTGATTTCAATGTCTGACATTTTACCCTGGAAACTTCAGTCACTGAAACTGAGCTTGATCAATTTCCAGCAGATCCTACCCCCACATTTTATATTGGTATAAGTGGATATTCAAAGCTAGGAAAGAGGACTCTCACAGGGCCTTCACTTCATTAGACAGGGTGTCTTCTGCTTATGGAGTCTGGATGCTGTCTTCCCAGCCTCGGTTTCTCTCCGTGTACAGTGACGGTGGACCTCGTGAATCACTGAGAGCAGATCTCCCAGGGGCAGGACCAGCTGTGCCCACTGCAGCCTCATAGCTTCACTGTTAGCACGAGCTCTCTTTACCTTTTTTTTTTTTTTTTTTTTTGAGGTGGAATTTTGCTCTTGTTGCCCAGGTTGGAGTGCAATGGCACGATCTTGGCTCACCACAACCTCTCCCTCCCGGGTTCAAGTGATTCTCCTGCCTCAGCCTCCTGAGTAGCTGGGGTTACAGGCATGCGCCACCACGCCCGGCTAATTTTGTATTTTTAGTAGAGATGGGGTTTCTCCATGTTGGTCAGGCTGGTCTTGAATTCCTGACCTTAGATGATCTGCCCGCCTCAGCTTCCTAAAGTGCTGGGATTACAGGCGTAAGCCACTGCGCCCAGCCCTCTTTACCTTTTAAAATGGCATCCCCATCTTGCTTCCTGTCTGAAACACTGGACACAGCCCTGCCTCCAACTACTATGTTGACTCATCCTAAGAAATGAAGAACTACCAAGCATTTCAGCACAGCAAAACTTTCAGCTCAGAAGCTCCTTAGGAGTAAAGACTTCATTGTCAGAAACAGAGCCAGCCTCTGCATTCACCACCGCCGGTCCCAGCATTTCTGTGGGGGTTGGATGTTGGATAGTCCTGGTTTATTTGAGCTGATTTGCCCTCCAGCTCATGAACTCCAATTCCCCCAGCTATGACATCACCACAGCCTCATTTATACCACAGGGCCATGGATGGGACAAACACATCATGAGGGCTGTGGTCTGCCTTTTTATTTCTTGGAAAGAGAAATACAACAAGATGCTAAGTATTTTATAGAAAACCACACATGCATGTGTGCATGCACACACAAACACACATACTCTCTTACACACACACACACACACACACACATACACCACTTATGGACTTCCTAGGGCAGTGTGGAACATGTACATGTGCATGCCTGCATCCACACATTGTAACTGCAGCATTTGAAGGCTTATTCTCTCATTTTCTAATAAAGGTCAGGGATAACATTTTTAATTCATTGAATTGTTCAAATTTAAAATTAAGATTTCTCTTTAATGTAGTAGAATAATGTAAATCACATTTCTCCTCATGAAGCCTTAACCGAAATGCATTTTTGATCTAAAAAGGGCTTTTCATCTGTTCTATGCTAAAAGGGAAGTGGAGCTGATTGGAGTAGCAGGCAGCAGGGGCCTGCATGAGAGAGAGGCCTGGGTTTAGGGGATGGCCACCTGTTGCATTGGCAGGACTTGATGGGTCTGAAGTGCTGAGTTGGGTGCCCGGTGAACAAAGATGCTGAGCCGGGGGCCCTGGTGTTCAGATTAAGAACACCTGCACCACACTCAGCCTGCCCCATGCTGTAAACAGTGCTTGTAAAGTCTTGTGCTTTGGCTGGAAAAGTAATTAGTGAGAAGCAGGCATGTGTTCATGTTATGTGGTCCCTGAAGTGGCCGTGCAAAGCTAGAGTCCCCAGTGGGGAGCTGCGACCTCTCCCCATGCCTCACCCTCCTATCAAGCTGGTCATTTTCATGCATGACCATGGTCCTATGGTTTGAGAAGAACACAGAGTAGGAGCTGGCACCAGAGTGACCCCTGGTAGGCTCAGGTTCTGTGCTCACTGCAGCCGCTGAATTGATAGAAAAAAACTGGACAAAATAAAACTGAACTGTCATTCTGTGTTTAAAATACAGTCTTTTGAGCATACAGCCAGCTGAGTACCAACTCATGGTGTGAGGCCTGGGGAGGTGGCTGGGAGCCCTGCATTTGGCTAAAGCCCTGCCTCCAGCCAGTGCCCTGCCTGGGAGAAGCCTTAGCCAGCTTGCTGGGCTCAGCCTGGACATCCAGGCAGAGAGGGACCTTCAAACCAGTCACCAGTAAGAGGAGTGACCAAAGGAACTGAAAGTAGGATGTAGGGTGAGGGCATTTCAGTCCTTCCATCCTGGTACAGCTGGCCTCTGGAGCACACTGAGGGCAGAACCAAGGCCTCTGGACAAAAGATCCAGGGAGGGAGATTTTCATTCAACGTATGTTGTCCAGCGGCTTGAGGGTTTGAGGTTGGGTGAAGCTGACATGTATAGTAGTGAGTCCCCCATCTCTGTGAGGTGTTCAAGGAAACGCAGATAACTGCTCAAGGAGATTAGGTAGACTGGATTCATTAATTACTTTAGGGGTAAGATTACCTCTAAAAATGCTTCTTGGAATACTGATATTTGAGGGACATATCAAAGCAGCCTCCCGAGCAGCCAGGGTGAGAGCTGCGGACAAGGTGGAGAACGTGTGGTGGTTGTGCACCTCTGCTGGGGGACGGGAGGGTGGGAGGCTGGTAGTTGGTAGGGGCACATCAGGGACCTAACTACATGGGAGGGAAGGAGAGTGGAAAGTGGGAAATACTCCAGAGTTCAGCCCTGTAGAGTTGCTGCCTACTCCTGGTACTCTGAGGTCGGGCTAGGTTGCGCAGCAGTCGCAGGCCTTCTGAGGGTGCCAGTAGTGTTCCTCAGATAGGACGAGTTCTCTTCTCACTACATGTCTGATGCAGTACAGCAAGAGGATCATGTCATCCTTGTCCTCCAAGATCCAGGCCAGTGGACACCGGAGCTTCCTCAGTCCTGCAGCACAGAAGGGGGGCTGTGAAGTCCAGGCTGGCCACTGAGGGTCCAGCCAGAAGCCCCCCTTGGTCTCTCTGGTTATCAAGGGCTGGGACTGCACAATCCTCTTTGTCCCTGAAAGTCAGTGGTGAGCATTAGGGACTTCTACCCCAGAGCCCTGCAGGGAGGAGAGAAGCCACTGGCATCCATTCCGGGGAGACTCACTGGGTCAGGGCATGTGGCTTTGCCCCTCTGGTGTTTCTGCCCTCTTGACAACAGTTATGGGGCTACTCTGGACATGTGCACCCTGCCCAGCCTGCCCAGCCAGGGTCACCCTGAATCTCAGGATTCATCCGTCCTTGGAGCAGCAACACCATGCAGAGACGTGCATCACTTCTTACTTGCTTGCTCTGATCTTTCTTCGTCCCGTCGGTGGCATGGGTCACAGAGTGCCTCTTGCTTAAGGGAAAACCAAGTGTCAAAGAAGCTGAACATGAAGCAATTCAGCCCCAAAGTTAGAGACTAAGTTCCTCTAACCTTGGGGCTGAAGACTATTGTCTTAGCTGCTGCTGTGCTTGGAGAAGTTCCTTTCCCTCTGCACTTTCCCAAAAGGAGGTGTTTGTGGACCCTGGGATGCCCGCAAAGAGGGGTGTGTGCACCTCAGGACACTGGATGGTTCAGTGAGGTTTGGGGAGAGGGCATCACAAAGTCTATTTATAGTGATTGTATCTGAGAATTAAGAAATGTTTTTTCCTGATGTTGAAGAATGAACTGGCAGTGCTGACCTGACACTGGCCAGATGCCCTGTGTCACTTGCAGGAGGGAGGTGGGGACATCACTTCTGAGACAGAATGAGGACAGGACCACCCTCCCTTGGCTGTTCCCTTGTAGTAAACACGTTGTTGATTCCAGGTTCTGTGGTTACTGGTCTTGTTATTTAGAAGACTCTGTCAGGGTGACTGTGGGGGTCACTCATAGCACATGTCGGCACACAGGGAGTTGCCAAGTTATGCTGTTTGTTATTTTGTTCTCTTTTCCAAATGACAAGCCCTCCAGGCTCTGACCTCTCTGAGGCATCACGTAACTATCACTAGATGCATCCTGGTCAGTGATTTCTGAAACAGAAGGACAATTGAGAAGGGAAATACCTTTTGAAAGAAACTGTGCCATAAAGAGAACATTCTGAACATGGAGGTTGGATGGACACGTGATTTTGTTGACAGGAATAATGTGTGGTGCCCACTAATTCTTTCTTAAGAATAGAGTTTCCTGGTGGGAAAATCTTATAGACTGAGAATTTCAGTGGATTTTCATCACATTTGTTAAAATATATAACAATACAACTTCTGCTTGGTTCGTGAAAATAAGTGGCACAGGGAAAGACAGACGTTTCTCAGTCAAATCTCAACAAAGACCTTTGCATTTGTGGATGGATTAAGAGATATATGATGATTTGGGAAGGACAGCAGCTCTGATAGCCCATTAATCCAAATGTGGAAATAAGCAGAATGTAGACACAAATTTTTAAATCACAATGCCATAAACCTAGATTATGGTTTTTAATCAAAGCATATTCAATTACGTTGTTTTCACTAAAATACTATTAACATTAACAATGGTATTTTGGAGAGAGCAGTAATTTTTGTGCCACTAATAAATAAAACAAAGCTATTATTTTAGAAAATATTCTTCACTTTCTGTTTATGTCACCCTTTACAAACCTTTCTTTTGTGTATATTGGAGCCTGATGTGTTAACACATAATTAATAATGTGGGTCCTATAGAGAGGTGTTTGTCCAGAATGCCATTATTGATGAGAACTTGAGTTGAAAGCAGCCCCGGAGACCATCTGAGGCTGGAAATTGAAGGTTTCTGACCTTTGAGCATGACCCAGAGTAAGTCAGCACTGTGCCCAGACAGCCGCTGCGTGGGCAGAGTGTGGCTCCAGCCCATCTGGGCAGCCAGACCCCAGCTCTGGTCTGACCGAGAAGGTTATGGTCCCTGGGTTTCTTTTGTCCTCATCTGCTTCTGGTCTACGCTCCTTAAGGGACAGGAAGAAACACCTGGCGCCGTCTATCTCCATGGATCGCACTGATTCGCTGGCATTGTCTTCCCAGAACACACTTGCACCAGGCCTGCCCTGCATGCCCTGCCTGGCTTCACACACACCCCCATCCTCGTACCTGGCCCTCAAGGCTCGGGGCCTCGTCATCTCTATCCTTAGAAATCTCCACTTCTCTGTTTTAACTGGTGGAATCACTGTGTGCAGTCTAGCGGCATATTCGTGGCCAGCTCAGCTCTGATAATATCAGTACTGCCAGAAAGCAGCTGTGCTCTTTAGGCTTAACTAAGGGGCATGCTGTCCCCTCAGCCCTTGTTAAGTACAACCCTACAAGTGTTCCCTCTAACAGTGGGTGTGTTACACCCATTTTACAATAAGGAAACCACGGCACAGTGAGGCTGCATCTGCTGGCCGGGTCACCAGCCACCTAGGGGGACCTGAACCAGGGGAGCTGGCTTCCAAACCATGGCTTGTGGTGGCCAGGCCATGGGCCGCTCCGCAAGGGCAATCATTGCACAGTTTTTACTACATTCAAGAGTTTGATGCCTCCATAAATGCTGACACATACTTAGAGTATTCCCCAAGCTTCACTCCTTTCAGGAGTTGGGTTCTGTGTGAGGAAACACAGGGACCCTGGTGGCTTCTGCCTCCTAGGGCTGTGCTGGGTCCTGCCAAGAGCACTTCTTGAGCCCTCACAGTGGTCTGTGAATGAGGCCTTTGCTGTCAGCTTAATCAGTCTCTGCAGGGTCCTACAGCTAGCAGTAAGCAGGCTGGGACTCACCTGCTCCTGCCATCTGCTCTGCCGTGTCCTCTCCCCATGGTGGGACCCTTTGGGTCTTTACTCTTTGCCCCAGGGGGCTGGAAGTCGGCACTCAGATGAGCTCATTGGCCCTGGATCTGCCCCTGCCCTAGGTCCCTGCAGGGTTCTACTTGCCTCAATGCCCAGAGGGATGTGGCTCTAGTGAAGACCAGAGAGATTCCAGAGGAAACAGGAGCCTTAGGAAGGTGTCTGCCCCACCTGGGTGTGAGGCATTCTAGGACAGGTGCCCTGCGGGGCACATCAGGAGCTGCCTGGGGGCTGGTGGAGCCTGTGGATGGGCACATGCCTGAGAAAGAGTTGCTGTAGCATCTGGTCCCTAAGGGGTGGCGGAGGGCAGGGCGGACCCTGGAAATGAGGTGAAGCCATAGTTTGTCCTTTGGACATTCTAGCAGATGAGGTGGTGACTTAGGCAGACATCTGCAGATCTTCCCTACCCAGTAACATGGATCTAGTCTTGCATCTAGTGGGGAGGAGGGACAGGAGCGTGGATGTAGACCATCAGCACACCTGGAGTCCAGTTTGGATGATTAGAAGGAAGTGTGCGGTGGGAACAAGTGAAGGCAGCGTGAGTGGATGGGACTAATGGAGGCTCATGATACCCCAGGCAGAGGAGGAGCGAGAGGACATGGAGAAGGTGAAGCTGGACAACAGGCGCATCCTCTTCAACCTCCTGCCGGCCCACGTCGCCCAGCACTTCCTCATGTCCAACCCTCGGAACATGGTGAGCACCCAGCCTGCTCCTGGCCAGCACTAGCCCTACACTGCTCTGGCCACCCCACTTGGCGCTCACCTGGCTGACCCTTCCTGACCCATCCTTTGAACTTCCAGGACCTCTACTACCAGTCCTACTCCCAGGTGGGCGTCATGTTTGCCTCCATCCCCAACTTCAATGACTTCTACATCGAGCTGGACGGCAACAACATGGGGGTGGAGTGTCTGCGGCTTCTCAACGAGATCATCGCCGACTTTGACGAGGTGAGGCTGTGCGTCGCCATCCTGACCCCGCCTGGTTGTGGTGGTGCATCCTGTTGCGTGGGCAGAGCGTGTCTCACAATATGTCACATTCTTCGTAGCTGGAATGAGAGAAAGCAAATCCCGGGAAGCACAGGCATTCTGTCTCCTTTGGGATCCAGACCAACCATGACAGGAGAGAAGGGGGTCTTGACTCTAGGTTGGGGGACCAGGGCCACTGGGTGGGGCTGGGTGTTTGTTGTCCATGTTGTAAATGTCAGGGCTGGGACATCTACAGTGGCCAGGGCTGGGCAGCCTCATCTACAGATGGGCAGGCAGGTGGGTGCCTCCAGGCCCTTGTCTACAGATGGACAGGCAGGCGGGCACCCTTGTCTACAGATGGGCAGGCAGGTGGGCACCTCCAGGCCCTTGTCTACAGATGGGCAGGCAGGCACGCACCCTTGTCTACAGATGGGCAGACAGGTGGGTGCCTCCAGGCCCCCCCCACCCCGACAGCCAGCCAGGCACTGTGGCAGCCCCACCACGCCTTGTCATTGGACCTGATTCTCCTGGTGGCTGCGAGCTCACCTGTTGGGGACAGGAATGTGTCCTGTACTGTCCTGCCTCACCTCTTCTTGCCAGTGTAGTCCTAGAACTTGTCTGCCCAAAGCAAAGAAGACATGTTGCTTTCCTGAATGTGTCCATCGGCTCTGCTGTTGCTCCTGGGGGCTGACGGCTGCAGCGACTTTTCTCAAATGTTATGTCATGTTTAACAGTTTTATGTTTTAAACAAAGCTCATGGAAAAAGACTTTTACAAGGACATAGAGAAGATCAAGACCATCGGGAGCACCTACATGGCCGCTGTGGGGCTAGCGCCCACCTCGGGGACCAAGGTGAGTGCAGCCTGGCGCTGCCTGCTTGGGGACTGGGTCCAAGCTCTGCCCTAAACTGCTCTGGGACCCTGGGTAGCTTCCACACTGGGGTTTGTTTGCCCTCTGTGTTGGATTACAGGAGCAGCTTGAGTGCTGTTTTTGTCCGTGGCTGGCTCTCTCCAGACACAATCTCCTAGGGAAAGTCAGCACAGAAGGCACCGGAGCTTCCTCCAGCCCCAGCCCTGCCCTGCTAGACACCTCCCCCTAGAACCCTCACCCTGCCCCTGCTCCATTACCTCCCGCACTGGCCCACCTCCTCAGCAGCCCAGTCCCTCCCCCACCAGCCCCCACCTTCCTCCCTGCTTGCCCCTCTCTTCTCCTCCCATCAGCCTTGCACTCTCCTTTTCCACAGTAGAACTATGAATAAATACAAATAATTATTCTGAATAGGTCTAGATTTATTAAAGAAGTTGAATCAATAATTAATAATCTTCTGAAAGAGAAAGCACCAGATTGAGATACATACACTGGTGAATTCTACCAAATATTTAAGGAAGAAATTACACCAGTTCTCTACAATCTCTTCCAGAAGACAGAAGCAGAAGGAACACTTTCTAACTCATTCTGTAGGCCAGCATTACCTGAATACCAGACCCAGACAAAGACGTAATAGAAAAAGAAAATTACAGACCAATATTTCTCATTAATATAGATGTATAAACCCCCAACAAATATTAGCACATTGAATTCAATAATGAATGGAAAGAATTATATACTAAAACTGCATTGGATTTTTTCCAGATATACAAGGCTGTTTTAGTATTCCAAAATTAATTCATGAAATTTCATCAAATCAACAGGATAAAGAAGAAAAATTATATAATCGTATCAATTGATGCAGAAAAATTATTTAAGTCTAACACCCATTCCTGGTTTTTTAAAAAAACTCTCAGTGAACTGGCAATAGAAGACAACACCTCAGTTTGATTTAAAAAATTTTGCAAAATACCCATAGCTTGATATACCTAATGGAGGGAAACTAAATGCTCTCTAAGATGAGAAGCATGGCGAGAATATCCTCTCTCACCATTTCTATTCAACATTTTACTGGAAGGCAGTAAGACAAGAAAGAAAACAGAAGGCATACAGACTGAGAAGGAATCTGCTTGCAGATGACATGACTATACGTAGAAAATGCAGAAGAATTAACAACAGCAATAACAGAAAAAAGCCCCTGGAACTAAGAAGCAATTATAGTAAGGTTCCAGGATATAAATTGAATATATAAAAGCTCATCATTTTTCTGTATGCCAGCAATGAACAATTGGAATTTGCAATTACAAACAAAATGCCATTTATAGTAGTAGCCAAAAAATGAAATACTAGGTATAACTCTAACAAACTATGTACAAGATCTATATGAGCAAAACTATAAAATTCTGATGGAAGAAATGAAAGATCTAAGTAATTGGGGAGTCAGTGTTCCTGCATCGGAGGAGTCAGTATTGTTAAGATGGCAGTTCTTCCCAATTTGATTTATAGATTTAACACAAGTCCAATCGGAACTCCACCACCATATTCTGTGTCGTTGACAAAATGATCCTAAGTTTTTATGGAAAGTAAAAAGACACAGAATAGTCAACACAATATTGAAGCAGAAGGACAAAGCTGGAGGACTGACACTACCCAACTTCAAGACTTACAAAGCTGTAGTAATCAAGACAGCGTGGTATTGGCAAAAGAATAGGCAAATAGATCAGTGCAACAGACTAGGGAGCCCAGAAATAGACCCATAGACATATAGTCAACTGGTTTTTGGCAAAGGAGCAGTAGCAATACCATGGAGAAAGGATAGTCTCTTCAACAAACAGTGCTGAAACAACTGGACATCACATGCAAAAAAAAAAAAAAAAAAAAAGAATATAGATGCAGACTTTACACCCCTCACAAAAATTAACTCAAAATTGATAATAAGCCTAAATGTAAAATGCAAAACTACAAAACTTTTAGAAGATAACATAGAAGAAAAATCTAGATGACCTTCAGTTTGGCAATGACTTTTTAAATACAATACCAAAAGCATGATTCATGAAAGAAAAAATTGGTAAGTTGGACTTCATGAAAATTAAAAACTCCTACTCTGTGAAAAATATTGTTTAGAGAATGAAAAGTCAAGTCACAGATTAGTAGAAAATCTTTGCAAGCCACCTATCTGATAAAGGACTTGTATCTATAGTACACAAAGAGCCATTACAATTCAACAAGGGAGAAAAAAAAACCCCAGTTAAAAAGTGGGCAAACAATTCGAACAGGCACCTCACCAAAAGAGATGCAGATGACAGATAGGCATATGAAAGGATGCTCAGCATTGTATGTTTTTAGGGCTTTGCAAATGAAAACAACAATAAAATATCACTAGATACCTGTTAGAAGGGCTGCAATCCAAAACACTGACAAGACAAATGCCGGTGAGGATGTGGAGCAACAGAAACTCTCCTTCATTGCTGGTGGGAATGCAATCTAGGACACCCACTGTGGGAGAGAGTTTGGTGGTTTCTCACAAAGTTAGACATAATGTTACCATATGATCCAGCAATTGCACTTTTGGTATATATCCAAATGAAATGAGAACTTATGTCCATGAGTATTCATAGCAGCTTTATTCATAATAAAAACTGGAAGCAAACTAGGTATCCTTCAGTAGGTGAATGGATAAAGAAATTTGGTATATCCATAAGGTAGAATATTATTAAGTGAGAAGAAATGAGCTATTAAGTTATGAAAAGACATGGAGAAGCCTTAAATACAATTGGCTACATAAACCAGTCTGAAAAGGTTACATACTGTATGATTCCAGCTGTATGAAATTCTGGAAAAGGCAAAACGGTAGAGACTGTAAAAGGATTAGTGGTTGCTGGGGGTTGGGGGAAAGGTGGAATGAACAGACAGCAGGGAGGATTTTCAGGGCAGTGAAACTGTTGTATGTAATACTGTCATAGTGGATAAATGTCATGCATTTAGAATGCATAGAATGGACAATACCAAGAGTGAACCCTAATTAAATTATGTACTTTGGTTAATAATATCAATATTGGTTCATCAGTTGTAACAAATGTGTCACACTTAGGTAAGATGTTAACAATAGGCGAAACTGTGGGGAGAAGGGATATATGACAATTCTGTATAATCTGCTCAACTTACCTATAAACCTAAAATTGCCCTAAAAATAAAGTCTGTTAATTTTTAAAAAGCATTAGTTTCCTGATTGTGAGAACTAATAAAATTCCCTTTAAAAATAAAAATTAGAGACTTTACAACTGTTACTGTTTCACAAGAGAAAGGACCTTGTCACACACATACATGACGATGTAGCCTCAATCTCAAGGAGGGAAATTGCCTACTCCCTGGCATGCATCTCTGTCCTTGTTTTGCTCATTTGCAATGGCCATTAGCAACGCTGTCCAAGCAGGAGTTTGAGCACCTGGTCTCCCACTCAAAAGGGCTGCCCTGCCCTATTCCTGCAGGCAGCCTTGGGTGGGCCCTGTCTCTGCCCCTCAGGAGCCCCTGGGGCTTGGCCAATACCCTGCCTCTCTCTTAGTCTCCTACCTGTAGAATGGAATGATAAATGTGCCTATAGCCAGGCACTCAGAGTGCCTTCCTCTGAAAGTGCAGCTGTTGGGCACTGCAGGTTGGTCCCTGGCCCCCTCTTGCCTTGCACTCCCCAGATGTAATGACCCCATCTGTTTACACCTAGGCTAAGAAGTCCATCTCCTCCCACCTGAGCACGCTGGCGGACTTTGCCATTGAGATGTTTGACGTTCTGGATGAAATCAACTACCAGTCTTACAACGACTTTGTCCTCCGAGTTGGTATGTGGCTCTAAACCTATCCTGTCCATCCATGTGGAACACCTTCCTACACCCACCTAGGGGTGGGATCAGCTGATGAGGTACCCTGGTCTTACAGGAAGGAGGGTGGTGCCACCCAGGAGGGCATGGGGACCTGTGTACCGAGTTGCCCCTGGAAGCTGCTGGTGGAAGGTGAAGATGCTTCAGAAAGTGACTTAGACTTTGAAGATTCATTGTCTAGCTCAGGAAACACATTAGAAATCTTGATTGTCCTGGAGACGTTCAGATGCTCCTCCAAGTCCACACTTAGCTGAAGTAAAATGCCCTTTTCCCTGTTCGCCAGCCACGGCTACATAGTTGAGGCCACATGGGCTGTCCAGAAGGAGGCCTTGACGGGAGCCCCACTGTGCGGACTCCAGCCGCCCTGTGTCTTCTCCAGGCTCCTTCCCTCACCTGTGTCGTGAGGAGGAAAAACCATTGGATGCCCCAGTTCCTTTCTAGCTTTTATAAAACTATGATTTGTTGTTTTTTTTTTTAATCATAAATTCACTTTTTCTTGAGATGTAGACAGTTTACCAGAAATAAATTCTACTAGTCCAGGATACAGTTAAACTAGAGGTTCATGGTTGTTTTCGAATTCAAACATCCAGTAGCCTTAAAAACAAAACTTGGAGCTGCTTGTGAGTGTGAAGGGTGGTAGGTGATCCATTTAGAGCATGTGGAGTTCTGATGTCCTGAAAAGCAAGCTCGGCTTTAGGCATGGTGTCTGGGCAGAGGGCAGGGGCAGAGTGAGCCAGCTGGGCCCTGGGCTCTGGTCGGCAGAGCTACTGATGTGCCTGAAAATCAATCTGATGGTGGGTCGGGGAAATTCTGCTCCTCACTTTCCAATGACAAGACCAGCTGGCAAGCCCAGCCCTGTGTCTCAGTGTCTGGTCATGCAGTGGGGCTGGACAAGGATCTCTCGGGGCCCTTCTGCCCATCAGGCCGGTGCTAGCCTAGTGTTCTTTATGTGGGTGGGGAGTCTGGGGTTAGCAGAGGGTGCTCCCTAACTCCCACCAGCTCCAGCCATCTGGGAAGTGGTCCTTTGGGGTTCTTCTCTGAGTTTACCATGCCCACCTTCCCCAGCTCACACCACTGTGCCGCCTGCTCTCAGGCTCCTCCTATGCCATGCCAGCTCCCCACTGCCCAGGATGTCAGAGGAATTTTCTAGGACAAGCTCAGAAAAATTAGTCCACAAGTATGGAAGGGGAAGATAGGAAGTGGCTTCGGTCGAGGCCAGAAAGCCCCAGTTGCAGGAGGTGGCTGCCAGCAGGCTGTAACAGGAGAGCTGACAGCATGCTTGGTCCCCCTCTGTCCTGCCGAGGACGGGCCAGGCGTCACAGCCTGGTATGTGCCCTACTTACAGGGAAGGAAGTCCAGGCTCAGAGAGGGTGAGTGCTTTGCAGAAAGTTGCACAAGGGGTGACTCAAGTTCGGGTGTGCCTGGGTTGTCACGATGCTGTCCAGCTGGTCTGCAGCTGTCCGGAGGCCAGTTGGACACTGAGCTACAAAAAGAGAAGATACTCCCTCTCCTCCCTTCAGAGCATTCTGCACCATCTTGCTTAGTTATGGGGCCCATACTCTAAAATAGCCATAAGGTCACATTCTGAGAAAAGGTCCGGAGCTGCTATTTTTCTGGAAGAGAGGATGCACTTGGAGACATACCCTGTAATCACAGATATTGAAAGGCCACACTTCTGAGTGGCTCCCCTGGTAGGGCTCAGCACAGAGGCTGCTATTCCAGGAAAGGGGACTTTTATTTAGGATCAGGACTCGTTTTGAACAGCCAGTGCTGTTCCCCAGTGCAGTGGACAGTGTCGTGAGGAGACCCTGCCCAGGGGAGCCCGTGCAGCAGGGCAGCTGCCTCTCTGGTGCTGTGTGTGATGCTTCAGGAAGGAGCCTGGTGCTAGGTGACCCCAGGAAACAAAGCCCTGAAAGGAGCAGCCTTTTCTCCACCAGGAGCAGCATCAGGTGCATTTGGTGGCCCTGGTGGGGTGAGTTACACTTTTCCCGCTGATGACAGGTCATGCGCTGGCTGTTTTCTAGGCATCAATGTTGGCCCTGTGGTGGCTGGAGTGATTGGCGCTCGCAGGCCCCAGTACGACATCTGGGGAAACACAGTCAACGTGGCCAGTCGGATGGATAGCACAGGGGTCCAGGGCAGAATCCAGGTCAGTTCACCAAGAAACCCCTAAGGCATGGGTGCCCATTCTTCAGGTGAGGAAACTGAGGCACAGGGGGCCAGAATTGAATCCCCAGTCTACAGCCCGTAAGTGGCAGGGCAGAAAGAGCTGCATATTTCGGTCTGTCTGCTCTGGAGGGCATCCTGGCCCGGGCATCTTGATTTTGCTGTTTGGTTTGTCATTTAGCCTTGGGGGCTGGCTCCTGAGTGACCAAGTGCAGTGGTGGGAGCACTGAGTCACTGGGTCCTGCTGCTGGTCCCAGCAGCCTGGTGGCTCTCATTCACTCTGCACATCCCAGGACTCCGGACTCCACCAGCTGCCATAGGAAGGAAGGGCTTTCTTGTGTGTTTGAAGGGAGGGTGCTGTGCATGTCCACCTCATCTGAGGAACTTGTGGGCAGCTGAGGTGGCCTGACACATGGTGGCTGACACCCTCTAAAAGCCATGGAAAGGTTTAGAAGGCAGCAGCCTCTGCTTTTCCTCAGTGTGGAGGAATGTGGTTCGGCTTCTGGGATTTCCCTTGGAACAAATTTGAAACTTGACTCGGTCTTGATGACCACCAGGATGAAGCCCTTAAAACTAAGATGGAGATTGTGAGGGGCCACACAGCCCTGCAGCCACCCTCGCTGGGAACTGCAGGCCTCCAGAGGCCATGGAGGGAAGGCTTGGTCCCCAGGCACGTGACAGCAGCTATTCACGGGGGCAGTTTAAGGGACAGGTAGGCCAAAATATTCATGGAGCTCTCCTCTCCTGCTCAAAACATAGATGGGGCTTCCATGGAGCAGTGCTGCACTTCTGCATTCTCTTTTTTAAAATTTCTTTTATCACAGTAAGGTATACATTGAATTTGTCATCTTTTTTCTAGGTGTACGGTTGAGTGGCATTAAATATATTTACATGGTTGTGCAGCCATCACCACCATCCACCTCCAGAACTTCGTGCTGTATATATATATATATATATATATATATATATATATATACACACACACACGTATGTATACACATATACACATATATACACACACATATATGTATATATACATATATGTGTGTATATACATATATGTGTGTATATATACGTGTGTGTATATACATATATGTGTATATATACAGCATGAAGTGTAAATATATATACTTATACTTTTTTACAATGTACTTTTAAAATATACAATATTTAAATATTAATATTAATTTTATTAATATATATTAAATATATAAATATATTTATATATTATATTAAATATATAAATATATTATATATTATATTAAATATATAAATACATATTATATTAAATATATAAATACATATTATATTAAATATATATTTTATATATTATATTAAATATATATTTTATATATTATACTAAATATATATTTTATATAATATATTAAATATATATTTTATATATTATATTAAATATATAATATATTTTATAATTTTATAATTTTATAAATTTTTATATTTAAAATTTTTATTTTAAATTATTTTAAATTTTAAATATTTTATAATTTTATTTAAATAATAAAATTAAATGTTAAATATATTAAATTAATATTAAATATATAAATATATATATACTTACACCTTTTTTTTTTTACAGTGTACTTTTTTTTACAATGACTGTATCCTGCACCCTTCTGCAGGATTCCCCCAAAACTGGACTTGCCAGGGGAGAACTTCATGGGAGCCCCATCCTGCCCACCCCAGCCTGGCCCCTGCCCCAAACCAACATTGCATTTTTAAGTTTCTAAAATCAGATCTGGGCCTGCCACTGTCCTATTTTGCCCCTGCCTAACACACAGACTGTTCACTGGTGGCCTCTGTCCAATCCCCAGCCAGGTGTCTCCTGGCTGCCCAGGATATCACCCTTGCACTCACAGGGCCTCTGTCCTCCCTCCCCTGCTTGGGCTTCCTACCACCCCTGCCACACTGACGGGGGCCAGCCTCCCCAACTCTGGGTATTAGAAGGTGGGATTGGCATGGATTTGGTTCTTTTAACAAACGATGCCAGGGTTTGAATGGACTGTGTGTGTGGGAGAGTGAGGAGCAGCCAGGGAGATAGGGAGGAAGAGAGGAAGTTCCAAGATCACACCTCCAACATAACGCAGAGATACCAGTCATGTCCTCTGTTCACAGGACTCATTGCATTTAGTAGAAACTATTTTCTCATCCTTTATCTTTTTCCTAACTTTGTGAAGCAGAAATTCTTTGAGCTAGAATACTGGTTGCGAACCTGTCAAGAAATGTCTCTGTTTTCTCTGGACAGTTTGCCTGCTGCCCTCCGTATGCTGGTCCCTCCCTCCCCTGACTCAGGGTTGCAGAGGCAGCTATGCCGGGGTCCTGTGAACTGGCTGGTTTGCACCCCCACCGACACCATGCTGCTGCCCCCAGCAGTGAGTTGGAAGTCAGGCTTTGCCCTAGACTCTACTCTTTGCTGCCCCTTCCAGCTGAGGGGGGTACCTTCTGCCCCCTACATTCTGTATGCCCTACTTGTAAATGTCCCTGGCTGTTGAGGTGCCAAGAGTCCTGAACCCAGAGAGTCTACCCTACTCTTCTCTGTTCTAGCATCTGGAGCTGGGTCCCACACAGCCTCTGGCATGGAGTGCATGGAGCCACCATGGAAGCTCACATCCAGACCCTGGTGCTAGGTCCCTACAAGCAAGCCCTGCCCCACTGCCTGCCTGTCTGGGTGCTTCCTGGGCCACCCTTTCTGGCTCAGTGAACATTGCCTCCTCCTATTGTCCAGGGAACAGGCAGTGAGACTCCCCTGGGGCTGGCCCCTTAGACTCCTCCGAGTCCGCTGGGTTGTCTTTGCAGGGCTGTGTCTTTTTTAACATAGTGACCCAAGTGATTTCAGCAAGAGTAGGGGCCCTGGCTGCCAGGCTGAGCTGGGAAAGCCACATCCCAGTGCCAGGGTTGGGCAGTCAGGGTGGACAGCAACAGATGCAGGATGGAGTGTTTTGGTCTCTTCCCAGAGGAGTCCCCCTCATTGCCCTGAAGTAACACTCACTTCTCTCCATCAACAGGTGACTGAGGAAGTCCACCGGCTGCTGAGAAGGTGCCCCTACCACTTTGTGTGCCGAGGCAAAGTCAGTGTCAAGGGCAAAGGCGAGATGTTGACATACTTTCTAGAAGGCAGGACTGATGGAAACGGCTCCCAAATCAGGTCCCTGGGCTTGGATCGGAAAATGTGTCCATTTGGGAGAGCTGGCCTTCAGGGCAGACGTCCCCCCGTGTGCCCCATGCCTGGCGTCTCAGTCAGGGCTGGGCTCCCTCCACACTCCCCAGGCCAGTACCTGCCCTCTGCAGCAGCTGGGAAGGAGGCTTAGTGGAGCCCACGTGGGCCTCTGGGGTGCACATGGGGTGGGAATGCTCCGGGGGTGACACAGGCCACGGTGGCTCCAGCCAGGACCAGCCAGACCAGCAGAGCAGGGAGCCACTTGCCAGGGTGGAGGAGGAGCATTGTCCAGGCATGGCCTGTGGCCCGAGGGCCAACCACCGAGCAGGCACAGCACAGCAGTGACTCGGTGAGGGGAGGACACCCGACTGTGCACACTTCCAGGCCTCCCTGGAGAGGTGTCCACTCCATCCTTCCCTCCGTGGCGTAGGGAGCACTGTTTCTTTCCAGCAAGCCTGTTCAGGTTTGGCCAGGTCGGCATCAATGTAAGGACCTTCAGAGCATCCCAGGGTTACAGCAAGAGCCACTGAGGTGTGGCTGGCAGAGCAACTGAGGAGCTCTGCGAGAGTGTGCCCTCTGAGACAGCCCTGTCCGCCCCGCCCAGGTGGGACCTGACATACAGGCGGCTCCAGCCCTGGGCAGCGGCTTCAAGAGCCAGAGTGGGAAGTCAGGCCTCTCTGGGAAGGTCACAAGGCCTGGGGTTGTTCACACCACAGGCACAATACAGAGCTGTCCACTCTTGAACTGGACCGTCTGGGGAGAATTGAGAAGCTGCCTCTCACTGCATGGATAGTGGTGGCTGCTGGCTTTCAAGCGTGGTTTTTTGCTAAGAGCCAGAGGCAGGTCTTCTGGAGTTCTCAGGGGGGCCCTGTGACCCCCTCTCCACAACCATGGCCAGCATCGGCTTCTTGCTGCACCTGTGCATTCTCCACCCCTCCGCCAATGGCTTCCAGCTCCTAAAACACCTGGACATTCCCCATCCTGCACCGGCACTGTGTTTGTTCAGAGAAAACGAAGGGTGTCATTTCTTCTTTTCCCTGTGGCATCGTGGATCCTTTACATTTAGCAACAACAGTGTGAGGCTCCACTTCTGTTGAATATGAGCGGCTGTCACACCCATGAGCAAGTTTCCTTGATGGAAGATGCTGTTTCTCCGGCAGAACCAACCCTCCAGGACGAAGTTTCAGAATTGGCTGATGGTCGTGAGTGCAGGTGTCCCTGTTGTAATTTGCAGGGAAATTGACTGCAGGTGATAGTGTTGACGTCTGACGTCTGACAACCTCCTATGTGCATGTCTAAATAGTCACAATGAAGATGAAAATAAGGATGATGGGGACGGGGTCCAGGAGGGCCACTGGGAAGGCACTATCCAGAAATAGTGGACAGAGGTCTGGCATGTGGAAACCTTGGATCTCGGTCACAGGGAGGAAGGCAGCTAGAAATGGGAGGGAAGCTTCTGGGTAGGCACCATAGTAGGGGAATGTCTAAAGACCCACTGCTCTGAGATGTGGTCAGAGAGGTTTCTGTGGACTGCAGATGAGGCCTGAGCCCTGCCTATGCTCAAAGCCAGCAGGGTTGGGGGTCCGCCTCCTCACTGCTCCTCAACAGCTGTAACCCTTTCCTGAGGGCCCCGACTTTTCAGAATAGGAGCAGAGAGAAGCCCAGACTTCCTTCCCTGGAGTGTAGACCTGTGTGTGGGACCTGCTCCAGGCTGATCCCTGTCCGCACAGGTGGGTGATGTCCTTGGCTGCTGCCGTCAGAGGCAGCCCCCTGCACAGGGAGGGGCTGATCCTGCCTCAGCTGTGTGGCCATGTGGGGGCAGCAGGGGCCTGGGCCATAGCTGGGGGAGGCCAGACCCTGAGGGCTTTGCAGGGCGGCCAGTGCAGTGATGCCTGGCGCTTCCAGCTGAGACAGGAGTCCGGACAGAGGTGGGCAGGGTGGATGGCTTCGGGCAGGGAAGGCGGGTAGAGGCTGCATGTGGGGGCCCCTGTCTGCCTGTCCTTAGGGTGTGGATTAGGCTCTGGCTTCTGTGATGGTGCAAGAGGCAGGATGGTCTCCAGACACCTTCTTGCAGAGTGATTTTGACCAATGCCTTTCCAGCACCTTCCCCTGGTTATGACAGGGAGCTCCCAGGCCAGGCCACATGACCCCACAGGTAGGCTGACCCCATGGACCCACTGGAGACTTTGAGGGCAGAGCTCGGGCACCTTTCATCTTCCTTGGGTGGTCCTCATGTCGCTGTCCGCTCATGTTCCTGGTGTTCTGGCATCACCTTGTGCCGGTGGGGGCTGGGCTCCCGTGAGGTCCTAGGGCAGAAGGAGGTGCTTGCAGGGCCTCTCGCTGCTACTGGGACATCCACAGGACCTAATGTTTATGTGGAATCTCCAGGCTGCCATCGAGGGCTCCTGAGCTCATCCTGAGGACCCAGGGTCCATCTGAGCTGGCTGTGGGCTGAGATCCTGGCTGGGGCCCTGCTGTCAACCTCTCCTCCAGGCCCTGCCTTGTCCCTGCTCCTGTGCTTTCCTCTCTTCAGGACAAATGGTTTGTCCTTATGGTCCCCTTTCCACTAGGATTTTCTCATCCTCATCTGTCTATCCCAGCCGGATTTAAAGCAGTCACTTCAGACAGGAGCCACAGGGAGCCTGTGAGGGAGTAGTGCGGTGGTGGTGAGTGTGGCTGCCCTGGCTCCCCCAGCTCACCGTGGTGCTGTCCTTGACCCACGAGCTGTTGAGAAGGGTGCAGAGCCCCTGGCACAGCCAACCCTGTTGCCCCCAGTGCCGCTGCCCAGCTTCGGCCATCCAGGTGGTGGGTAGACAGAGGAGTGAACCCCAAAGGTGTCCATGCCCCAGTTCTAAGCCCTGTGGCCAGGTGCTGTCACACAGCAAAGGGGACTTTGCAGGTGGAATTAGGGTTAGGGATCTAAGGATGGGAGGGGAACTTGGTTTATCTGGGTGGGCTCAGTGACCCCTTGGAATGGCTGAGGGAGGCAGGAGAGCCTGGAAAGATTCGAAGTGTCACAGAGATGGTGCCGTCATTGCTGGCTTAAAGACAAGGGGCCAGGAGCCAACACCAGAGGCCACTCCACAACCCCAGCGCCAGTCAGCAAGGAAGCCGGGTGTCGCTCACACAACCAGAAGGAGCTGAGTTTGGCAACAACCCAAGTGAGCCTGAAGCAGATTCGCCCCAGAGCCTCCAGGCGTGAGTGGAGCCCAGTCCAGCGACACCTTGGTTTGGCCTGTGAGACTGAGAAGAGAGCCAGCCACGCCATGCTGTGCCTGGGGTCCACAGAGCCGGGAGGTCACACATGTACATCCTGGAAGCTGCCCAAGGTGTGGCCACTTGTAGGGCAGTGAGAGGAAGCCGTCGCGGGGACCATGCTGCCTTCTCTGGGCTCACGACTGTTCTGGAAAGGACCCCATGGCAGACTTGGCAAGGTCTCCACTTCAGGGGCAAACATCTCCATCATCAGCAACTCCAAACCCCAGCCACTTCCTGGGAGTTCAGGAACTGTGTTTAGCCATAATGTCCCTTGGGGTTTGGTGAAAAACAACTTCCTTTTTATTTGTGGGAAAACTGTATTATATTGCCTTATTTATTTTTAATCATGTACAATATTCATGTACAAATGTTAGAGCCATTCGGGTAGGATTCTCTCTAAATTATTTATTGAAGAGGCTTTGTAAATAGTGCACCAGTGACAGGTGCTGCCTGTTTACTCGTACCAAAAATGAAGACAAGCCCCACACCCACCTCAGCCCTTGCTTGGCCATGCTGTGGCCCTTTGGAAATGACCCTGTGTGCTCCCCTCGCGACCCTTGCATGCCTTTCATGCCTGATGCCGTAGAGTAGAACACAGCCCCGGAATGCTTCCAGTTGCTTGCAAGGGACCATGCCGGCCCGGGTGGTCCATGCCTGCGGGGTGTCTGTATCCTGCAGGAGGACGCCCCTACAGACCCAGCAACCCAAGTTGCCAGCCCGTGTTTCTCAGACTTTAAAGCCACCAGGGCTTCTGGAACACCTGTCATAGAAGCAATAACTCTAACTCTATACTGTAGAGATGAGTCTGGTCCGAAGCAGATTAGTAATTTAGAGATAAGCCATGCATACAAGTTTGCCCCATTCTCTGGCTTGGGGTGGTGGGAGGCGGGGAGCTGCCACTCCCAAAGCCTCCACCCCTTCCTGAAGACCCAGCTATGAAACCGCAGTTCCTGTGGGTTGGGCTGCCCAGGCTGGTCAGAGCTCAGCACCCCAGGTCTGGTGAGCAGACAGAGCCGGCGTTAAACCCCGATCAGGTCATTGTCACCACACCCTTGCTTGGATGAGGAAGGAAGGAGGCAAAGGCACCCACTCCATCCAAGATCCGTTCCAATTGATGAGCCTCAGTACTGGCCTCACACTGACCAACGGTGGTATGCTGCAGTTTGTTGGTTTGGTGCAGAGTCTAAAGGATAACATATCAAGGCTTACCTGTGATAGGCCATTTTAAGGAAATGGTGGCACTCTGAAGGCTGTCCCCATTCACCTTCCACAATGCTGGTACCATCCTGGTAGAAGAGCCCTCTGAACAGGACACCTGTTCAGGCCTGGGGGCCCCATGCTAGGCTTGCCTGGGTGTGAGAAGGTCGAACTGGGTGGCTTAGGCCTTCAAATTGAGCTTGGGGGTGTCCAAGAGAGGGGTCTTATTCGAGGAACTCACATACCCCAAATAACCATCAGTGCACAAATCATTCCATGCTCTTTGGCACCAGGCAGGAGATGCTGCAGGCAGGTGTCCGTAGTTGGCAAAAATGGGCAGTAGGGGAAATGGAGTTGCTTCAACCTTTCTCAGTCCCGGCCCTCACTGCACCCACCAAGTCAAGCAGAGCTGGGTGGGCTGAGACCAGCATCCCAGCTGGACTGAGCCTGGGGGGAGGGGCTGGAGCCAAGGAGCCCCCCTGGGTGGGGGCATCAGGAGCAGGGGCAGGGCCTGAGGACTGCTCCCCCTGCATGGAGGGCAGGCCAGGATGGAGCCCAGGGTAGACTTTGAGGAAGGCTCAGTGGGCTCAGCAGAAGGAAGGCTCTTCTCATAGTTGTGGTTTTTCACAGATGGATTTGGGTGATCTGAGTGTGGTCAGGCCCTGCCGTTGGGGAATGAATGCCACACGGGGTTTGTCTGTAAGCTGCAGTGTCTGTGATTCTGTGTGAACTGACAGCAGGGAGCTGAAGGACAGGCCCCGGCCTTGGGAGAGGACACGGGCATGGGCTGCTGGATGCAGGGCTCCCAGGGCTGTGAAGGCAGAGGGGTCTCTGGAGGCAGACAGGGTGGGCTGGGGGCCAGCAGCAGGGGGCAGAGCCCCAGCCAGGGCAGCTGCTTCCTGCACATAGACATTCCTCCTGCGCAGGGCCAAGTGCCCATGAGCACAGCCCCAGACAGACACGGTGGGGAGCTTGGAGCCCTCCGCTCACCTAGAGGAGCCCTGGGACACGCACTGGAAAGTATTCTAGGGGCTTCCTGCCTTATCCTTCTGTTTGTTCATACACTTAGTGAAAGCAGATCCTGTACTAGGATGTGAGGATATCTGTCACCTGCGTGGTCCATTCCATAAACACCAGATTCCATTTCAGTTGCCACACATTTTGGGGCTAGACTTCCCTAAACAACATGCCATTGTGAAATAATGCATATATTTGTATTTTTAAATTTCCCTGAAAATTTAATCTATTCTGTTCCATATGAAGTCTGTTTCACTACCTTAAAAAATAGATACTCCACTAGAGGCTGTGCTTAATTCAAATCCATGTGTGTGCCTGCATTACATGTGTGAACACGTGTTTCTGTCGTGTGTGTCATGCACATCTGTGTGTTGCATAGCATAAGCCAAATGAAAATCATTTGTTCATGGGATTCATATGAGGAACAAAATTAAATTTGAATACAGTCAGATAACTGCCACGCAGGGCATTTGGGGAACCATCCCCGAATGCCCTGATGTGATTTCCCTCAGAAAATCCTTGTTATTAGAGGAGAAGGTCTGGGCAGGGGCAGCAGCATCTCAGACATCAAGTCAACTTTATCATCTACTACATCAGCACTGAAGTCCAGGGGCATTGAGGCACTAACTAGGTTCCATTTTCTTTGGTTTGGTTACTTATTTTTTCTTTTTGGGTTCTCGGTGTGCAGAGGCTGTAGAGAGAGCCTCAGGGCGGTGACCGCTGCAGGAATTCGGCCCTCCAGCTCCCCTCCAGTTACCAGGAGCCGATTTGGAGGCCAGGCCTTCCCAGCTGAGTGTCTGTCAGCTTCATTCTCTCTCAGCTGTGCAGTGGAAGAGCAACAACAGACAGGTGACCTTCTTGGGTTGTGCTTCACAATGGACTGGGAAAAACATCTTTGAAATCAGGAAATCAGGCCGGGCGCAGTGGCTCATGCCTGTAAGCCCAGCACTTTGGGAGGCGGAGGCGGGTGGATCCATTGAGGTCAGGAGCTCAAGACCAGCCTGGTCAACATGGTGAAACCCCGTCTCTACTAAAAATACAAAAAAAAAATTAGCTGGGCGTGTTGGCGGGAGCCTGTAGTCCCAGCTACACGGGAGGCTAAGGTGGGAGAATTGCTTGAACCCGGGAGGCGGAGGTTGCAGTGAGCTGAGATTGCACCATTGCACTCCAGCCTGGGCGACAGAGCAAGACTCTCTCAAAAAAAAAAAAAAAAGAAAGAAAGAAATCAGAAAATCGACCACAGTGGTAGCCACCTGGCCTAATGCTGTGTTTTTGTACCTGACAGGGGTCACTCATTTTAGGCACAACTCCTTCATTCTTTGTGAAATTAGTGAGTTTCCTTCTACCCGTCACCAGATTCAATATGTTCTATTAATACACCGATAACCACAGGGGAAGGGCACTTGTCGCTCTCCCACCTGGTTACCACAGTCTCCATGGGTCTTTTGCCGTGACCACAAATAAAGGAAACACTCATCACTAGTATCTAAGTCGGGCTTTACAGTAACTATGCACCTTCTGTGTGCTTCACCTCACTCTCTACTTCAAACAGCCCATGGAGGGAGGTATTATTATACTCCTTATGTTGACAGTGAAGAATCTGAGGCCCAGAGAGGTTGGGGACTTGAGTAAAGTCACACAGCCCTGAGAGGCAGGACCAGGGTTCCATTCCTGCTCTATCCAGTTCCAAGCCCTTGTGTTTTCCATTATGTTTAGTGCCTCTTTGCTAACAGCAACATCTGCAAGATTTGTGTTGGTTTTGATGGAGAACTCTAGCTCATCCACATGCTAGTGCCCAAGTGGTGGAGGGGCCACCTCAGCAGGTGGGTTCTGAATGCAGCCAAGGCTGTCCCCGCAATGGGTGAGACTCGCTCCAACTGCCCGCCCTCAGAGCAGGTGCCTAAGTCCTCCCTGGCACTGGCAGGCCTTACCTCACATTGCTAAATTAAAGCAATGCAATTCCTCTTGGGTAAGAGGAATTCCTCCTTCTTTACTAACTGATCCCCAGCAAGGAAATAAAATGTTAGGCTTTAAAAATCCCTACTTTGTCATATCAGACTATATTCTAAAACTATATTTGAGCGAAACCTGTCATTGCGTCTAATTTCAAATATACAGAATCTCCTTAAGAGCTGTTGCCTTATTTTTTTGTAAAGCCTCTCTGACATCAAATGGGGAGAAATGGTGGCACCTCCAGACACCCTGAAACTACACACCATTTCTTCCCTGCTCAGCTTCTGCTCAGGAGTTCTGTGAGCTATGGGAAGGCCATTGGTTGTATTTGCTACTTTTACTTTCATCTTCCTCTGCTGTAGAGCCATTTAATGTTATTGTCATATGCTGCTGGTGAGGTAAAGGTGGGTCCGGGTGCCTTCCCAGGGGTTAGAGGATGTTCAAAGGGCCGATTTCAGCAGGAGTTCAGAGGGCTTATGATGGATGGTGAGAGATTTGACAACCACCAGAGCACATGTGCTCTGACCCTCTCCTGGGCATTGGTTCCTGCTGGTACCGGGCGGTTCAGACCTTCAAATAGGTTGCTTTCAAAAGAGCTTTCAGGCACTTATTGAGAATTAATGTTTAAACAGACATAATAGCCTAGATGAACTCCCAAGAGATCTATTAAATCTTGTGGGCTGAATAAATATCTCGTGCAGGACTGTGCAACAGTAGCCCAGAGCATCCTGCCTGTGGGCATCCACCTCCCAGGTGAGGGCAGTGGGAAGCTGGCCCGACGGCAGCCAGAACTTGTTTCTCACCTCCCACCAGCAACCCCCCACCCAACTCTGGGCCCCAGGCACACGAAGCACAAGTCTCAGGGGACCATTCCCACATTGGGGGATCCTGAGGGAGCCCATCACCGCCTCTTGCATACAACTGTCCACTAGGAGGCACGCCCAGTGTGGGAGAGATGTATGGTCTTGCCTTCCACCTGTAAAAACTGCACATATGCAAGCCATTTGCACTCTGGAACTGCATGCCGTGAAAACTCCTAATGGTGTGGAACTTAGTTTGAATTTGAAATCACGCCGCATGCACAAAGGGACAGGCCCAGGCCCGACCTCAGGTCATCCGCCCGCTGGCTGCAGAGCATCCCTGGGAGCCAAGGCGAGGCCCGTGGAGCCTGAGCTTTGTGTAGCTCGAGCTTTGTGTAGCTCGTGCACTTATTATGCACCACCTCCCTTCAGTCACCACTCCTCTTCCTCCGCCATCCTCATTTATACTGATTGCACACCCCCCGCTCAAACAACAATGTCCTTATTATGATGACCATCTCGTAGTGGTACATTCCATTCCTATTTAAGGTAAGCCCAAAGCCCACTTTTGGATTTTCTCGACTGTCCGAGAAAAGTTGTGTAAGCGCCTGCGTTCTTCTGGGTTTGGCTAGATAGGGTTGTGTCCCTCTATGGAATGGAGAGTGATGTGGGCAAGGGTGTCATTTTCTCGCACAATACAACTCACTGAGGATGCTTCTGTAGAAGTGAGAAACACGATGAGTACATTCAGAATTACAATAACTCACTCTCACTGGGTAACTTCTCATGATAGATTTGTATGATCAATACGGGTCTATTTTTATGTCAACTGAACACTGTAGGGTACCTTCCAGTCTTTTTCAAGATTGTTAAATTGAGACAAGTAATTGAATAATTTGTCCTATTTTTATTTTAAAAAAAGTGAATGGACTGAAATGTTAAATGTGAATGTACATTTCTTAATTGCAACTTTTCTACTGAGTGTTTGCACTATACTTTCTGGAATCTTATTTAACAAAAATAAAGGGAAAAAATTGCTTGACTAAACTCTGTGGCCATTTCAGTTGAAAAATAAATGGTTATGTGGATGTTTTGAAGACATTCCTGCCTGTTTCACATAACTTCTGGGGGAAGTTTTATTATTCAAAGTATTAAATACTACGTGACCCCATTTAGACTAAACCACACATGAACTGTTATCCCCCCATTACATACTATTCTTCTTCT
This sequence comes from Homo sapiens, assembly GCF_000001405.40. Classification (NCBI taxonomy): domain Eukaryota; kingdom Metazoa; phylum Chordata; class Mammalia; order Primates; family Hominidae; genus Homo; species Homo sapiens. The sequence goes on from NC_000007.14 coordinate 45,723,297, forward strand.
TCTTCTTTCTTTTAGACAGAGTCTGGCTCTGTTGCCCACGCTGGAGTGCAGTGGCGCAATCTCAGCTCACTACAACCTCCGCGTCCTGGGTTCAAGCCATTCTCCTGCCTCAGCCTCCCAAGTAGCTGGGATTACAGGTGCATGCCACCACGCCAGGCTGATTTTTGTATGTTCAGTAGAGACGGGGTTTCACCATGTTGGCCAGGCTGGTCTGGAACTCCTGAGCTCAGGTGATCCACCTGCCTCGGCCTCCCAAAGTGCTGGGATTACAAGTGGGCCCCCGAGCCCAGCCCATTATATGCTATTCCTATCCAGTGTTTTCATCTTGTGCCTTTTTGAATCTCACAATTACATTTTAGATAATATTTAAAATGTAATATAGACTCTCCATTTTACTAGCCTTTCTTGTATCTTAGAATATCTTGCTGAGACAGTATTGCTTTTTTGGTCTCTCAGAAGTTACTGTAGCTCAGGATGCAATGATAAGTTCATTTTACATTCATCTGTAAATACTTTATTTCATTTCCTGTCTTAAAAGATGAAACTGATTACACGATCAGTTGATAATTTTTTTTTAAGTTTGATAATATCCCATTCAAGTTTAGTTGAATGGTGAAGATGGCTTCCATTGTTGTCATTGAAGAATCTTCTGTCTATCGAGTTGTTTTTCCTTTGTGTGTTTTCCTGGGGTTCTTCAAAGAAACAGAACCAAGAGGGCATGTGTGTGCTGTCAGAAAGAGAGAGGGGGCAAAAACAGGACAGAGAATTTATTTTAAGGAATTGGCTTACATGATTGTGGGGCTGGCAAGTCTGAAGTCTATAGGAAAGGCCAGCAGGCTAGAGCCGCAGGGAGGAGGTTATGTTGCTACTTGAGTTGGAAGGCTGTCTGGAGGCAGAATTCCTTCTTCGTTTGGGATCTCAGTCTTTTTTCAAAGGCCTTCAACTAATTGGATAAGGCCCATCCACATTGTGACGGGCTATCTGCCTTACTCAAAGTCTACTGATGACAAATGTTCATCACATCTAAAAGATACCTTCAAAGCAACATCTACTCACAGGGACATCTGCTGCTGTGTTTCACCAAACACTGGGACCCATGGCCCAGCCAAGCACATATAACAACCATCATGAGTGGTCTATAGTTTTTCTCTGATTGTCTCTTCAATTTCAGATGAAATCAGTTCCTTATAGAGAGAAGTTAAAAAAATCATTATGAAGAGAGCAATAGCCCAGTAGAAAAATGTTCAAAAAGCACATACGGAATTATAACCACCTGAATTCTTCCTGCCTGCTGCATAAAGACCATGGCATTATAGTGGAGAAAAAGTTTAAGAGACCCAAGGCTGGTCATGCCACATGGGAGACAGAGTTTGTTCTGGAATCATCTCGTGCTCACAGGTTAGAGGTTTTTCAAAGGCAGTCTGGCAGAAGGGGTGGGGATGGTGAGGTAACAGTTACTTGCTGCTGATTGTATGAAATCACAGGGGGGGTCAGAGCTGTCCTCTAGGCTGAATGGCTTCTGGGTGGAGCCATAGGAGCAGGGTTGGTGGGTCCAAGTAGAGCCATGAGTGTCAGACATGCCAAAAAACCTGAAAAGATACTCTAAGGGCCAATCTACAATAATGGTGTGATTGCAGGGGTAATTGGGGAAGGTGCATATCTTATAACCTCCAGAATAATGGCTGATACTCGTTTATGTCTGCACCTTAGCAGGATCCGGGCTCTCCTCCTTGCCCCCAGCCTGATGGCCTCCCATTAGCTTTACAAAAGCAGCTGAGTTTTGGGGGAGGCCTATTATCATTTAAAGTATAACTTAACTGTCTCTCGGCCAGGCGTGGTGGCTCATGCCTGTAGTCCCAGCACTTTGGGAGGCTGAGGTGGGTGGATCACCTGAGATCAGGTGATGGAGACCAGCCTGGCCAACATGGTGAAACACTGTCTCTACTAAAAATACAAAAAATTAGCCGGGCATGGTGGTGCAAACCTGTAATCCCAGCTACTTTGGAGGCTGAGGCAGTAGAATCACTTGAACCCAGGAGAGAGAGATTGCAGTGAGCCAAGATCATGTCACAGTAGAAAGAAAAGAAAAGAAAAGGGAAGGAAGGAAGGAAGGAAGGAAGGAAGGAAGGAAGGAAGGGAAAAGAGAAAGAAAGAGAAAGAAAAAGAAAGAAAGAGAAAGAAAAAGAAAGAAAGAAAAAGAAAGAATTTTGTCCCAGGAAGAGGGCCGGCCTGATGTGGTTCCAGCAAACTGACACAGGCCAAAGTGTGCATGTTACAGAGAAGATCAGGAGGGTGTCAGGACTTCCAAACACCCTGGAGCAAATTCTGGAGGCCCAGCGGTTGCCATTGATGTGGCAGATCCCAGCATACGAGGAGCAAAGGAGAGATGACCTTCTTCTGGCTCTGAGAGTCCATAACCCTTTGAGGAAGATTAAGCAACAGGCACATTCTCACATTTATTTAATCTTTAACACCCCTACTGGCTAGGTATTGTTAACTGAATATCACAGATGAAGGACCCAAGGCCAGAGAACTAAAGGCTATGCCTGGCCTAATACCTTTTCCACTACAGTGCTCCCTGATGGTGGACTTTCATATCAAAAAAGCACAAACAGTTACAAGCAGTTACAAGCAGTAGCAGTAATAGAAGTAAAAATGATGGCAATAATGCCATGCAATAGAATGCTTATTATATGCCCAGCTGGGTTCTCAGTGTTTGGCGTGTAGCAACTCAGTGAATTTCTGCAACAGCATCATAAAGTAAGTACTATTATTAATTCCATCTTGCAGATTAAGAAACTAAGTGTGGCTGAGAATATAGATGGCAGACATTTCTTTCAGATCTTACAACTTAGAAGGGCTCTGGATAATTTGGAATTGCTAGTACCTGTGTCTCTTTTTCTGGAGGCCTTTTTCTGATGCCAGGAAGGTCCGCTGTACCTGTTTTTAAGGCAAAGAGAAGTGCCGAGACCAGCTCAGTTGGGGAGACCCTAACCCAGTGGTGCTAGAGGAATTAAAGACACACACACAGAAATATAGAGGTGTAAAGTGGGAAATCAGGGGTCTCACAGCCTTCAGAGCTGAGAGCCCCGAACAGAGATTTACCCACTTATTTATTAACAGCAAACCAGTCATTAGCATTGTTTCTATAGATATTCAATTAACTAAAAGTATCCCTTATGGGAAATGAAGGGATGGCCTGAAATAAAGGGGTGGGTCTGGCTAGTTATCTGCAGCAGGAACATGCCCTTAAGGCACAGATCGCTCATGCTACTGTTTGTGGTTTAAGAATGCCTTTAAGTGGTTTTCTGCCCTGGGCAGGCCAGGTGTTCCTTGCCTTCATTCCGGTAAACCCAAAACCTTCCAGCGTGGGCGTTATGGCCATCATGAGCATGTCACAGTGCTGCAGAGATTTTATGGCCAGTTTTGTGGCCAGTTTATGGCCAGATTTTGGGGGGCCTTCTCCCAATATGTCCCCCTTCTTTGATTTGCAAATCGATAAAAGCAAACGCAGCTTCGTCACGGTGAGCTACTTCTCTCAGGAGTCAGGATCCACATCTGCAGACTATACAAAGACAAACAACACAGAAGGGTCATGGGTGCCTATGCCTGGGGGCCCGCAGCTGAGCCCCGGGGGAGGCGTTGGACAGATGCCCTCTCCGCTGCGGCGCCAGTTTCCCGAACCTCCTGGCAGGCAGGTGGTGCTGAGGGCTGGGCCTGCTGTCCCTCGCGGCTCCATGCGCAGGGCAGCTGCATGGTGCAGGGGCGCACGGCTGGGGGTGCTGGTGGGGCAGCTACGGAGGTGGTTCACGCGTCCCAAGCTAGGGTTGCCCCACAGGGGAAGGGGCGCCCGGGCGCGGCCGCCGGAGGCATTTGGCCTAGCTTGGGAGCCGTAGAGCCCTTCCTCAACCATCATCTCAGGGCGGCTTCACGTCCCCTCCACCCACGCGGACCGAGCTGCGCTTCCCTTCCCCCTGCTCGGGCCCGCGCTGGGCGTCCCAGACTCGACACTTCCTGAAGGCCTGTAATTTTTAATTATAGCAGATTTATGTTGAGAAAACTTCATACTGAAATCACTGATTTATTTTGGGATTACCCAATTTTTTTCCTACTATTCTCAGATATCTATCAAACTACTGCTCTGTGGATTCTTATATTAAGTTTATCCTTTTCTCCATCTTTTCTTTCTTGCCACCTAATGAAGGAAATGTCTCCAAGGTCTTTTTGACTAATAGAAACTAAATGTATAACTCGACATCTAGAAGGGTTTCAAGATAGTAGATATGTCTGCTGGGATGTTTTGTCATTACCCTGCCCAATGTTGCGACGCTAGGAGTTTCCTTGACACTACATTATAAATAAGGCCCAACCTGTTAGCAAAAATATCACATTCCCTAATTTTCTCTCCTTTAACTGTGTGTAATTTATCCAGGCATGTCTTTAGTTCAGTAAAGGTTATTTCCCTCTTTTTCATTCATACACAAATAAGTCTGGTCAATTATTATTATCCTAACACTAGTTTTTGTGCATACATCCACCCCAAACTCTCATTTTTAGTGTTCTTATGCCACCTGTATGGAATGGCTTATAATTTTATTTTTCCCAACTCACACTTGTTCATTATAACTTTAATAATTCATTGTAAGTACTCTATTATGCTGTCATACCTAATACACTATGTCCAAGCACTTATGTATTGAAGTCTATATTATTTTATTGTAAACAGTGCTTGCTTGTAGAAATTTCTCCATTTTGTTATGCTAGGGTATTAATTTTTAAAAAATATGTATAAGAAGGTTATATTATCTATAAATTTTACTGAAGATACTATTTAAAAAGGAACACAATGTCTGCTAAGAGATGGAATATTGGACTGATTACCTCAGCTTCAGAGTCCTTCAGTTTTTGAACTTTTTCTTTGACCTTCATCTCAAACACCTGCTCCATCTCCATCTCCATCTTCTTAATTTTAGCTACTTGCTCCCTTCTTTCTTCTTCCATTTGTGCCAGAGGGCTCCTGTCATGAATATTAAGGGTAATCATTAAATGTCTGTGAATAAAAATTATAATAGAACTATGAAACAGTTTGATGAAAACAGAGATGCTATAAATGTATATATGCCATTATTAATATATTTATAACCTAGAACTTCTTTCCATGATATTTCATATATAAAACTTATGAAAAAAATGTAAAAAGCAAAGATATTCTCTAAACCTACTACATATCAAATCTAAGGATGATGACATACCAAATAAAGTGTAGAAGGAAAATGGGGAAAAAAATTCCCAAAATACATTCACAGAATAAAATATCAGAAGAAAATCATTTAATTTTGTTCTTTAAACAACATTTTAACATGAAAAACAGAAAATGAGTAATGAAGTTAATGTATGTAGAGTATTTTTAGTTTTACCAAAATTTCAAGTGTTACAATCTCTTCTAAGACAGCTACTAACACCACAAAAATGAACAATATTATTATTTATTTTGGTAACTGAACTGATATGCTGGAAATCACTACTAGTCAATACCTAGAGCACTATATAGGTATACAGAGTATTTCTAGGCCCCTTATGGTAACTTCAATGCTCTTGAAAATTCATTCCACTTGGCCGGGCGTGGTGGCTCATGCCTGTAATCCCAGCACTTTGGGAGGCCGAGGCGGGTGGATCACGAGGTCAGGAGATCAAGACCATCCTGGCTAACATGGTGAAATACCGTCTCTACTGAAAAAAAAAAATACAAAAAATTAGCTGGGCATGGTGGCGGGCGCCTGTAGACCCATCTATTCGGGAGGCTGAGGCAGGAGAATGGCATGAACCTGGGAAGTGGAACTTGCAGTGAGCCGAGATCACGCCACTGCACTCCAGCCTGGGTGACAGAGAGAGACTCCATCTCAAAAAAAAAAAATAATAATAATTCCACTTAAATATTTCAGTCTTAAATTCAATGATTTAAAACACACACACATACTTTAGAGATAATCAGAAGCAAATATTTTTTTAAATGCCAGAATATACACATAAGCATAGTTAAATAAAAAAAAATGTTCACTCTGTTGATGTTAAAGTCCATGGACTCAAATCTCTTTGGACAATTGGGTTCAAAATTTTTCACACTGAGATATATTTACAGGTGGGATTTATGTTAAGGCCAATATACTTACTCACAGAGACACAAGAGAATACCAAAGTACCTAATGCTTTCAGCCCAGGAGCAGAAAGAGAAGTGGGCTCTTTGCTTTGAGAGTCTCTGAAAATTATTCAATACCCTGGGACAAATTAAATGAGGTAGATCCTTCTTTGAATTTGTTAATAAAGCATGCTTGTTTTGTCTCCATAAAAACAGGCTTTGACCATTAAGGTTTATATTTTAAATGGGTAAATTTTATTGTAATACACTAATTTTAAGAAAAGAATTAACTCATGGCTTAAAAACAAAAACCAGACCTTGGATTTCACCCATAACTTTAAGGCTGGTCATTTTAACCCTGATTTGACACACTCTTATTATGGTGTCTTTTCTCCTTATTTGGCTAAATATTTCTGACCATCATAGCAATCTTTTCTATAAAGGAAGCAGGCAAGAGAGCTAGAGTGAAAATGTTAAAAACAAAACAAAAAAGACAGCATACTGGCTACCAGTTTTTCTTAATTAAGATGATCTGTTTTCGCAATTGCGTAAATTAGAATAAAATGTTATTTAACTCAAGGATATTTCTTCACTGAAAGAAAACTTACTTCTACATGTAAACCTGCCATATACTTTTCCAATTAAGCAATGGATCAAAAGTTCTGAAAATGAAAGTAACCAGACATATTAACTTAGAACAAGAACCTGCATTTTAAAAGCGAGTCAGCTGAGGCCGGGCACCGTGGCTCATGCCTGTAATCCCAGCACTTTGGGAGGCCAAGGCGGTTGGATCACGAGGTCAGGAGACCGAGACCATCCTGGCTAACACAGTGAAACCTCGTCTCTGCTAAAAATACAAAAAATTAGCTGGGCGTGGTGGCACCCGGGATGCGGAGCTTGCAGTGAGCGGAGATCATGCCACTGCACTACAGCCCGGGCAACAGAGCGAGATTCCATCTCCAAAAAAAAAAAAAAAAAAAAGTGGAGTCAGCTGAAATACATTTTCAAGTGTAAATATCTTTTTTTTTTTTTTTTGGTTAAAAGTTGATGAGATCCTTCTTAATAATATATTCCTCATATTAATGGCAGGTGTTTTTTAATATAGTTGCCTCTGATCTCCTGAGCACACACAGTGTCAGCGACTGCCCTGAAACAGCATACCAAATGTGTTTGCCAGCATTCTTCCAGTGAAAGGGTCCAAAGCTTTTGTTACATTTTCAAAGAGTCTGTAATTCCCGCTGTCCCCTAACACCCCACAAATCTTTTTTAGGCTCTAGAAAAGAAATAATCTAAAAACGATTAATTGCTCATCTTAAGTAACCGAATATGTATATTTAAGCAACTTAAGATTATTCAACAACATAATTGTGATTGTAAATACATTAAATTAGAAATCAGATATAATTAAATATCTAGTCCTACTTATATAACTCATCTATAAAATGTTTATTTTACTTTATCCTTGGGAAGGAGCAGGTAATTTTGCTACCTAAATTATTATTTAAATAACTACAAGGGGAAAATAAGAGACTGCAGAGAAAACATGCAATGATGTTTCAAAATCTTCTTTTAGGCCAGGCACAGTGGCTCACACCTGTAATCCCAGCACTTTGGGAGGCCAAGGCCGCCAGATCACAAGGTCCGGAGTTCAAAACCAGCCTGGACAACATGGTGAAACCTCATCTCTACTAAAAATACAAAAATTAGCCAGATGTGCTGGTGCACACCTGTAATCCCAGCTACTTGGGAGGCTGAGGCAGCAGAATTGCTTGAACCCAGGAGGCAAAAGTTGCAGTGAGCCAAGATCGTGCCACTGCACTCCAGCCTGGGTGACAGAGCAGGGCTCCATCTCGAAGGGAAAAAAAAACTTCTTTTAAATTCAAAATTTAAGTATTAAAAATCCCTGTATAGTAAAACTACTATGTCTTTGGAAAAACAATTCCCCGCCTTACATGCCTTCAACTGTATCATATCTAAAGGAACAAAAATTAGCGATTTAGCACATTAAAAGTAAAGCATGCTAAAAGCTTCAATTAAAGGCAAATGCGTAGCTTTCACAATTAAATTATGAAGGTATGTGCCGTAAATAAAAAATGTACAGTAAAATTCGCTAAAGCTAATTTATTTCCCAAATTATGTTCGTAATCATTACACTAAATCACTATGAAAATAAATATGCTGTGCCATTATCTTCTGAAAGTCTGTTCAAAGTTCTAAACCTGCTAAATGTGTGTACTTTCTAAAAGAAATGTGCAATATTTAACAGTTAAGATACTGTAAGTTTTTAGGCTTGTAAAAATAATCTGACCAAACATACTCAAATACTGTGAAAAAATGTTCATGCATATTTAAAATGAATTTTTTGAAGTCTCTCACCAGTAAAAATATTTCACATTTTTAATTTTTAAATTAATGCCTCACTTCTAGACATCTTTATTAATTTTTAGAAAATCGAAACAAAAAATTATGCTTACAAGGCAGAAAATATAGGGAGATCACTTTTTGTCTTCATATTTACTATTTTTTTCCAAGTAAAACCTTTTATTAAACAGCTGGAAAAACCATTTAAGTTATATCATTGCCTGCCTGCTTTTAAATAGGAAACTCTTACCCACACACATGTAGTAGTAAAGCTTATAAACCTATCAGCGAAATTAAAAACCCAAAGAAATGAAAAAAGCCTAGTAAAACAAGCAAAAGTAAATGGTTACAACATAACCCGAATATGAAACTAAATCCCCAAAGATTTAGCTCCTTCTAGGGATGTCTTTATAAGGTTAAAATTCCTGCAAGCCACACCCCTTCATGTGACTAATAAGAGAATTACAGCCACCACATAAGGATGACCTAGTCAAGTTCTACTTTGCTGCATTACACGTGACCCACCCTTGGAGTATAATAAAAAACAATCATGTTTCATTTAAATTATGTGTGGTTGTCTTTCCTAAAGAATACATTAAGCAAGTAGATTTACATACTTTTTCGCTCCAGTGGTTAGTAGGTCACTATGTGCAAAATTTTCCAAAGGAATTTCACTTAAATTATTTGAAAGATCAATAAAAATTTCCAAAAATTTTAAGTAATAATGGTTGCCAACATCTTGTTTTGCCAAGTAAGAGTATTAAAACCAAACATAAACAAAACTCCAACTACTATCATTATAATTTTATGAAAGGACACTTGAATAAAGAGTAAAAGATATAAATAAATAAGTTTAATTTTTTGAAACAACTTGAAATTTTCAGAAAATTGTCTTTATTTCTATTTAGATCAATGAGACTCTTGTATGAAGAATTCTGAGGATCTGCCTTTGGAACCTGTATTTTTAGTCATTTACTTATAAAGTTTTCCCAAGATGACTGATGGAAAAGGCTATGGAGAACAGAAAAATAAATTAACGTTAAGGGAAAGAGAGACTAGGGTGTGCCCCAACTTGGAGCAAGGTATCTATTGTCACAATTGGTACCAATGATACACATCAGTTCTGAAAAAGAGTCACCAATCAAATGTGATTTTAAGTAAAAGGTACAATGAAGATCAAGAAAAAAGGAGGCAGATAAAAGTTCAAGAAGGAAGTTTAACAAGATGGCCCTCCTCTTATTGGGAATCACTTCCTTTAAGAGATCAGCAATCTGATATGACCAACTCTTCTCCCCTTTCCTTTACAGACCCTTGCTGAATTTCCTTTGATTTGAAAGGCTACCCTTTCTGTGGCTTTCAGCCACCCACTACCCTCCATAAGGGATGCAAGATACATTCTCTAAGGAATTAAGAAGTACTTTGATGGCTCCATACGTTCTTTGTCAGAAACAGGTAATTACTGGATAGCTGCTAAGAACAGCATCCACTTCTCCAGATCTAACCTTGAGACAAATTACAGCTGACTGGACAAGTTCAGCTATTCTTCAGATTTAAACAACACATCTAATTCTTGTTTTAAGTCCCTCTAAAATAGAATTGTTCCAGGGCTATTAACAGAAAGGCACATTTTCAGACATCTACACATATATTTTTAATTTTTATTTTTATTTCATGTTTCAATAGCCTCTACAGTTTGCCCAAAACTACCTCAGAAAATTTAAATATAAGATAAATTGATCTACAGTCACGCACTGCTTAACAATGGGGATACATTCAGAGAAATTCATTTGTCATTGTGTGAACAACACAGAGTGTACTTACACGACTGTAGATAGTATAACCTACTACACACTTAGGCTCTATGGTATAGACATTATAATATTATGGGATCTTGTCGTATATACAGTCAGTCATTGACCAAAACATCGTTATGTGGCGCATGAATGTATTTTACTATTCAATGTCTAACATCTTTAAAAAGTTTAGCTTATATTCTAAAACCAAAGTGTGATTAGCACTTTGTGAAGCATACATTGCCAAAGATCAATTTAACTATAAATTTTCAATAGGTTCATGTTCCATTCCAAAATTCTTGCAACTCTCAACCCCTCCCCACTACCACTGTTAAAGAATACATTGCTATGGAGAGTCGCATGAGAGCAATATAAAAAGAAGATTAAAAGAAGCCTAACTCATACCTGCTTACTTCACTTATTTAAACATTAGTCTTTCTTTTCAGTTATTCATGGATATGTACTGAGCTATGAGGAAAAGCACCTTACATCAGCTAAAGCACCATAAGTTGTTAATGACTTTTAAAGAAAAATTTAACAAAAATATTTTTTGAAATTGCTAACATTTTCAAGACAATGTAAGATACAACCAATAGATAAACTTCTAAGCGATTTCTTTCAGATTCAGTATGTGTTATTCAATGAAGTAGTAACAATCTAATTTATCAAATCATATCAAATATCTATTCCAATTACAGCCATTCCCTAGTTGGCTTGATCTTCTCAAATGTTTATTGTTCTACTTATTATTAACATAAAATAAAATATTATGCTAGCTCCTGGGGCAATTTGCTTTTTAGCAATGCAAACATTTCTTTTCTTATTCGCATAGACAAAGTATGGTATGATTCCTCTCTTTAAGAGATATATTTCCAGTAGAATTCTACTATTTATGTTTTCACCTGGGATATAGTTTAACTCACGTATCCACACAGAATTTTGTGTATGCGGAAAAAAACCTAATGATACTGTAAAGTTTACTATTTTTCTCTGAATTATCTTACCTGCATCCAACAGCACTACTTTAAAAAGCCTTACATTTGAGACATGGGAACAATTAAACAGTTCCTTATATCGACAACATAACAAATGTTTTAAAAAATATATTGTATAAGTACATATATTTTTTGTATATTTTGTATATTTTCTTTTAATATACAAAATCATCAGTAGCTTTGTGTATGTGTTTCTTTTAATGAGTTAAAACGTTCATCATTAATGAGAATGAGTTTAAAGTGAATTAGGATTTTATGAACAATATTCACTATGATGGATCCTTAAATTTTTGTGCCAAAGTTGTTCAATAAACATTTGGCTAAAAAAGAGATAAAAAGCCTTCCTTTTGTTCATGTATTGAGGCTTACCTCAAACAGAATCTTGTATTTTAAATATTTAAGAAGGGACATTTTTCTATTCCATGATAAAGCATGTTAACCACTACGGAAAACACCATAGCTACTTTGAGAACTTGTATTATGTATTTATACAGTTGATCCGTCAGGATTATTGTCTAATGGTAGATAACACCGAGCTACAAATGCACATTATTTAAAATGGTTTCGTAATACAGCTATGCACTGCATAATGATATTTCAGTCAACAAGGGACTGCATATATGATGGTGGCCCATAGGAACTGAAAAATTCCTACTGCCCAGTAGCATTTTGATGATCTTGACCCTGAATAGGCCTAGGCTAATGTGTAAGTTTATGTCTTCGTTTTTAACAAAAAAAAAGTTTTAAGTGAAAAAAGAAAGAACTTTTAAAATAGAAAAAAGCTTATGGTATAAAGATTATAAAGATAATATTTTTGTACATCTGTTCATGTGTTTGTGTTTTAAGCTAAGTGTTACTACAAAAGAATAAAAAGTTTTTTAAAATTTAAGTTATTATAAAAGTTACAGCAAAATAAGATTACTAAAGACAAATTTAGAAAGTAAATTTAGTATAGCCTAAGTGTACAGTGTTCATAAAGTCCACAGTAGTGTACAGTAATGTCCCAGGCCTTCACATTCACTCACCGCTCACTCACTGACTCATCCAGAGCAACTTCCAGTCCTGCAAGCTCCATTCACACCAAGTGCCCTATACAGATAAACCATTTGTAATCTTTTACACTGTATTTTTACTGCACCTTTTCTATGTTTAGATACACAAATACTTAACATTATGTTACAACTGTCTATAACATTCAGTACAGTAACATGCTGTATAGGTTTACAGCTTACAAGCAATAGCTAGACCACATAACCTAGGTGTGCAGAAGGCTCTACCATCTAGGTTTATGTAGGTACACTCAATCATGTTTACAGAATGATGAAATAGCCCAATGACACATTTCCCAGAATGTATCCCCATTGCTAAGTGACATATGATGTAATTGTGATCTTCAATAATGACAAATTTTTTAAAAGTAGGGCACAGACATGGTTACCAGCTTCCTCACACATCTCTTTTTTTGACTCCAACATGAAACCACCACAGCTTGAGATATAAGCTCAATAGGGCAAAGCTACACACTTCGTAGTCACTTACACCAGTCTAACAACCAAAAGAAGAAACTGAAACTCCAGCTAATTTACTCCCTGGAATAGGAATAGAGAAGGTAACCAAGAATAAATTCATCTAAATATTCCTTTTCTTTTTTTTTTTTTTTTTTTGAGACGGAGTCTCGCTCTGTCGCCCAGGCTGGAGTGCAGTGGCGGGATCTCGGCTCACTGCAAGCTCCGCCTCCCGGGTTCACGCCATTCTCCTGCCTCAGCCTCCCAAGTAGCTGGGACCACAGGCGCCCGCCACTACGCCCGGCTAATTTTTTGTATTTTTTTTTTTAGTAGAGACGGGGTTTCACCGTTTTAGCCGGGATGGTCTCGATCTCCTGACCTCGTGATCCGCCCACCTCGGCCTCCCAAAGTGCTGGGATTACAGGCGTGAGCCACCGCGCCCGGCCCTAAATATTCCTTTTCTTAAAGCCTGTCCTTTGTTTCCACACAATCTGTAAGTGAAAACTCTTATCAAAATGGTTCATTCAAAAAAGCTTCTACTATTAACAAAGCATAACAATATAAATTTATGCTGTTATGCATAGAGAATGTTATCCAAATTTTCTACTGAGTAGCCAGGAGAAATTTAATGAAAATGAAACAATATGATTACTGACTACAGAAAGAATACCTTTTTTTGGAGAAAAAAATATATACTTACTTAGTGAGCTGCCCTTTATTCTTCTTGTTATCAACTCCATGATAAGTCACAGCTGCCAGTTTTCTGATTCCATAGTTCTCGTAGTGGACATTATTAGTAACATCTTTCAAGTCCTGCGTGTGTTCTGTCATAAATAAACGGCAAGAGTTTGCTTCTATTAATAGCTAGGGGGCATAAAGCTAAAAAAGCTTTAATATAAATTCAAAATTTTACCAAAACAAAAATTTCAGATTTAAAATGAACAAAAGACTATTGTTAAGGAAGGTGGCATTCATCTGCTTTCATTTACACCCAAAGTAGAATAAAAAATAAGCTAACTTGACACCAAATTTAGATTCCATAGAGATTTTGAGACCCATAGCAAGGACTTCATGACTAAAACAACAAAAGCAATGGCAACAAAAGCCAAAATTGACAAATGGGATCTAATTAAACTAAAGAGCTTCTGCACAGCAAAAGAAACTACCATCAGAGTGAACAGGCAACCTACAGAATGGGAGAAATTTTTTGCAATCTACCCATCTGACAAAGGGCTAATATCCAGAATCTACAAAGAACTCAAACAAATTTACAAGAAAAAAACAAACAACTCCATCAAAAAATGGGCAAAGGACATGAACAGACACTTCTCAAAAGAAGACATCTGTGCAGCCAACAGACACATGAAAAAATGCTCATCATCACTGGTCATCAGGGAAATGCAAATCAAAACCACAATGAGATACCATCTCACGTCAGTTAGAATGGTGAACATTAAAAAGTCAGGAAACAACAGATGCTGGAGAGGATGTGGAGTAATAGGAACACTTTTACACTGTTGGTGGGACTGTAAACTGGTTCAACCATTGAGACAGTGTGGCGATTCCGCAAGAATCTAGAACTAGAAATACCATTTGACCCATCAATCCCATTACTGGGTATATACCCAAAGGATTATAAATCATGCTGTTGTAAAGACACATGCACACGTATGTTTATTGCAGCACTACTCACAATAGCAAAGACTTGGAACCAACCCAAATGTCCAACAGCGATAGACTGGATTAAGAAAATGTGGCACATATACACCATGGAATACTATGCAGCCATAAAAAAGGATGAATTCATGTCCTTTGCAGGGACATGGATGAAGCTAGAAACCATCATTCTCAGCAAACTATCACAAGGACAGAAAACCAAATATCACATGTTCTTACTCATAGGTGGGAACTGAACAATAAGATCACTTGGACACAGGGTGGGGAACATCACACACTGGGGCCTGTCAGGGGTGGAGGGCTGGGGGAAGGATAGCATTAGGAGAAATATCTAATGTAAATGATGAGTTGATGGGTACAGCAAACCAACATGGCACATGTATACATATGGATCAAACCTGCACGTTGTGCACATGTACCCTAGAACCTAAAGTATAATTTAAAAGAAAAAGAAAAAAAGAAAAAGAGAAATGGCCATAGGAGGGAAGACTTTCTTCTAGGGCATTGAGAAGATTGTCAAGCCCAGATGACAGGCACCACCTTTCCACCTTATGCCTCATTAATGGAAATATCACAATGCCCAGATCAAAGGCAGAGCTTCCCACCTATGAGCCTGCATCTCAATCTTCACCTTCCAGAAACCAGGCAGTGTCTTCTGGGCTGATTACTTCCAGTTTATCTCATTGTGATGTCCAAATATTATAGCTCCCCTCTCCCTTGTGATGAGCATGGAAAATATCGGTGGCTCCAAATTCCGATTGTTTCACCTTAGAAAACAAATCTGAGAACCCCCCTAGCACCAAGCACAGTACCTGGATACAACAGGCACTCAATAAATATTTGCTCAGCCAATGCAAGGATAAATGGATGAAATTCCTCATCCCTGTATTCATTTCTGAAGACCTGCTGGTGAAAATCTAGCTCTAAACATCTTTCAGATTTATTCCATTGAGGTATGAAAAAGGAAAAAAAAATGACGATGCAAACGAACTCAGCAGCTGGCACAGAAAGTGCAGTCAGATTCTGCTTCCCCTGTAATTAAGTGTGCCCCATGCCTCTGACTTAGGCGATGACAGCGTGCAGCTTGCCTGCCTGCCCTGGGTGCCTGGGAGGGCAGGCAGCCTTCAGGATGCCACTATACAACACATTCGCCACCTTATCAAGATTTCCACAGCCACAGGAAGATTTCTCACCCCGCCATGCCCCCCACAGGCTGCCCTGTGCTGTCATGCCCCTTCCTGGCTGAAGACATGCTGGCTGTCCCCTCCGCTCCTCCCCGGAGATGAGCATCTTTCCTGGGCCTCCCTTGGTGTTTTGACAGCTGCTCCATGTCCCCGCTGCTCAGAGAGGGAAAACCACTAGGGAGGCCTTGGATGGAAATATTACTCTCTGTCCAGGGTAGCATGGGCTTGATTGCGCCGGATTATTTCTGATTGTTGTCACTGGGCCAAGAGCACAGCGAAGTCAAGAAAGAAATAGCCTCATTAGTGAGAGTGCAGCGGTCTGGGTAGGCAGCAGTGGCGTGGAGGACCTGCTTTTGCAGGAGCAGTGAAGAGAGGGGAAGGAGTGGTGTCTTTATATTGAGATATTTTGAGATTCCTGGTTTCTCCACTCACTTCAACTGCCCATATAGGTTCTGCAGGTTCCACGAAGTTCTAGAACTTGTACAGGATCGAGCCCACAGCTTCTCATGGAATAAACACAGAATCAAGAAAATCTGGTGGAAGTCGCCTGGTTTAACTCCTTTGAGGTCTAGAGCAGAAATTAAATAGTGCTTAATCTGTTACTTTAAAGAAGCCTAGTTCTAACTTTTCCTCAGCTCGCTCCCTCTTTTGCCTAGGATAGGAAGGGTGAGTGCAAATGGCCAGCTCCCTGTAGGTCTGCCTCTTGGAGCCCTAAGTTTTCCGCCACTTCTCTGCACTACAGGCTTTGCCCACAGTGGGATCCTCAGCCCAGGGACCTTGTTTGTACTCCTCTTGGTGCTGGTGCCTGCTGCCCAGCCACACACCCTGAGATTCATTTTTAAAGAAACATCAACAGCTCTTAAATGGCAAATAAGCCCCTTTCAAAGAGCTGGGATGACTTTGAAAAAGGGCCTGAGACAGCAGTCGACCTCTGACCATCTCCCCTCAGATGCCCTCTCCATCCCACCCTCTCTCCCCGTCCCTGTCCTCTGCTCTCCCAGCGAGCCTGTCTGCTCTTCAACCCTCCTTCCTGCCCGATTGTGCTGTCTCCTCAACACGTCCCATGTTGCTTGATTCCTAAAATAACATAGGGGAAAACATTTTTTTTCTTTGTTCTTTTTTTTTTTGAGACGGAGTCTCCCTCTGTCCCTCTTTCGCCAGGCTGGAGTGCAGTGGTGCAATCTTGGCTCACTACAACCTCCGCCACCTGGGTTCAAGCGATTTCCTGCCTCGGCCTCCTGAGTAGGTGGGACTACAGGTGCGTGTCACCACGCCTGGCTAATTTATTTATTTTTAGTAGAGACAGGGTTTCACCATGTTGACCAGAATGGTCTCAATCTCTTGACCTTGTGATCCACCCACCTCGGCATCCCGAAGTGCTGGGATTACAGGCGTGAGCCACCGCGACCGGCCAAAAACATTTTTTTAAATAAAGAAAATGAATCCTCAAAAAAGAAAAAAAAAAAACCCACAAATCTCCCAAAGCAGTAACTGAAGGATGACCTTTCTATGAAAGAGTATTCATTTTTATATTATCTATTTAAATACTAGACAAGAGAGTGTAGATTAGCTACTACTGAAGCTCATAAAATCTAAAAGTAATTGCCTTTTAGCAATATTACTAAGGTAATATATGAGTTTTTATTAAGACATAATAATACATTTCAGATGACATATCAAGTTGCTTTCAAACTAGGGAATTTTAGAGTAAATTTCTGTTTCTTCAAACTGTCTAGGTGAATGTGGTATTTTGGTTAAACAAATTTTTGCTTACAGCATTTCTATCATATATAAAATCAATACATATGAGATAAATCTACAATAAATACGGGATGATGTCATCATTATTTAATTATTCAAGACACCGAAGATACCCTTAGCTGCTCCATGGATATCCTTTACCAATGTAGTGTTCTTGGATATACACGGTGTGGCAATACTCTGTATTGTCAGTTCTCCCTCTTCCCATCATCTGTTCTATCTCAAACTTCCTATATCTGCCATCATTCATCTTCACCACTTTACTAAAACTCCCTTCTGGGAGACAAACACAAAGGTGTATTGTTGGCTGGGTGTGGTGGCTCATGCCTGTAATCACAGAACTTTGGGAGGCCGAGGTAGGTGGATTGCCTGAGCTCAAGGAGTTTGAGACCAGGCTGGCCAACATGGTGGAACCCCATCTCTACTAAAAATACAAAAATCAGCTGGGTGTGGTGGCGGACACCTGTAATCTCAGCTACTTGGGAGGCTGAGGCAGGAGAATAGCTTGAACCCAGGAGGTGGAGGTTGCAGTGAGCCAAGATCGTGCACTGCACTCCATCCTGGGTATAAGAGTGAGACTCCGTCTCAAAAAAAAAAGCGTATTGTTGTACTGTTTTTATCATTCCTTACATCCAGAAAACCTTTACTGTTACTTCACAATCCAGCTTCTTGAATCTCCCCCTTTGTGAATAAAATGTGATATTCAATTACTCTGATTCATATCGTACTGACATTTCCATGCAATTCTCTGATAGTTCACTCCCCTTAGTCCTAAGTCTGAGTTTTCCAAAAATCTCATCTCCCAGACTTTGTCCCTTGATAAATTCATGTTCTCTTATAGCCACAACAGTTACTTCTAAAGCTCTACCACTCCACTTAGGGCAAGTCAGACAGCTCCCTACTCCTGGCGTATCTGGTGATTGACACTGAACAGTTCAGGCTAATTTGTCAATCTCTCATCAAAGAGTTCAACTGCTTTAGAAACCTTTGTCCCAGCCTTGACATCAAAGCATTCCAACCATGAACATTTTCTTCTTGGTTGTCATTCATTTTTGGTACAAGTATATGTCACAGGTGACATCATACCTCTTCAACTATAAGTTCCCCTTTACAAGGAACACACCATTACCTTTTGTGTCCCAATGCAGATAGCAGAAAATAGGAATTTTAACAAAATTGGTAACTCAAGATTGAAGCTGAGATATGATAAACACTTTTTGGAATAAATTATTGTTACCAGTTTCTCTAAGTGGAGAATAATAAGAATAAACACCTATGCCAATATAAAAAAAGTTTATGTAATTTTTTTCTTTCTTTTTTTTGATACAGAGTCTTGCTCTGTCGCCCAGGCTGGATGGAGTGTGGTGGTACAATCTCAGCTCACTACAACCTCTGCCTTTCAGGCTCAAACCATCCTCCTGCCTCAGCCTCCTGAGTAGCTGGGACTACAGGAATGCAATACCACGCCCAACTATTTTTTATATTTTAGTAGAGACGCAGTTTCGCCATGTTGCTCAGGCCAGTCTTAAACTCCTGAGCTCAAGCAATTCTCCCACCTTGGCCTCCCAAAGTGCTGGGAGTACAGGTGTGAGCCACTGTGCCCGGCCTAATTTTAATTATTATATATTACATATCATCACTACATCCCTGAAAAATCATTAAAGGTTCTAAGGAAGAATACTTACATGAAATGTTTGCATGAATGTGTAAAATAAAGGTAAGGTGAATTTACTAATTGTTAAGCTATTTTTGTTAGTGTCATCTAATGTTTTAGATAATGGATGATTTTCCTTTCACTAAAATCACTTTCACTTCTATATGACTACATAATTCTGATTTTTTCAGGTTATATAAGTCTTTATTTCCATTTAATTAAATATGCTTTAACCTTTTATGATTCATCCCACTCCTCCATTCTCAAAATAATTTGGTAATTAGCAATACAGTTTCCCCACAGTTTCAGGAATTTGTCTCTTCCATTTCCCATTGCTGATACCATAACTCTTTCTGTTCTCCTTTTGTTTTCTTTCCATATTTGATTTCTGAAACACCCATCTCCACACCCTGAAAATATTTGTATAGTTTTCCTCCTTTCCATTGCCTTCTTTGGTTTGCCTGGAGTAATTCAGTTCTCTTAATTAGCAAACACTTCTTTGAACTTGACTCTTTCTTAGAAGCAATCACTATTCCTTTGACCTGAAGATTTCAATTACTTGGGATTTACAGACATCTGCAATACTGGTATTGTATTTCCTTCCTTCAGGTATTTACTAAATATCCACTAGACGCCTTTGTCTTAAAGACATGAGCTAAATTAAATATACATCTTTCTAATACGTATAACTTTAGAATTTTTAGGCATAAAAGGCTTGCTGCTCTGCTGTATTAAATCTTCCTGCAGGCATGGTCAATTTGCTCTGTAATGCTTATACTAGGGAGGACCCTCACTAGCTGCCAGGCTGTGAACTTTCAAATATTCAAAGTAGCCTCTGGGCTGGGTGGGCGTGGTGGCTCATACCTGTAATCCCAGCACTGTAGGAGGCCAAGGCTGGTGGCTCACTTGAGGTCAGGAGTTTGAGACCAGCCTGGCCAACATGCTGAAACCCCATCTCTACTAAAAATACAAAAATTAGCCGGGTGTGGTGGCACATGCCTGTAATCCCAGCTATTCGGGAGGCTGAGGCAGGAGAATTGCTTGAAGCGGGGAAGTGGAGATTGCAGTTAGCCAAGATCGTGCCACTGCACTCCAGCCTGGGCAACAGAGTGAGACTCCATCTCAACAAAGTAGCCTCTGGCTTAGTAACTAGCTTTCCCCTCTACAGTGTTTTAGGTATGTAGGAAATTATTGATTGTATACTTTTAAAATACACAAGAAAAAGTTATAGAATGCCACCATGTCAAGCACTGGACAAGTACCATAGAAGATTTAAAAATAAGAGGAATGCAATGGTAATTAGTATTTATTAAACATTCTCTACTTATATACTGTCATAGCAGATTATATTATTAATAGGTATCCTTTTGAAGTCACACTTTAAGAATGGAAGAGGAAGGGAATAGTTCATAACACAGCCTGAAGTGTTGTATTCTCAAAACCCAGAGGATGACCTTCTCGTGCATTTGCTCTTCTCCCCTAATTGAGGCCTGGCAACCCCAACTGCTCAATCAACCCTGTCATGTAGTTCCTACCAAAAACACCTGCTCCTTTGAAAATAAAAGTCAATTACATGTCAATTTCTTTCATTTCAAAATTCACTCTCATCTCTATTGTATTTCTTGAAGTAGCAGTTTGACTCTCTTAAATTTTCCCCCTCACTTCTCACTTGTGAGAATGACCTTCTTGTTATTCCATGATTTCCAATTATTATCCATATTTATGTTACTACCTTTCTTTACATAGCTAAAGAGATTCTTGCGTTTCGGGAAAGTGGGTAAGAGGTACGAAAATGAATAGATATCAACTTAAGACAGACATCTAAAACTGGAGGTTAAAGAGAGTATGTGGTAAAGGCGTAGAGAAGCAAGAGAGAGAAGCGGGAAATAGGGAGTGAAGTAGAGAGAGGAAGGAATGTGTCTCAAGATGAAAACACTGAGGATCATTTTGATGCCCTTTCTGTTCCTTACCTACTAACATCTCTAGTCCTATTACACTTTTTCTTCATGATTTCCTCTCTGCTGCTGCTTTTCTAATTCATTAGTAAGAGCTCCTCTTTACTAGTCCTGGTCCTCTAATCAGGATGGTCTCAATGTCCTGCTCCCATAGGCTTTCCTTCTCTTTCAGCAGGTGTGCAAGACACAGTGTAGGGATTTTTTTGTCTCACCTGATAGGAAGATTGGTTTTGTTCTCTATGTTCCAGTACATAAAATATGCCCTACTCACCAGCTACCAGGTTGTGTACCTTTTAACATTCAAATTCTAGCTTTTGACTCAAAAACTAGCCTTCCCTTATACAGTTTTCACAAGTTTTTCACATTAAGAAACAAGAAGAGCCTCTTCTATTTCACCTTCCATAGTTATTTCAGTATTAAACCTCAACACAAAGTATAACGATAAAGTAAAGAGACTAATTTTCCTATGTATCCCTAGACACACAAATTATTTTGTAACTTTTGCTGATGACTTCAAAACCTTGGAGAAAGAATCGTCTACCTGTAGTGCTAACTTCATTACTAGACTGAAGATATAAATTTAAATTAGCTACATTTATAGAAGGCAAAAAGTAAATCTATCCAATTCTTATTTAGGGAAAGAAAATCTTATGCTATTTCCATCATTGCTTGTACTTACCTTATCAACATATTTCTTAAAACTGTAAAATCACAATGTTCACCATTTTCAACTGTAAGAAAAAAATAGACCGCAAATATTATATTTTCACTAAGCCTAGTCTTTTCAAAAAATATTTCACAGGAACTTGGGGGGTAAAAACAAGGGAGGGGAAATGCAAAACAGCTCAGATCAATTTTTTTGAGATTTAACACTAACATAGTACTCAATGTAAGGGCATGACAGAGAAGTGTACTATATTATTACCTTACTGTAGTTTAATCCTCAGAAACAGATGTCAACCTAACTAAAATGAGCTCTCCGGAAACAACTTTGAAATTTTGAAAGGGGAAATCACACATTTTCTCATTATTGGTAAAAAATATATTTATTATATAATACATTTAAAAAATTCAGTGGTGTAAGTGAAGGGGGAATCACTTTAGAAAAAAATCTTAAGGTAACCAAAATGAAAAAGGGAGCCAAGAACTTTAAGATTCTTTACTTTTATTTTTAAAGAATGTATCACAAACAGGAATATTACTTGGGAGTAGAGAGGTAAACTACAAAAGAGAGATGCAAATCAATTTCTCTGGTGCCTATTTTTAAGGGGTATGTAAGTTCTAAAGCCTCAACTCAGCAACTGAAAGTTGCCTGGGCATGACAGAGAGAGCTGGGAACAAGGTACAGGGGTCACTGGTGGGAAAATTGTCAATAAGGACAGTAACTTGAAACAATATCCTAAAAATTAAAGAACTGTTCAAAATAAACCAGGGGCAGTGGTGTGTGCCTATAGTGATGTGATGTGGGAGGAGCATGTGGGAGGATCACTTTGAGCTCAGGAGTTTGAGGCCAGTTGGGCAACATAGCAAGACCTTGTCTTTAAAAAAAAAAAAAAAAAATTCAAAAATAATAGCAACAAACATAAAACAATCATGTCTCAATTTTGGTTTCAGCTTACTATAATACAGAAGATTAAATATCAGATTAAACCAATACAATAAACCTATTGCCAAGAGGAAGGACTTCTGAGGTTTGGTGTTATAAATAAGATTTTATTGGTATTTAAAACTCCTTACTTAACCCTTAATAATTTAAGATAGCAGGTTAAAAAACAAAAAAATCCTTACAAAACTAGTAAAGAGTATCTCTTACTAATGAAATTTTTTTACTCTAAATATGCGATGTCAAAAAAGGCAACTTTTGCACTGAGGAAAGGAGACTGTGAATGTTTTAACTGGGCTTATTCATTTTTAAAATAATTCTTGAGGGTCCATGACCCATCTGACATTCTGATAAAAGTGACTAGCCTTCTCTCCAAAATGTTTAATTCCAGGAGGTTCATTAGATTCCCTGGGAGCAAACTTAGGGCCCCAGGTAAAGAACCCCTCAATTTTAGTTATGTTTTCAAATAAGAAAACAGAAATAGACTTAATAATGAGGCAGGGATGTCAGCCAGGGTGGGGCAAGTTGAGTATCCCTTATTTGAAATGCTTGGGACCAGAAGTGTTTTGAATTTTTTTGGAATTCTGGAATATCTGTGTTATACTTACTGGCTGAGCATCCTTAATCCAAAAATCCAAAATTCAAAATGCTCCACTGAGCATTTCCTTTGAGTGGCATGTCAGTGCTCAAAACGTTTTAGATTTTGGAGCAATTCATATTTTGAATTTTCTCTTTAAGAATGTTCAACCTAGGCCGGGCACAGTGGCTCACGCCTGTAATCCCAGTACCTTGGGAGGCTGAGGCGGGTGGATCACAAGGTCAGGAGTTCAAGACCAGCCTGGGCAATATGGTGAAACCCTGTCTCTACTAAAAATACAAAAATTAGCCAGGCGTGGTGGCACGCACCTTTAGTCCCAGCTACTTGGGAGGCTGAGGCAGAAGAATCTCTTGAACTCGGGAGGCGGAGGTTGCAGTGAGCCAAGATCATGCCACTGCATTCCAGCCTGGGTGACAGAGCGAGACTCCATCTCAAAAAAAAAAAAAAAAATTGAATGTTCAACCTATACTACAACTTTAGGACTTAACACATACTTGCATGACTTAGTAGGATACAGGTTTGAAAAATATGAATGTATTTAAGAGGAAAATGAGACTACAAGAACCTGAAATCAGTACTATCCTTGAAATCTAGATTATATCAATACAGTGTGCATATTATACTCCTTACTATAAATACAAATTTTTAATCAGTTTTGAGATCTTATAGAAACTCATTCACTGAAGAAAACCTTACCTTCAGCAACACTCCAAGGATACTGCCTTCCTATGACCCTTTTGCCATTAACTTCAATGATAGTATTACTACCCACCACAGCAAGAGGTAAATGGTCCTATAAAACAAAGTATTCTTGTTCAAATACATCTCTATAGTATTCACAAATTTCAAGAATAAAAAAAGTTACATGACTCAACAGATTAGCCAAAAAAAATTACTTTTGATAGTTTCTGCATTAGTTTTTATAGGCCATTTAACCAATATTTAGTAAATTGACATCACATGATATTACCACCAAGGTAAATAATAAATAAAATTAAATGTTCTCTTTAAAGTTAAGAATATTCAAGCATATACTGGTCAAATTATTTACTAAAAATCACTACAGAAAGTTGTCCCATGCTTGGGGGGAAAAAGGTAAAAAATATATTAGCATCTGGGAAAATAAAAGGAGGCTAATGACTAGCCTGACTACTTGATCACAAACCAACTGTAACAGTACCTAAACAGGGAATAGTATATTTGCTAAGCTCTAACTTTGGAACTTCAAATCCAGGTGACTGGATTTGTATTCATCCATGTGTAGCCCTTCACAGTTCTGTGGCTCCTGGAAATATCTAACCAGCTATTTTATATAACTGCAGAAATTCTTCACTGGCGAGGTATAAGCATTTCATTATTCCAAGGTATTTGCCTACATAATGCCATTATTCAGTATACCATTTTTAGGGACAAAGTACTTAGAAAACCACGATAAATTAAAATACAGAAAATTGTGTTGATGTGAATTTTTGGTTGGTTTTTATTATTTTTAATTGAAACATAATTGTACATATTTGTGGGGTAGAGTATGGTATTCTGATACCTGTATACAAATATGTAATGATCAAATTAGGGTAATTAGCACATTTATCAACTCACACTTATTTTTCTGTATTGGGAACATTCATAATCCTCTCTTCTAGCTATTTGAAAATATAGACTAAATTATTGTTAACTACAGCCACCCTACAATGCTACAGAACACTAGAACTTATTCCTCCTATCTAGCTGTAATTTTGGTTGGCTTTTATAAAGATAAAAGAAATACAGTTTTTGTCTGGCAATTAAAACATAACAGAAGGAATTCTCTCCTTTCTCATCACTTGTTTCTTAAGAGGGAAAAAATTACATAATATGAAAGCCAGTTAATTAAAAACAATTTGAAATAAGGATTGTGTTATTCACCTCAGTAGTTTACACAATTGCTTGTTATATATACTAGCTAATCTTCAAAGTTAACTATAAAGTTGAATTCAACATTAAATCTCCCTAGGCATTTTGTAAGCCAACTACTTAAAACACCGATACTTTTGATCTTTCCTGTGGACGCTGTAGTATGTTTTTAAGGCCTCAGATTACTTTAGTGTATGTACAGGGATGAACCTACCTTTATCTTTTTAACAAGTTTTTTTTCTTCTTCATCATCTGTTTCTGGAAATTCATATATTTTAACTTTATGTTCTTGGATTTCTTTATCTAAAATGGAAGTAGTCAGCAAAAGAGCACCATACATAATTAGTACATTAGTCTTATGTTTATTACATGCTTCTTAGATTCCTATATGGCTCCTTGTTTCCACATCCTTTACTGTTTTTTTAATGATGCAAAGTTGTAATCTAAAATCAAAGTACTATGCTGGTCTTTTTTTTTTAAACTGTAAAGTTGATATATAAACACCAAATCCAATTACTTCAGAAGTGTTGAAGTCATACAGCTATCATATCAAAAGAGTTCCAAAAAAGATGTAAAACTCCAGAAAGGAATTTCTCTGGTTGATTTCCAGAATAATGACTTTAGGTCATTTATTTACAATGACTGAGATTCTTCCTTTAGATATAAATCTCCAAGTATCTTATTTAGTTGAATAAACAGGGCTAAACTCACCTAAAATTTTTAGTAGAATCTGGCAAAAGTAAAGTGAAACTAAGTACAACACTGCCCCCTGCACATTCATCAGAAAAATCCTTGCATGTACATGTGCATACACACAAACTGAGGAGCAGCAGGTATAAGATTAGGGGAGGACACAGGGAGAAAACACACCCTAGAAATCAAGAATTAATAAGAATGCAGAAAACTAAAGAAGACAACTTATTAATAACATCAGGAATGACCTAGTTCAAATTAAATTATCATGTCCAAAACCACTCCAAATTCTAAACAGAATACAGACATCCAAATAATTTTCAACTACCTATCCTTCTTTGAGCCCATAACAAACCAATGGCTGATATACCTAAAACTAGCTTCCCTGCCTATACTTATATTTTGGTGCAATTTTCATGGCAAAGCTTCCCAGCAGCTATAAAAGGACCCTGAACAAATTGTGTTACATGGTTACTATACTAGATAGAAGTAAACAGAAGTAAAACTGTCACTGAAGAAAAATAGGACCACATATCTTTTATAATTAGGGTATGTACCTACATATATATTAAAAAAAAAACAGAATAAATGAGGCAACATATACATAATGAAGAGAAAAACGAATAATTGTAGCTAGGTTTAAAAGCAGTGGTTTTAGTCAGAGGTTGTATATTAAAATGACCTGAGTACAACCACCAGAATGTGACCAATTTGAAAGAAGACGTCACTTCATATTCATCTTTTTTTACCTTAAAGTTATCAGTAAAAATCCAAATAGAAATATATAATAAAAGAAGAGAAATGTATTATAGTACTTGAAACTTAGAAATAGCACATTACAAAATAAAAATGGGAATGGATAAGTGTAAAACAGAAAAATACTAGATACAGTAAAAACAATGTACTAAAACATTCTGAAAATTTATATGAATTTAGCGTAACTTCAAAGCAAATTTTAACAGGCTTTTTATAACAGGTTTCAAGGTATTCTGAAATGCATATTGAAAAAGGTGAAAAACAAAATATTTTGTTACAACAGGACTATATGGACAATAGAGATAATTACCATCTATTTTTAAATATTATACAAAGTTGTTGTGGTTTAAACAATATAATACTGGCTGAAAATAAAGACTACTGGAATAGAGAAAGTTTCCAGAATTGACCCTACATTTCATAAAATGTAATATATAATGAACCAAACACAATTAAATTAGAAATATGTGTGACTGTATAACTCAATATTATTGAGACAACTAGACATGAGTCTAGAAAAACAGTTTAGTGGTCTTCCAGCTAGCTCAGTCATACAGCATGAGACTCTTAATCTTAGGGTCACGGGTTTGAACAATAACTTAAACTATAAATATCCCATAAAGTGCACTGAAAACAAAATTAGGATATAAGCAGCAAAAGAGAAAACATAAAAAATATTGTGAAAATGAGAGACAACTAAATACCCAGAATAAAAAGAACCCATATCAATAAATACGGGCAATACCAAGTACTACCGGTCAAAAAGACAAAGGATTTAAACAGGTGTTTACAAAAAGTTAAAAAAAAACTTTGTTTTTAAATGTTCAGCCTTTCTGGAAAATAAAAGGAAAAGATAAAGAAATGATTAGGTACCACTTTATTCCAAAAAGGTTTTCAAAATAAAAATAACAAACAATGCTGGCAAAGTCACAGTGAAACAGATGTACGCTTTATAAAATGAATTTGTTTTATTGGGAAAGCACCATGACAAAATGGGGAGTGGGGAAGATAAAGACCCATAAAAACAATCATAGCCTTTGAAAGAATAATCCTCTTCCTGGGAATTCATTCTAAGAAAATAATTCTAAAGAGTATGGGTCAAAATTATCTGTGT
The DNA here is from genome assembly GCF_000001405.40 of Homo sapiens. Classification (NCBI taxonomy): domain Eukaryota; kingdom Metazoa; phylum Chordata; class Mammalia; order Primates; family Hominidae; genus Homo; species Homo sapiens. Next base: position 45,750,975 of record NC_000007.14, read on the forward strand.
GGAGGTGTTATTAAAGAACACTTAAGGCTGGGTGTGGTGGCTCACACCTGTAATCCCAGCACTTTGGGAGGCCGAGGCAGGTGGATCACGAGGTCAGGAGATCGAGACCATCCTGGCTAACACAGTGAAACCCTGTCTCTACTAAAAATACAAAAAATTAGTCAGGCATGGTAGTGGGTGCCTGTAGTTCCAGGCTACTCGGGAGGCTGAGGCAGGAGAATGGCGTGAACCCAGAAGGCAGAGCTTGCAGTGAACCGAGATCATGCCACTGCACTCCAACCTGGGCAACACAGCGAGACTCTGCCTCAAAAAAAAAACAAAACTTAAAACAGCCATATTTAAAAACTGACAAAGGATAAGGATACTATGACAATGGGTAAGAGCTTTGAGGGGAAAACTAAGGCAGAAGATTCAAGAGTTATTTTTAATACAGTATAAATGACAATACAGTAAAGCAGTAAGAGGAATGGATTGCAACACATTATACTAAAAATAGTAAAACCTGCAAATTATGAGAATGGTATAAGAAACCTGAGTTAACACATCCTGCTCACCTGTTTTTTAAACTGTTGGCATTCCTCTGGCATGAGTGTGTCTGCTTTGGCAATAAGTGGGATGATATTCACTTTTTCATGCAAATGCTTTGTAAACTCAATATCCAATGGTTTAAGTCTGAAATAGACGTATTTTATATGACTGAATTAATCAGTTTGAGAGAACAAGATTCTTCACATCCCCAGTTAGATTTCAATTATCTTCAGTTGGTCGACTGACTCTCAAATCTTCATACGCAGCCCATATCTTACTGTTAAGTTCCACATTTGTGTTTACCCAGTGGATACGCTACCCAGGTGTTCCATGGGCTCCTTAAAATCAAAAGCTCGTCTGAACCCCATTTTCCCTCTTCTGTGCTTCCTATCTCAGTGAATGGCACTACAGTCTACCCAGTTACTCAAGTGTGAAACCTAGCATTCCTCCCCTCCTCTAATCCTCTTCCCATATATATAGTATGTGTATAGATGTATATATGTATGTATGCATATCTCCAATTCCATTACTTTAGTCTAGGCCACCAAGACCTTTGGAATGAATAACTATAATACAAACCATCCATACTAAAGTCAGAGTGGTCTTTCTAAATCCAAATCTTACTGAGTTATGCCCTGACCAAAAATCTTATCAAGACCAGATGCCTTAACTAGTATGGCCTACGAGGCTTGTGAAGACCTAGATTCTCCAGCTGACCTCATCTCTTAGCATTCCTGGCCTTTCCTTTGCCTCCTACTTCCAATGTGCCAGCCTTTTACTTCTTTTACTTTTACTTCTTACAATTCCTTAAAAGCACCATACTTTGGCATCTGGCCACAGGCTATTACCTTGGCTGGAACACCCTCCATTCTCATCCTCCTTCTCCTTGGCCTGGCTAATTCCTATTCATCCTTTAGGACACTGGCTTACGATCCAATTTCCACTGGGAATCCTTTTCTAACCTAAGACTAGGCATATTTCTATGTGGTCACAACACTTAATGTGCTGTACAGTAACTGCCTGCCTGCATACAGATGGTTCCTCACCAACTATGGTTCCACTTAACAATTTTTCAACTTTTTGATAGTGTGCAAGCAATACGCATTGAATAGAAACCATACAACCATTCTGTTTTTTACTTTCAGTACAGTATTCAATAAATTACATGAGATATTCAAAACATTATTACAAATAGGCTTTATGTTAGATGATTTTGCCCAACTGTAGGCTACGCTATAATGTTTAGTAGGCAAGGTATATCAAACGTATCTTCAACTTATGATGGGTTTATGTAACCCTGTCCCAAGTCAAGGAGCATCTGTATTTGTTTCTCCCATCTTCTCATTGAAATACCCTTTACAGTGAGGGCTTTATCTCATTCATCTGTATCCTCAGCACTTAGCATGGTATCTAACACTCGAGAAGGTGCCCAAATATTTGTTGACAAAAAAAGTAAGCTGCTGTAATTTTCCTTTAGTAATTCTAAATGAGAATCAAAGTCCTCAAATCTAGAATATACTGTGGACTAAAATTTAATGTTTCACAAGAATAAATGAAGATACTAGAAATATTTTGCAAAGGACTATCATTCTAAAGTGGTATTCCTTGACTGTTTTTTTTTTTTTTTTTTTTTGAGACGGAGTCTCACACTCTTGCCCGGGCTGGAGTGCAATGGCATGATCTCGACTCACTGCAACCTCCGCCTCCCAGGTTCAAGTAAGTCTCCTGCCTCAGCCTCCTGAGTAGCTGGGATCACAGGCACCCGCCACCATGCCCAGCTGATTTTTTTGTATTTTTAGTAGACTGGGTTTCACTATGTTGGTCAGGCTGGTCTCGAACTCCTGACCTCCTGATCCACCTGCCTCAGCCTCCCAAAGTGTTGGGATTACAGGCGTGAGCCACCGTGCCCGGAGGTATTCATTAACTTTTATAAAAACATGAGAAAAATGAAACAAAAGTCTCATTCTGTTATTAATTTTATTGACTAATACTAATAATTGAATTGACTCACATTTTAAAATGAAGAAAGAGAAACATATATATTAAAATTGGGGGGATTAGGGCCCTAAAACTAATAAGATAGTCCAGTCCTTTTTACTAACAAAGATTACCGCATATACTTCACTGTGGCGGTAAGGCTGACAGGCAGAAAGACAGAGACAGTGAGGGGGAGAATGCAAATATGGAGAATTAAGATAGTTGCCTCCTATTCTAATTCTCCTTATCTTAAATCCCTTGAAATTTGACACTGGCATTCAGAGAATAGGGAGCACAATGAAAAAGAGTGTGTGGATGGAATAACACTGTTTAGATTATCTGTAAACTGTGTTCTTGCCTCACTAGTGTTAACTAAAAGAACCTATCCATTTCTATTTATTTATTTTTTTGACAGGGTCTTGCTCTGTCACCCAGGCTGGAGTACAGTGGTGTAGTCATAGCTCTCCATAGCCTCCAATTCTTCCACTTCGACTCCTGGGTAGCTAGGACTACAGGAGTGCACCCCCATGCCCAACTAATTTTTTTTTTTTTTTGAGTTTCGCTCTTATTGCCCAGTCTGGAGTTCAGTGGCGCAATCTCGGCTCACTGCAACCTCCGCCTCCCGGGTTCAAGTGATTCTCCTGTCTCAGCCTCCCGAGTAGCTGGGATCACAGGCATCCACCACCATGCCCGGCTAATTTTTGTATTTTTAGTAGGGACGAGGTTTCACCATGTTGGCCAGGCTGGTCTTGAACTCCTGACTTCAGGTGATCCACCTGCCTCAGCCTCCCAAAGTGTTAGGATTACAGGCGTAAGCCACTGCGCCCAGCCCCAACTAATTTTTAAATTTTTGTAGAGACAGGATCTCACTATGTTGCCTAGTCTGTGGCCTCAAGCAATGGTCCTCCTGCCTTGGTCCCCAAAGTGCTGGGATTACAGGAGTAAGCCACTGCATCTGGCCTGAACCTATCCATCTTTGAAAAAAAATTTAAGTTTTGCTTCTTTTCATTAATCATTATATAAAACACTAAATATAAATGCCATGAAATATTCAATCTCCGATTTCTAAATTGTTATGATTTTTCAATTTATACTCATGACAAATTTAAATTGTCACTGCCTTATTAAGCTATTATGTCAGATACAAGCCTGCTTATTAATCCAGTGACAAAAAAGCAGAGTTCAGTTAACCTAAAATTTTAATAAATCTTAAAGGCATTTAATATAAAGTATTAAAATCCAAATAAGAAGATTTTATCTTTAAATGCAAAATACTTGCTGAATATTTATTATAGTATCCCAACTTTTAAAGAGAAAGATATTTAAAAATAAACGTGACAAGGAAATTAGAGAAGTCAACTTCTTAAATATAACCAAAGGGTCAAAAAACATTTAAGTCAGTTTAGAAATTAAACTTTAGGAAAAAAGGTAAACCTTGTAAAAGTCTCATTAAATTTCAGAAGCCTACAAGACGTCAGCAACAGAAAACATTTAGTTCACATGTGTATTACATTCCGGTTGAATTTTTTCCCTCTGTCCATTTAGATTTATATTGGCTAGTCTTTTCATCAACAAATTTAGTCTTTAAATCTTGTTTTTAAGAAATAGAAAATCCTTTATCATTTCTAGAAGATAAACCCACAGTAGAGAGAAAAGACTATTTAGCCTCAAATTCTACAGCATAATAAACAACTACAGGGAAAGTGACAAATTTTTTTTGTATGTATGTATTTCTAAGGGAAAAAATCCTTCTGTATAAAACTCACTGGATGACACCAATTTTTCTAAAAGTGGGAATCAATACTAGAAGGATAAAACACCATTTTAAAATTCATGTTCCAAGTCAGTATTTTACTTTAATAACAGTTACAAAATAGTGAAGAACACACATGAAGCGATAATAGCCAAAATCATAAATCAGCCGTGCATGCAGTTCATACTTGGTAGAGGGAGGTAGGAGGCACTGAAAGTGCACTGTTGGACGAATTTATAATCACTCTAAAAACAAAACCCTCTAAAAAGGGAACCTAGGGACTACCTAGACAAGATGGAAAGGCTCTGATTCATTTACTAGACTGCATAGAATTTCAGTCTGTAGTGAGCAGGGTACCTGGAACTCTATACATAAAATTCTGTGTCATATTCTTTTTTTTTTTGAGATGGAGTTTCACTCTTGTTGCCCAGGCTGGAGTGCAATGGTGTGATCTCGGCTCATCGCAACCTCCACCTCCCAGGTTCAAGCAACTGTCCTGACTCAGCCTCCCTAGTAGCTGGGATTACAGGCATGTGCCACCACGGCCAGCTAATTTAGTATTTTTAGTAGACATGGGGTTGCTCCATGTTGGTCAGGCTGGTCTCGAACTCTCGACCTCAGGTGATCCGCCTGCCTCAGCCTCTCAAAGTGCTGGGATTACAGGCATGAGCCACCATGCCCAGCCTCATATTCTTTCACTTAATCCACAATATCATGTACCAATGGGCAAAACTTTGCTTCATTTCTAAAAATAGTTAAACTAAGAAATTATTCAAAGGTACATTTTTATATATAAGATATAGCAATTTTAAACATCTTACCCCTTGTGACAAATAAGAAATGGCACAAAGCCACTACATATCATTTGAATATAAAAATCTTTTTCTTTTAAAAAAGCTCTCATTTCCCATGCAATTTTAAGAAATAAAATTTTCCCCAAAGGGATGGCAGGAATGTGATTTCATGAGAATTACCCTAGTTGGAGAGAGTTCGGAAAATCTAAAATAATAAAATTGGTTATAAGCTAACAAATTTTATTGACTTAACTGCAGGTTAAGATTTCACTCTGCTGGCTTTCAGGAAAAGGCCCTGACAAGTTAAATGAGAATGATTTAAAAATATAAATTCAAGAAGCTACACAAATACTTATAAAAGGTTATACAGTGTGTTGTATTTTTGAGATGACTTTTTTTGAGCCTTTTAAGTCAAAGAGTCAGTTTAGTGATTTAAATATGTAAACTGAGAACACCATAAAATGATAGACTGGACTAAGAAAATGTGGTACATATACACCATGGAATACTATGCAGCCATAAAAAAGGATGAGTTCATGTCCTTTGCAGGGACATGGATGAAGCTGGAAACCATCATTCTGAGCAAACTATCGCAAGGACAGAAACCCAAACACCGCATAGGTGTTTCTCACTCATAGGTGGGAATTGAACAATGAGAACACTTGGACACAGGGCGGGGAATATCATACACTAGGGCCTGTCGTGGGGTGGGGGATGGGGGAGGGATACTATTAGGAGAAATACCTAATGTAAATGACCAGTTAATGGGTGCAGCAAACAAACATGGCACATGTATACATATGTAACAAACCTGCACATTGTGAACATATACCGTAGAAGTATACTACTACTACTAATAATAATAATAAAAACTGAAATTACCTCAACAAAAGGCAATGCCAGGTAGTTACAAACATGTACTACCCAATCCTGCCTGAAGGTGGGAGTCTTCAGTTATGTAACGGTCTAGGGCACAGCAAAAAAACAAAAAAAAACAAGAGTATTAGACATAAAAGAAGAAACATTTTTACCCCACTCCAATCTGACAGTGCAAAAATATAAGTATATAATTAAGGCTCCCTTATCCATCTACAGTGATAATGGGCATTGACCCATCTATAAAAACAAACAAAAAAAAGAGAGCGAGAAGCCAAAAATGGAAGAGAAAGGTATACCTGAAGGAATTGGTTTACTCTACTGTAATGTGAGTGTTAGATAACTTAATGCTATTTAGCCTGATGCTACTACAGTTCTTTTGGTGGAGAGATGGTGGAGTTACAATCACCAGGTGGCTGAATTATGTATGCTGAGTTACTTACCCAAAGGAAAAGACTGAGGAAGAATAATTGGAAAAATCTGCAGTTACAAATGACACATATATGTACTCAAAATGAAAGGGGAAGTACGAAGAACAAAAAAAGGGAGTACAGGCTAACTATAACAAACAGAACAATCACATCAGATTAATGTCTAGATTCTTAGATCTTATGTCCTAATAAACAAAAGGTTAGTACTGACAATATGATACTTAAACGACATGTCTATGACAGCTAAGGTGAAACAGAAGCCAAACAGATTTCTTGCAGAAAGAAATGGCACAAGAAAACATTGGCATGCAAGTGCTTTTGATAACCATCTCTTATGAGACTTATAATAAATAGCATCTTTGGATTTATTTTGAATATGTCTAACTGGTTTGGCTGCTTCTCTTTATTTGGTAGTTCAACATGAAAGCTAAATTTGCCACACTGAGACCTCAAACCATGGTGGCAACACTGTTTATTTCCATGAAGCAGGGAAAATCCTCATGAATGAAGAACTAAGGAGTAAAATCACTGTTAGCTTACACAGGACTTAAAAAGGCTTTTCAACTAAGACATTTCTACATGAAATTTGGTACTTAATAATGGGTATAGTTGTATGTACTTCACAAACTTAAAGATTACTCAAATATGCACATAAAGGTAACAGTAAGCAACAACAACAAAAAGGAATCAGAAGTATCAGGTTACTGACCCATGTCCTGAAGGAGCAATGAAGTATAAACAACAGTGCACCCTGTTACCAGGCATCTGACATCTGTTCACTTGCGATTCTGCATTTAGGTAGTCCTCAAATTTACTATCAATGTAATTGATAACAGGCTGCCAGCTATAGAATGCAAATAAACAAAACAATTAAGTTGCAATTCTATATATGAATTAACTGATGACTGTTAAAGAACAATAATCAATATTTTCAAATAGGCAAAATGAATTTACCAATGGAAGACATGTCAAGTTATTCTATATAAAGATTCAAAAATATAAATTATGTTGAATAAATCTTTATTATTTCAAAACTTTCCAAATGAAAGAAAATATTTATTGTTGAAACACAGCTAAATTATTAGCATATTACTGGCACTAGTAAGTGTATTAATAACACACTTCATAATATGAAAACAATTATATTCAGTTTCAAATTTCAAATGAGAGATTACTTTAAATAATATAAAAACTTCATGATGAACTTAGGAGTTTTAAGAGTTGACAGAAAAATACCTCAAAAACAATGTGAATTCAAACAAAAATAAAAGTTATTTATAAAATACTAAGATAATTACTTCAGACTAAAATTTCATAGTTGTTTTCTTCACTTAGGACTTATGGAAAAACTGAAGGTCTAAATATCAGGTTTAAATTAGGATTGAGATAGAATTTATACAAATGGATAAAATTAAAGCAAACAGTTTTAAATTTCTTACAATAATGAGAATTCTTCTATCTAGCTACGTTATTTTGGAACATGTCTTAAAAACAATTTTTATGATAGGTATTATCTCCATTTTATAGAAAAGTAAATGGGTTCAAAGAAGTTAAACTTCTTTGTTTAACTTTGAAGTTAAACTTTGTCAAATAAGTGGCAAAGCTGGTATACAAACCTGTCATGTTACTTGAAGTTTGGTGACCTTTGCTAAGAAGAGTTTTAAAATGTTAAGAAGAGAAAGTTTAACCACCCCAGTACCCCAAATACACTGGAAAGTTGTGAGGACAAATCCTTCTTACCAATTACTATTATCCACTGCATCTCCAAATCCTGGGGTATCAACTATTGTAAGCAGCAACTGAATACCACCTTCTTTGATTAAAACTTTGGATTGTTCCACCTATAAGAGTAATTGGTGCAGATGTTAGTATCATACATTACACCAGTGATTTCCTACCAGGGGTGATGGTAGGGATGTTTGAGTTTATCTACCTACTCCCACATTTTCTTTAGGATCAATGATTGTGGGCATTGGGAATCCAGATTATTTGAAAGAAAAGCGTATATACAAATAGTATGCCAATCTCTTGGAAAATTAATACTGGGTTTATGAGTCATACTTGGTATAAAGAAAGACAGAGGAACTGATAAAATAGTGATCACCACTAAAGACATGTAATACATAACTTAAATGTGCATCTAATAATACAAATAAGCAGATTGAGTGATTCAGTCATTCACAGAGTTCAAATGTAATTAATCAGGCAAGAACATTTAATCTACTGTTTATAGTAAATGTCTTCCTGGACTATTCTCTATCAAGTTTGGCCCAAACCACTCACTCAAGTGAACTTACTATCATTCCTAAATCTTTCTCAGCATGGATGTAATTACCCTTATATTTATGTTATGGCTAGGATCCAATCCTCTTCTCAAATGCGATACTCCACATTCTGGACAATGTAATCAGCAAAAGTCCAGACAGTTAATAAAAAAAAGTGTATTCTGGTAGGGTGAAACCTTACTGATTATTGGACTTAAATGATAACAACAGTTCCTGGAACAATTTAAGATATTCTGTAACCTCAAGCTCTGTATCAGAAGATGTATTATCATTCATCCTGGGCATATGCTGCTATTAAATGCAAAGTATCAGTTTTCAGGAGCCCAAGATAAAGCAAACACGGATTCAAATAAAAAGGGAATAATTCCTTCATAAGATAGGCTTTCTCCTGATACATATTTATATCAAGTCCTTATTAAGGCAAGAGGCTCCAAGTATGCTGATAAGCTAATTTACAAGACAAAAAGTTTGGGACACTTTTACAGATAGCCTATTTCCTTTTGGCATGTTTTATAGATGCTACCTAATGCATGAAGAGACTAACATGCGGAGACTAAGATTGCTGAGCAAGAAAAGTCTGTAGCCACACTATCCAATAACACTTTCTGAGATGATGGAATTGTTGTGTATCCACACTGTCCAATATGGTAGCCACTTGCCCATGTGGCTACTTACTCCTTAAAATCTGACTAGTGCAAATAAGGAACTGATATTTAATTTTATTTAATTTGAATTAACTTAAATAGCCACATGTGGCTAGTGACTACTGAATACACAGCAGAGGTCTATAGCAATCAAGAGTTTTCTGTTAAAAGAATTTTATTATCAAGAATAAAACTTATAAAACTGAAAAAAATTGCCTGAGATGTGGACATGCATGACTTATCTTTTAGAGAAATGAGATGCCAAAGTCTTATCTTTTAGATTAATGTTCTTGAAACTGCTTTGATCCTGATACAAACTATCAGTGAAAATTTTGCAGATCCAAAAGATATTTACCCACCAAATATATATTATTGGCAATCTGAATATTAAGTATTAATATGTATTATCATTTATCTGTAGATTAAAAGTAAACATCAATAAATAAGAGTTGTAATAGTTTCTGATCATCCTCAGCATCAGTGATGGATGCACATCATTTAGAAGATCACTGTTACATACCACATAACTAAGATAACATGTCTATTATCAGGTTACCCTAATAACATGAGAGAGGCAAAATGACTCAGAGAAAACAATCAGATTCATCAGTGTGAAATCATGAGAACCAAAGGAAAAAAAATTTTTTTTTTAGTCAGGGTCTCACTCTGTTGCCCAGGCTGGAGTGCATGGTAGATCATAGCTTACTGCAGCTTCAAACTCCTGGGTTCAAGCAATCTTCCCATTTCAGCCTCCCAAAGTGCTGGGCCAAAAAAAATTTTTAACAATATCATCTTATCTGGTTTAGGTAGTTTACATTTTCTTTATCTGGTGATCTTCTAGTCAAAGGACAACCCAGTCAAATCTAACATCTCAATATCTTGAATTCACCTCCCTCTCCTTTATAAAGACAGATCATTTATTCATGGTAACTGTGGCTGAAGCAGAAATATCCAAAGTAATTATACCACTCCTTTACGTACTTACTCTTTTAAACAACATAGTACTGTATTCTAGAAAGTGATACAACAACATAGTTAATCTACATGAATCATCTCCCAATTTTACTTAAAAATATTTCTGGTTCCTTTATTACCAAATGAAGCCCATTCTACCTTCAGTAATATGCTGTATACCAAATACACATTTTAACCTAACAGCTTAAATTTTAAGATATTTCCCTGTTTAAAAAAAAAAATCAGTCCAACAACTTAATTACTTATTGACTTGCTAAGACAAATGAAGATTTGTATTTTACACACATAAGGAATGTTTATAAAGCTTCTTTTCTTCTCTGGCCTATGAAATTCTGTATGTCCATACATGGTCAAATACAAAGAAGTCAGCGACATATGGAAGAGATCCAGAAAACATAACTGTAAACTAGTGCCATTCACAGGATCCAACTGTATCCTATCATCTGCTTTTACAAGTATCCTCATGGGATCCATGGAAAACAAATTAGTTCAAGTCCAAGAATTTCAAACTTTTCTAACAAATCTATTCCAAATGGTCACTTTCCCACGCACTTCCCTTAAGCAGGTCACATCAACATCTTTTATGGCATCACTCAGGGTTCTCTAAGATTAGCTGCATCATCTAATACCAAAAGAATGAATCAAGGGCATTTTCAACTGTTTTTCCCTGAAAAATAAATAAAACTAAAACTATCGTCTATGAATCATCTATGTATAATTCATCTATTGAGACCTCTTTTGGAATCTGAGATTCCAGAAATCCAAGGTACTCATTTTCTAATACTGAGTGTATACAGTATACAAGAGTATTAGTATACCGAGTTTTCAGTTTTACAATCTGAGGAAAAAAAGTCAAACAATGTTGATTATACAGCTTCATATACACTAACCTTTTCTAACTTAATGTTTACGTGCCATTTATTAAGGTAAATTAAGAAGTTATTTAATTAAGCATATAACATTTTGAAGAGAGGGTTAACATTTTCTTTCAAGAGCTTACCTCTACCTACACTTGCTCAAGAGGTAGCATTACAGCCAAAACTCTGAAGACATTGGAATGGCCTGAGATACTCCACTTAGCTCAAACACAAAAACTATCTATTTCCCTTATTTATTGGCTCAAAAGACAAATATCATCTTAAATATTTCATCGTGTTCCACAAGAAAATGAAAGAGGAAGTAACCAATAGTAGAACAGTTATGCCTAAAGAATACTTTCTTCTCATGAAGACCCAGAACTACTTTACTAAGAAGAAAGTTGATCCCAAAACTCTAATTTGGCTTTCTATTCTGAACCTCTCCACTCCTCATATCCCTGTCTCCTTACACTGAGCCTCAAATCCCTTGCCCCTCTTAATTTCTACTAGCAACCTCCTTCCCAAAACCTTTATTTCTTTCCCTTTCCAACTCAAATCCCATTCTGGATTAACCCATCTTTCTATTCCTATACCATAAAATTCATGACCTTCAACCTCAACAAGAATTTCTCTGCTAATATTCCTCTTATGTGCTCCTTAATCTCATGCCTCTCCCATTTCCTAATAGGCTCTTCCCAAGCCCGTGCCTGTCACAATGCTCAGTGAAGTACCTCACATCACCACTTAAAAATGAGACCATTCCCAGTCTGTCTGAATCAGCACTGTACCTTCCATGGTAGAGTGTGTGTGAAATTTATCTTTTTCCTAAAGCTAATTTCTCAATCTATTCTAGGAAACTGATTAATTTCCATTTTAGATTTATCTTGACAACCGTTTACACTATTTCCCCTATATCTTCAAGACGACCGGGCTTGGTAAGGAGCCAGCCAACTATTAAAAAGATTACATTCTCATTTTCTAACTATATTCAGGCTTCTTGAATGACTCTGACCCTGTCCGTAATATGGCATGTTCTTTCCTAACTGGGCAAAAGAGTTTACATTATCTTCAGCTAGTTTTCAGTATATAAAGGAATACACCTCCATGGTTCAATCAGGAAAGAGGACTTCTACAAGATTCTACTAAGGATCAATCTGGTTCTCAAATGCTACAGGTCTTCTTTTTGGTAAAGAAAAGATATTTAACAGTGGTGCACAGGCCTGTCTTAAAAATCCTACCAGAGATATTCTCACCTCCATTACCCCTTTGTTTTCAAGATAAAGAGAGTTTCCGAGAAGATATTCAAAACAGAAGAGGATATTTTTGAAGTGTTACTTTAAAGGAAGGTAAAATGGGTTTAGGCAATTTATTTTGAAGCTAAGCCAATGTAAGAATTCTAGTAAATTGAGGGCATGTCACATCTTTAACAGATGCTCACCTGGGGAGAAAATGTCTGCAATATCTAAAATGTAGGGGATTATTAGATTTTTCAAACTCCTATAAATCAGCAAGAAAATGACAGAAAATATTAAGATTACCAAAACACTTTAATGAAATCTGAACAGTTATTGAGTACAAAAGACATGTTCAACCTCACTAGAAATCAAATAAAATAAACTCAAATACCTCTATATCTTTATGCACACACAACAGCAATGAGTGCCTAAGTCTACTAAGACATACACAAGAATGTTCCCGTTAGTAAAAAACTGAAAACCCAAAGGCTTATCTACAATAAATAATAAAGGATATATACTGATACAGTCACACAATGGAGTATTATACGACGATGAAAAAACAACTACACCCAACATGAGTAAATAATACAGACATAATCTGCACTGAAAGAAAACAGATACAAAAAAGTATATGTATATAACGTTCAAGAACAGGCAAATTTATGGAGAAGGCAGTCAGTATGGTGTTTATCTTTGGGGGTTGTAATACTGAATGAGAGTGAGCACATGGAAGAAACTAGGGTTCTGGAAATGAACTGTATATTAATTTGGATAGTGGTTAGTTTTACCTTTCATATCTAAATTCATAAATACTTAAGTGAAGGTATTCATAACAGATACCCAAATTAAGATAGTTCAAAGTTCATTTTCTTACTTAGGTTTAAAATTTCCAATATTTATCACAAAATAAATAAGCATGTAGGATCAAGTTTTTAGAGTAGAATTTTGCAGGTAATTTTAAATCTCAAGCCCTATGAAGGTTACTAAAAAAAAAAAAAAAAAAAAAAAAATTCCTAAAATGGAAACATTAAAAAGGAGAAATAAGATATTTACTTCACAAAATTACTCCTTTGGGGTCTTGCAGTATGATATGTATGAGTTACTGCTCAGAATATATAGACTGCCCTACTATCCTGTGCACTGGGATGATCACTACCACTTCTTCAAATCCAGCTAAAAGCATCACGGCCTCAATGAAGCCTACTCCCGCCAGAACTGTTCACGTGCCTCCTCTCTGCTCGTGTCCTATATATTACCTAAGCAGAGCTCACCAACAATATTTTTCATTAACAGCTTAGAGCAGCGCTGCCAAATAAAAATACCATGTCAATCATGTAAGTAATTTAAAATTTTCTTAGTAGCCACTTTTAAAATAGGAAAAAGGTGAAATCAGTCAATTTTATTTAACCCGATACATCCAAAATATTATCACTGCAGTATACAATCAATATAAAAAATTACGGAGATTTTCTTTTCCATGCTCAGTCTTAGAAATCTGTGGTATATTTTATATTTGCAGAACATCACAATTCAGACTACCCACATTTCAAAGATTAATAGCCACATGTGGCTACAGGCTGCTGTACTATTTAATAAAAAGTGCATATCTAGAGTCTAGCCCCTTGCTTTATAAAGTGTGATCTACCATCCAGCAGCATCAGCATCACCTGGGATCTTGTTAGAAATGTAGAAAGGCAGCCCATCTCAGAACTACTAGAAGAACTAAATTTAACAGGATACCCAGGATTGGAATTCATAGCAAAGACTGAGAAGCAGTAAATTAGATCACATATACCTTGGGAGTCTTACAGAATTGCTATTGCCATTCAACTATGATATGGTATTATCCCACCGACTAATATAGAACACTGTATTTAAATAACAATAGCTTTTCTATGAATCATGTTTTCTCTACACTGTCCAATGCAATTTTCTACAATGATGAAAATCTTCATATATGTGCTGCACAAAATGGCAGCCACTTGCCACATGTGGCTGTTGAGCACTTGAAATGTATCTGGAGCAAATGAGAAATTGCATTTTAATTTAATTAATTTTAATTGATTTAAACATGTGGCAAATGACTATCATACGACATAGCACAACTCCAGGGGAATTGGTTACTATGTCACAGTGTCATCTCTAGGAGAATCCTTAGGACAAATTTGGAAAGTTCTAGTCAAGATAATTCTTTTGATTAACTGTACTTCTTCTGTTTTTTTAATTTTATGAAGTCATATTTACCATCTTACACTGGCTAAGGGCAAATTTGCATCTTACCTCTAAGGAAGCATAATAAAAGTTACAACATGTGCTTTGTGTGTATTAATATTATTCCAGCTTATCATCAATTAAAAATACTAATATCTAGACCTGTACAGTCTTTTTAATTCTCTGAGAAGGACCTGGATACTCTGGAGAATACAAATCTGTGAGGAATAATGAGTTGATTAATGTCAACTTTCCCAGTCCAGATTCACCTAAAAGAAATAAGGGAAAATATCTGTTAAACTCACCCACTTTACCCAACCTTAAATATTCAACAGATGCTATAATTGAACTTGCTTTATGCAAGTATTTCTTGGTGAGACAATGAAATGACATTAGAAAATACGCTACAAAGAATAAGTATCTTGTCCTCAGTTTCTTAGCTATCAAATTAAACTCACGTTTCCAAGGATTCTTTTCAGCCTTCTAATTATACCACTTATATTCATTAAAAGTAATGTATCTAATAATCTACATTTTTAACAGTAATGTATTCCCAAAGAAAAAAGTCAGTCATTATTTAAAAATCCAAGTTGGATTATGTATCACTGCTTCAGTGAAATAAAGTTTTTCTTTATTAATAGACAATAATGAATGAATAATAAACAAGAAATCATGCAGCTATAAAAAGCAAAAATCTGCTAATACAAAGAATAATTAATCACAATGAACATCTCCGTATAAAATTCTAAATCACAAAAAATACTTTCTAATTTCGCCACCCATCAGCCTAAATATAAGGGTGCTTCTCCACAAACCAGAATCCAAAAAATCTTAGGTAATTACTTTTTCTACCGCTTCTACTCAAGGTAGGAGGTAGACACGAAGGAAGCTAGGGCATGATTTCTACTCTGACCACATACTCTTTTTTGACTCTCCATGTTTAGTCCAATATACATAGTCCAGTGTATAGTAACTATTACAAGTATACCAAAATATAAATGGCTTCAAGGTATATATAACCTAAGGTTAAAACAAATTATAAATCAGATTATGATAATTAACATGGCACAGAGTTAAAGTATTTATTGTTAATAACTCACTTAGCATAATAGGCATGTTTAGCCTAAGTAACTGATGTCACAATATTTTTATGCCTAGGAGGAATTCTTTTTATATTAGCTCTCAAAAGAGATAAGATTCTCTCCACGTGGTTTGGGCTTACCCCTTTGACTGAGAGCATGCCACTTTTTACTAGAGGTTGATGTATGACTCAACTTAGAGTTGAGGATGAAAAGTGGGGATCATAGCACCTGCCTATACCCTGGTACAGATCATATGATGTTGATTTATTTATTTGTGGAGTCAGGGTCTCGCTGTGTTGCCCAGGCTGGAGTGCAGTGGCACGATCATGGCTCACTGCAGCCTTGAACTCCTGGGTGCGGTGGTGCGCACCTGTAGTCCCAGCAACTCTGGCAGGCTGAGGCAGGAGAATCGCTTGAACTCAGGAGGCGGAGGTTGCAGTGAGCCGAGATTACGCCACTGCACTCCAGCCTGGAGACAAAGTAAGACTCCATCTCAGTGAAAAAAAAATTTAAATTAAAAAGTTCTAGTATCTAAAATGAGCAAAATCGCCAGGCGCGGTGGGTCACACTTGTAATCCCAGCACTTTGGGATGCAGAAGTGGGTGGACCATCCGAAGTCAGAGGTTGAGACCAGCCTGCAGTGAGCCGAGATTGCACCACTGCACTCCAGCCTGGGAGACAGAGTGAGACTCCATTTCAAAAAAAGAATTAGCCAAGCGTGGTAGCATGCACCTGTAGTCCTAGCTACCGGGGAGGCTGACAGGGAAGGATTCCTTGAGCCCGAAGGTCAAGGCTGCAGTGAGCCTTGTTTGCACCACCTCACTCCAACCTGGGCAAAGACCCCATCTCAAAAAAGAAAAAAAAACACAAAAACAAAAAACAAAACAGAACAGAACAGCATCACTTCCTTATCATTAGTTTGAAGGAAGTGAATTGCCTGTAAAACTTTCCATTTTCAAAAAAAGTATTAAAATATAGTGTAAAGCCAGGCACGATGGCTCATTCCTGTAATCTCAGCACTTTGGGCGGCTGAAATGGATTGCCCCAAGAGGTCGAGGCTGCAGCTGAGCGATCCTCCCGCCTCAGCCTCGCAAGTAGCGGAGACTACAAGTGCATGCCACCATGCCCAACTAATTTTTTGTATTTTTGTAGAGACAGGGTTTCACCATGTTGCCCAAACTAGTCTGGAACTCCTGAGCTCAAGCGATCCACCCGCTTCCGCCTCCGCCTCCCAAAATGCTGGGATTAGGGGCGTGAGCCACCGGGCCTGGCCCAATTACTTTCTTCAGTCTGAGCATGAGGGCTGGAAGAAAAGCTCTCACTTGCATATAATTTTTTAGAGACAGAGTCTCCCTCTGTTACACGGGCTGGAGTGCAATGGCGCAATCTCAGCTCACTGTAACCTCAACCTCCCGTGCTTGATCGCTTATATAATCTCAGCTCACTGTAATCTCAACCTCCCGGGCTCGATCGCATGTATATACACACATATATTTGTTTGTTTAGACGGAGTCTTGGTCTGTTGCCCAGGCTGGAGTGCAGTGGCGCGATCTCAGCTCACTGCAACCTCCGCATCCCGGGTTCAAACAATTCTCTGCCTCAGCCTCCCGAGTAGCTGGGATTACAGGCACCCGCCACCAGGCCCAACTAATTTTTGTGTTTTTAGTAGAGACCGGGTTTCAGTGAAACCATGCTGGCCAGGCTGGTCTTGAACTCCTGACCTCGTGATCCACCCGCCTCGACCTCCCAAAGTGCTGGGATTACAGGCGTGGGCCACCTCGCCCAGCCGATCGCTTATATTTTTAAAAAGATGTTTTCTTCGTTTCCTAGCCCCTTCTACCCCGCTACAAAGTTTCAAAGACTTAATGCTATTACAAAGGGCCGTCAGACGTCAAGCTCAGGGGTGCAGCTCCCTCATGCCGGGCAGCCTCAGAGGGGGCCGACCCTGCCCAGGATGAACGGCGCCAGGTAGCCGGGGACGCTACCGGGAGTCCCCGGGCCCTGGCTGGTGGAGGTGTTGTGGGGCGCACGTACCCAGGCTCAGGTGAGGCGAGTGGGCAGCCGGGGCTGCAGCTGGCGCTGGCCATTGAGGAGCTTCTGCGCGACAGTGCGATCGGTTGCACCTTCTGCGACAGGGGCCGGCCGGTTGGCGCGCAGCGCCTGCTAGCGCAGAGTCTGGCCCTTGCTGCGCCCGGCCCCGAAGACCGAGAAGTCGTAAAGCTCCTCCTCGCAGTTTATGTGCGGCGGCGGCCGGGCCGAAGCCTGGGGACACAGAACTGCCAGCTCAGCAGCCGGTTACATCCCGCCCGGCCACCCGTAGCCAGCGTCCGCTAATGCGCGATCCTGGAAGACCCAGCAACCCCGCCGCGAGTTCCGATTGGCTCCGCGTGAGTGGCGGTCTCCTGCGAAGTCACAAGAGCGCGCCTTCCGTGACGTCACAAGGGCGCGTCTTCGCCGACACCATAGAGGTGGGCCTTCCGCGACGCCACAGGAGCGGGTGTTCGCCTACGTCACTGGGGCGCTACAGTACCTGGAGCTGGGCAGTCTTCTCATCAGAGTGGGGACTAATAACAGTGACCTCCCCGCCAGGTCCTGTGTGTTGCCGGCTGAAGAAGGGTAGCTGAAAAATTCAGACCCAGCACAGTGTTTATGTTGGTCAAAAATAGAAAACTATGTCTGGCGTGGCCGAGGCGGGAGGACCCTTCAGGCCAAGAGCAGCCTAGCAACATGGCGCAACCCCATCTCTGTAGTCCTACCTCAGACCCCCAGCTACTTGAACCCAAAGGTTCAAGGCTCCAGTGAGCTATGATCCCACCACAGCATTCCAGCCTGCGAGATTGAGGTAAACCCTGTCTAAAAAAATTAAAAATCTATCCAAGTGTGCAACAGGGAGGGACTACTAAATAAAACATGAGGCTGGCTGGGCCCTACTGTAATCCCAGCACTTTGGGAGGCCGAGGCGGGAGGATGGATGGCTTGGGCTCAGGAGTTCGAGACCAGCTTGGGCAACATGACGAAACCCCGTCTCTACAAAAGATACAAAAATTAGCCGGGCGCGGTGCGCACCTGGCCTAATTTTCGTATTTTTTTCTAGAGATAGGGGGAGGGCCTCGCTATGTTGCCCGGGCCAGTTTCGAACTCCTGAGTTGAAGCGATCTTCTCACCTTGGCCATCAGAGTTGTCGGGATTACAGGCATGAGGGACCGCGCCCCACCTGGGTTAGGCTACTTAATAACATAAGAAAGTGCTCCGCCAGGCTCAGTGGCTGACGCCTGTAATCCCAACACTTTGGGAGGCCGAGGTGGGTGGATCACCTGAGGTCAGGAGTTGGAGACCAGCCTGGCCATGGTGAAACCCAGTCTCTACAAAAAATACAAAAATTAGCCGGGCGTGGTGGCGCATGCCTGTAGTCCCAGCTACTTGGGAGGCTGGTAAAGGAGAATTACTTGAACTGGGGAGGCGGAGGTTGCATTGGGCCGAGATCGCACCACTGCACCCCAGCCTGGGCGACACAGCGAGACTCCAAAGTTTGACACCAGCCTGGGCAATGTAGTGAAACCCTGTCTCTACAAAACAAACAAACAAAAACCCAGGCGTAACTGTGTCCACCTGTGGCCCTAGCTAGTTAGGAGGCTGAGGCAGGAGGATCACTTGAGGCCAGGAGCTCAAGGCTGCAGTGAGCTATGGTAATCCCACTGCTTCCCATCCTGAGCAATAGAATGAAAGCATGTCTCGAGATAGCTAGCTAGCTAGCTAGATAATTGATAGGTAGTTTTGTATCAAATTTTTTCCCTAAATTTGAACATGTTTTTCTAAAGTAGCATTCAACACGTCAGCATTTTACAGTGTTACTAGTTATTAATGTGATTATGTTTTTGTAAAGTATCCTTTACAAAAGCAGTTTTGTCTTTCAAAGCACACAGATAAGGCCCTCAAGTGAATTTGTCTGATGTTGGCGACCTTGGTACCATTTTGTCCACCTGATTGGAAAAGTCAGTCAATAATTTCAGGTCACTGTTGGCCTTAGAAGAAGAGCCCAAAGGCAACAAGCAAAGGCGCTGGTGTCCAGTCGCCTTCTAAAAGCATTTTCACTTTCCCTTAAGGTTTCCCTTGATGAACATAGAAGTATTGTATGTAGAATTGACCCAGTGCTGCCCTGGCAACTTTGTATATTAGGCCAAATTTACATTTCTTACTAACTTTATGAGAGGCACCCTGGTAGGCTAGTGGAGTTACACACACAGTCTGATTTCAGCTGCACTGTCCAGAGATGCAACACGGTCCAATCAAATAACATTCTCTGAGCCTGTTTCTTTAGCTGTAAAAGAAGAATAACATACCCATCTAAAAAGGCAGCTTATTGTATTTGATTGGTCTTTTATTTTCTATGAAACTGTGTTTAACACAGTAATTATTTTCATTTGTATACTACATTTGTGTTGTGTTTTTGATTTTAGTTTTGTTTTTGAAATGGAGTCTTTTTTTTAGTGGTTTTTTGTTTTGTTTTGTTTTGTTTTGTTTTTGAGATGGAGTATTTCTATTGTCACCCAGGCTGGAGTGCAGTGGCATGATCTCCGCTCACTGCAACCTCCACCTCCCAGGTTCAAGTGATTCTCCTGCCTCAGCCTCCTGAGAAGCTGGGATTACAGGTGCCCACCACCACACCCAGCTAATTTTTTAAATATATTTTTAGTAGAGATGGGGTTACAACATGTTGCCCAGGCTGGTCTCAAACTACTGACGTCAAGTGATCCACCCACCTTGGCTTCCCAAAGTGCTGGGATTATAGGCATGAGCCACCGCACCTGGCTTGTTTTCAAATAAGGGTTTCTTGGCTAGGCATGGTGGCTCACACCTGTAATCCCAGCACTTTGGGAGGCCAAGGTCAGTGGATCACCTGAGGTCAGGAGTTAGAGACCAGCCTGACCAATATGGAGAAACCCTGTCTCTACTGAAAATACAAAATTAGCCAGGCGTGGTGGTGCATGCCTGTAATCCCAGCTACTCAGGAGGCTGAGGAAGGAGAATTGCTTGAACCCAGGGGGCAGAGGTTGCAGTGAGCTGAGATCGCACCATTGCACTCCAGCCTGGGCAACAAGAGCAAAACTCTGTCTCCAAGTAAAAAAAAGATTTCTTAAAATGATATTTTCAGTATTTTATAGATGATGTGTAAGCAGCAATCTTAATAGGATGTTAACCCGACACTTTGCGAGACTGGCAGCTGATTTGATCCAGATGTCTCTAATTCTTTTTTCTTTTTCTTTTTCTTTTTCTGTTTTTTTTTTTTTTTTTTTTTTTTTGACAGAGCCTGGCTCTGTCACCCATGGCAGAATGCAGTGGCACGATCTCGGCTCACTGCAACCTCCACCTCCTGGGTTCAAGCGATTCTCCTGCCTCAGGTTCCCGAGTAGCTGGGATTACAGGCGTGCGCCACCATGCCCAGCTAATTTTTTGTATTTTTGGTAGAGACAGCGTTTCACCATGTTGGCCAGGCTGGTCTCGAACTCCTGACCTTAGGTGATCTGCCTGCCTCGGCTTCCCAAAGTGTTAGGATTACAGGCGTCAGCCACTGTGCCTGGCCCAGATGTCTCTAATTCTAACATGAGATGTATTGCAGGATCATAGCAGAGTGAGTTGCTGATGTATCCAGAAGGAAACGAGCATGGACTCTCACGACAGCTGTCCTGAGAAGTGTGTGTGTGCTGTGCTTGGATATCTCACTGCTCATTTATACACAGGCTTTCTGGTGACTGAGTTAACAGTATCTGTTTCATAAATAATGTAGCCCTCTTTCTTTCTTTCTCTCTCTCTCTTTTTTTTTTTTTTTTTTTTTGAGACAGGGTCTTGCTCTGTTACCCAGGCTGGAGTGCAATGGTGCAGTCTCGGCTCACTGCAACTTCAGCCTCCTGGGTTCAAGCGATTCTCCTGCCTCAGCCTCCCAAGTAGCTGGGATTACAGGCATGTGCCACCACGCCTGGCTAATTTTTTCTTTTTTGTTTTTGAGATGGAGTTTCGCTGTTGTTGCCCAGGCTGGAGTGCAATGGCACAATCTCGGCTCACCACAATCTTTGCCTTTCGGGTTCAAGGGATTCTCCTGCCTCAGCCTCCCAAGTAGCTGGGATTACAGGCATGTGCCACCACACCCGGCTAATGTTGTATTTTTAGTAGAGATGGGGTTTCTCTATGTTGGTTAGGCTGGTCTCAAATTCCTGACCTCAGGTGATCTACCCGCCTCGGCCTCTCAAAGTGCTGGGATCACAGGCATGAGCCATCGCTCCTGGCCTAATTTTTGTATTTTTAGTAGAGAGGGGGTTTCACTATGTTGGCCAGGCTGGTCTCGAATTCCTGACCTCAAGTTATCTGCCTGCCTCGGCCTCCCAAAGTGTTGGAGTTACAGGCGTGAACCACCATGCCTGGCCAGCTCTATTTCTTTAAGACTACATGTTTTGCACTTGTTAAAAGTATTTGAACATACAATTACTCAGCTTCCCTTGTTTATGCTTGAATTTTGTATAATCTTAAATATTTTTTCCAATCTAAGCTTTATTTTATCCCGTTTCTTCTATATTTGTATAACTTTAGGTGGCTATCTTCATTGAAAGTTTTTTCTCAAAAGCCTTAAAATAGAACGTAGTTCTTGGCAGCAATTTGAAAGTTATTTGAGGAGAAGGGGAGACTTAAAATGATGATTCAAATGAAGCAAACTAAAAAGTAATAAAGCAAGACAGAGGAAAAAGCAGTATTCACTTGAGCACATCCCAAAAGAATAACATTTCAAATGTAACTAGAAAAAAGTATGCTGAAGTTCGCAATACAGAAATAATTATTAATAAGATAGCTTTAAAGCCCTGCTCAGCTTTTCAATGTTGGGAATTGACCCAGAGGTGGCTGTAACCTAAGATGGTTCCTTCAGTAATGACCATTTTTTCTTTTTCAAGATGATGATTATTCCCCACCTTCTGAGAGACAAAGACCAACGAGCCACCACAGCCACCAGTCCCAGAACCCGCCAATGCTGGGGAACGGAAAATGAGGGAGTTCAACTCTGGTAAGTTCTTAGCAAAATCCATGACCTTTTCCTTTATCTTCTGGACTCTCAGTGTGACTGATGAAAGTTACCACATGCTCTGCAGGGGGAAATGGTTTAGCATGTATTACTACGTCTTAATCACATCTTTGTAAAGCCAGGAGCATTTTGAAAGTCACGTTACAGACATTGTTTAAACATAGTCTGTATTTACCAAAGTATAGGACATTGTATCATCTCGTATTAATTAGTTAGTCGGCTCAAAATTAGTGCTAATGACTTAGTAATTCAGTGATTTCTGTTAGCTTTAAAACCTTTATTTCAGAACTATTTCACCTCTTGGTTTTCATTTTTGCTGTGCGTCACTGCCTGCCGGCTGCTAATTTATTAACTCCCAGTGAATCGTGTCCTGTGAAGGGACTGAATATTAGTGGCAAATTATGTTGATGATTTGTATTTTGAATAAATAGTTTGAATACATAGAACATTAAGCTTGTATACATTTTGAAAATAGTATTTTAATATTCTACTGTGTCATAGTCACAACGATTGGATATATATTGAATTTATATGTACTTTAAGTTGTTATATGTTTATGGTCTTTAGCATTCTAACATGCAATTGTGTATCTGTTAAGTCTTATTTTTTTTTCAAGATTACACTCTGATTTATTGAGGCATCTGTTTGATGCCACATTAAGTGGCCCAGGCTTTGTGTAGGGGTTGAGGTTAAAGCAGGAAGAAGGGTGGTGAGAGGCAGGGGTACCAGGATTAGGTTGGAATACCTGGGGGTGCTCTGAGGCTCTGGAATACCTGGGGGTGCTCTGAAGTTTCCCTGGTCTTGGCCGGCTGTGCTGCTGGCCAAGGCATCTGATGGGCCTGCAAGGTGGTCCAGGGGCTAGGGCAGGGACTTTGGAGTCACGCCGTTGGCTTTGAATCCAGACTCCTACACTTGGTAGCTGTGAACTCTCCATGCCTCAGGGACCTGCAGAACTGAGCTCTGTCTGAGCCAGTTTCCATCCAGGCACTGCGCATCCATCCAGAGGGGCACTGCCTCAGGTTGCTCACTATTCACTGCCTTCTCAAGCAGACCCTTGTCTCCTTCTAGGCCCTCACAATCCAGTGGAGGAGACGAAACTCATCTGCCTCTGTCCCTCTGGGCACGCTTCATGCCAGGTGCATCTGTGGACAGGGGCCATGCTCCTGGGCTTCCAAAGTTGGAGAAAGCTGCCAGGCTCAGGTGGGTACATCACAGCAGCTGCTGCCCTCTGGACACAGTGACAAAAGAACACTCTGGGCCTGGAGCCGTGGTCTGGGGCATTGGGCAAGGCTGTTGCACTTCTCTGAGCCCATTTCCCCATCTGGAAAGTGCACTGATTGTATCTCCCTGTGGGCACTGAGGGCTCAGTGTTAGTTTGAGAGCCAGCATCTGGGGTTTGGGCTGTAATTCCCCGTCAGCCCCATAGCTGCGGGGAACCAGGGACTTTGTTGGGATTACCCTAGGCATCAGTTTAGCTTCCTGTCCCTGGCTTGGGCTCAGCACCTGAAGTAGTCTAGGGGGTAGGTGGTCCTGGTGGGGGCTGGGGCTTTTCCCCAGACTGAGGTCACACCCAGAGCCAGAAATCTTGGTGCCTGCTCTGGGCAAAGGTGCCAGCCTGTGCGACAAGAGCGAAACTCCGTCTCCAAAACAAAAACAAAAAACCTTGCATCATTTCAAGGGGCTCACACCTCCCTAAGGGCCTGGTAATTGGCTGGCTCTGGCCTGCATCTAGCCCCGAGGGTGTAGGTAACACCCCACCTTACCTGGTTTCTTCCTGCCAGGGCCAATCTTCAGACCTCAGGACTTTGCAGCCTATCCCACCTCCCCTCTGGCCAGCCTCGAGCCGTTGTGGGTCCAGCACTTTTTCCAGGCTGTCTCCTGGTTGTCCTTCTGCCTTGAGGCCTGGCTCATGCTGCTCCCCTTCCCACTCACCAAGACCCACAAGGACCACTCCACACCCAGCTCAGCCCCATCCCCTCAGATAGTCCTCTCTCTTTCCTCAGGTGGCCAGGTGCATATCTTGGTGTGAGGACCTTCACTGTATCTGGGAATGCCTACTGGTCACCTCGGTGACAGAGACCAAGGCATTTACCTGATATGAGTGTCTTGGTTCATTGTCTACATGGCTAGGGAGGGAGTCAATAATAGGCTTTTCACTTGCTGCAAGGGCCGGTTCTCCTGGCCCCATGGCTCTAGGGATGGAGGACACTGCAGGAGATGCACCGCTCACTTCCCAGCTGAGGACTGTGGGTCATCTCAGGGCGATTTCACAGTCCCCACATGCCCCACCCCCTCAGCTCTGCAAATACCAAGCAGCGCAGCCTGCCTAGGGGATGATGGGCTCGAGAGTGCCCAGGTAGTGCCCAGAGTGCCCTTGGCAGGCCCCTCACCTAGCTGCTTCCACAGCTCTGTAGCAAGAGTTCTAAACTTTTTTGACCGTGAAGTCTGCTGAGAATAAGAGCTGTGGACTGTTTTCCCAGAAAGGCATGTATGTGCTCTCCACACAAAACCTTTCATTGTGGCCAAGCACAGTGGCTCATGTAATCCCAGAACTTTGGGAGGCAGAGCCATTCGGATCACCTGAGGTCAGGAGTTCAAGACCAGCCTGCCCAACATGACGAAACCCTGTCTCTACTAAAAATACAAAAAATTAGCCAGGTGTGGTGGCAGCCACCTGTAATCCCAGCTACTCCGGAGGCTGAGGCAGGAGAATCACTTGAACCCGGGAGGCGCAGGTTGTAGTGTGGTGAGATCACGCCACTGCACTCCAGCCTGGGCGACAGGAGCGAAACTCTGTCTCAAAAAACAAAACAAAACAAAGCCTTGCATCCTTTCAGGGGGCTCACACCTCCCTAAGGGGCCAGTAATTAAACCCCTTGGGCCTGAGGGTGAGAAACTTTGTCTCAGTTCTTCCCCGAGTGATCAGCCCAGGGGTAAGGAAGGAGAAGCCAGAAAGCAGGACCCATGAGAAGGGCCCACTCCTGGAGTTTGAGGCCCACTCCCTCCTGCCCCTGCCTCTCCTCTGTCCAGGACTCCTCCCTGCTCTGCCCCACTCCTGGGGCCATAACCATGGGGAGCTGTGGTTTTCTACAGGCTCCTGGGCACAAAGTGGGCAGGCTCACCTGGAGGCGATCAGAGCAACATGGCAGGAAGTGAGGGGGAAAGCCGCCCTGGAACTGCGCCTCTCTGCCCCCTGACGTCGCTGGCGTGCACTCCTCCCTCCCCTCACTCAGGCAGTGGCAAGAGTTCCATGTGAGCACTGTCCTGCTCCCTCTGCTGCCCTTTTTTTTTCTTGGGGCTACCATAACACTCCCTTCCCCAGCCCTGCCAACCTGGTGGGACATTGGGCTTCCCTCTCACAGGGTCCTGGGGACAGGCCCATCCTTTATCATACCCACAGAGAGACCCCTTTTTTTCTTCAGGACCTGGGGAGCAGCCAGGTTCCATGAGTTAAATGCAGATCTGAACCAAGCTGGGACTGGGGTACACACTCTCCTCTGCTGAAAAGTAGCTAGGGATTCCAACTAGGTGAGAAGGAGAGTGGGGCAGAGCCAGACCAGACAAGGACTGATCACCTGGAAAAAGCCTGCCATCAAAGGTCTTGGCAAATGCTGGGTGCAGTGGCTCACTCCTGTAATCCCAGCACTTTGGGGGGCTGAGACAGGTGGACTACTTGAGGCAAGGAGTTCGAGTCCAGCCTGGGCAACATGGCAAAACCCCATCTCTACTAGAAATACAAAAATTAGCTAGGCATGCTACACTCCTGTAATCCCAGCTACTCAGGAGGCTGAGGCAGGAGAATCACTTGAACTGGGGAGGCGGAGGTCGAAGTGAGCCGAGATTGTGTCCCTGCACTCCAGTCTGGGAGACAGAGTGAAACTAGGCCTCAAAAAAAAAAAAAAAAAAAAAAGAATATGGCCTTGGCAGAGAGGGGCCAGCCCGGCAGTGCCTTCCCTTGGGTTTCTCCTGGGTAGGCCTCTGCCATGAGGAGGCGCTTCCTTCTGCCTGTCCATGGCCCACAGCAATGGAATGTCTGCTTCTAGGGGTTGGGTGGGAGACTGCTGGCAGAACTGGAAACCTTCAGGTGGGGTTTTTTTGTTTTGTTTTGTTTTCGAGATGGAGCACCGCTCTGTCACCCAGGCTGGAGTGCAGTAGTGGAATCTCAGTTCACTGCAACCTCCGCCCCCCTGAGTTCAAACAATTCTCCTGTCTCAGCCTCCTGAGTAGCTGAGATTACAGGCATGTGCCACCATGCCCGGCTATTTTTTGTATAGATGGCATTTCGCCATGTTGGCCAGGCTGGTCTCGAACTCCTGACCTCAAGTGATCCACCAACTTCGGCCTCCCAAAGTGCTGGGATTACAGGCATGAGCCACTGAGCCCAGCCCCTTCAGGGGGTTTTGAGGCTTCACTACAATACTAGTTTCCTGTGGCTGCTGCAACAAATTACCACACACTTAGTAACTTAAAACAACCAAAATGTATTCCCTTACAGGTCTGAAGGCCAGAATTCTACAGTAAGTCCTACTGAGTCAAGGTGGGAGCAGGGTCGGTGGCTTCTGAGGCTCTGTGGGAGAATCTGTTTCCTGGCCGTGGAGGTGGCCTGCACTCCTCAGCTTGTGCTGCCCGTCTCGAATGACTGGAGTTTCCTGCTTCTGTCACTACACCTCCCACCCTCTCCATCACCTGCTCTGCTCTTATAAGGATCTGGGTGAGTACATCAACCCCAACAGCCAAAGACCCTTAACTTCATTATATCTGCAAAGCCCCTTTTGCCATATAAGGTCATGTTCACCAGTTCCCGGGATTAGGATATGGGCATCTTGGGGACATCAGCCTGCTACAGCTAGGCTGCAAAACTATTAC
Source organism: Homo sapiens (assembly GCF_000001405.40). Taxonomy (NCBI): domain Eukaryota; kingdom Metazoa; phylum Chordata; class Mammalia; order Primates; family Hominidae; genus Homo; species Homo sapiens. The sequence continues at coordinate 45,778,558 of NC_000007.14, forward strand.
ACCCTCCTGGTGTTTCAATGATTGGGAGAAAAAGGGTTGGCATTTTTTGCTTAGGGGTCCCTCTTAAACTTATATCTGTAAGGTCTGGGGTCCCTCTTAACCTTGTGTTTGTTTTTGTTTTTTTGAGGTGGAGTCTTGCTCTGTCATCCAGGCCGGCAGTGGCGTGGTCTTGGCTCACTGCAACGTCTGCCTCCTGGGTTCAAGTGATTCTCTTGCCTCAGCCTCTTGAGTAGCTGGGGCTACAGGCTATATGCCCTGCTGTTTTGTATTTTTGGTAGGGACGGGGTGGGGGTGGGGCTAGGGAGGGGGTTTTGGCTATGTTGCCCTGAGCTCAAAGCGATCCGCCTGCCTCTGCTGCCAAAGTGCTGGGATTACAGGCCTGCACCACTGCACCCGGCTGCTGTAAAGTCTTATTTCACACAGCTGAGACATGTTTTAGGAAGTTTGCTGAAAGACTCCTGGAGACCTCCTCGTTGTGACCTCCCTGTTATTGTGTCTAATTTGATTGAACTTTTCTGCCCTCCTGCTTTTCAGCTTCTCTAATAGTCTCTCATTAAACCAATTCTAAGAACCACCAAAAAAGGGAAATCTTTTTTTGAAAGCAGTAAAATGATATGGACTGTTAGAATGTAAAATATATGAAATAAGTCATTATATGTTAGTGCTGCTCTGACATAGGGACGTATTATTGAGAATCAACTTTTGCTTGATTTTCAGAGAAATGGAATAATCGTATCGCTGATCTACGTAAACAAATTGAAGAATTGTCTGAAAGAAAGTATGGTATGTCTAAACTGGAAAAGTCCTGTAATCTTATGTTCATGGGCGTTTACACAATGGAGTTACTGTTCATCATGGGGGTACCGTGGACAAGCCCAGGGCTGCCGGCGAGTCATGCCATCCTTACACGTTTCTCCTTGTAAGGTGCTTTGTAGTGTCTACACACTTTGTTTCTAGATTGCTGCAAAGCTGAGGAAAAGTTGTATTTCTTTAATTATTAGTTAGCATTTCTTTTAAACTTTCAGTATGGAGATTGGAAATTTATTTACATATTTATTGCAAAGCCCTGGATCTTAGGGATTTCATTGAATTATTTATTTATTTATTTTTGAGACGGAGACTCACTCTGTCGCCCAGGCTGGAGTGCAGTGGCACGATCTCGGCTCACTGCAACCTCCGCCTCCCGGGTTCAAGCAGTTCTCTGCCTCAGCCTCCCGAGCAGCTGGGATTACAGGCGCCAGCCACCACTCCTGGCTGATTTTTGTATTTTTAGTAGAGACGGGGTTTCATGATCTTGGCTAGGCTGGTCTTGAACTGCTGACCTCCTGATCCACTCACCTCAGCCTCTCAAAGTGCTGGGATTACAGGTGTGAGCCGCCATGCCTGGCCAAATATTATTTTTTTAAATGAATTGTTTCTCTTAGTCTGCTTTGTTAAATTTGGAATTCATCTGGGCGCGGTGGCTCACACCTGTAATCCCAGCACTTTGGGAGGCCAAGGCAGGCAGATATCTAGGTTGGGAGTTCGAGACCAGCCTGACCAACATGGAGAAACCCCGTCTCTACTAAAAATACAAAATTAGACGGGCGTGGTGGCGCATGTCTGTAATCCCAGCTATTTGGGAGGCCAAGGCAGGAGAATCGCTTGAACCCAGGAGGCAGAGGTTGCGGTTAGCCGAGGTTGCACCATTGCACTCTAGCCTGGGCAAAAAGAGCAAAATTCCATCTCAAAATAAATAAATAAATAAAATGTTCAGTACTCACCAAGGTGCCCCTATTGTCTCTACTTTTATCTTGATGCATCACTGAATTGATGTTAGATTTCAAACTCATCATTGCCCTTATACTATTCTATTCTGAAGCCACCTTTATATAATGTTGAAAGAAATTAGTGATTTGTTATTATCCTCTCTCTGTTGGTATACATCAAATGCTCACCTAAAAAGAGCAACAACCAGTGGAAAACACATGATGTTTTTATTTGGATGACTATTTACTTGTAACCTACTAGCAAACTATAAAATTGTATGATATGCACAATTTTAACTGAATTGCTTTAAGTGAACATTTAAACATGATAAACCATATTGATGGTATTTATGTTAATATACTTAAAATGAACATTTTTCTTCATCATGAGTAATATAACCTACTTGTCAATGAAAACCTAGCATTAAATTTGCTAATGAATTCAATAACATTTTCATAATATTTTTAGTTACATGCTTAAGGTTCTCTTAGTGTTTCTCCCACTTTTTAATAGCTTAAGCCTTTTTCGCCTTTGGGTTTTTTTGGTTCATTTTAAAGCAAAAATCTTACAACATGTGATACCTGGAAACACTGTAACCTAGTGGTAAGACCATAGGCCCTGGGGACACAGGCTGGCCATGTCTCTTGTCCTGTCTGAGCTTTAGTATCCTCTTTTGTGGTCATGAGAACTGAAGATCTGTCCCAAAGATTTGATAAGATAGTAAAGTGCTTCACATAATACCAGACATATAAATATACACTAAATGCTTCCTCCTTATATTTTTATTGATTGATTGATTGAGACAGAATCTTGCTCTTTTGCCCAGGCTGGAATGCAGTGGCGTGATCGTGGTTTCTGCAGCCTCCACCTCCTGGGTTCAGGCAATTCTGCCTCAGCCTCCCGAGTAGCTGGGATTACAGGTGCCTGCCACCATGCCCAGCTAGTTATTGTATTTTTAGTACAGACGGGGTTTTACCATGTTGGCCAGGCTGGTCTCGAACTGCCGACCTCATGATCTGCCTGCCTCGGCCTCCCAAACTGCTGGGATTACAGGTGTGAGCCACTGTGCCCAGCCTGTCTTTTCTCTTCACACCCACAGTTCATGATGAAATATTAAATATGTACTAGTGGATATTACTTTGCTGAATATTGCCTAGTGAATATTAAGTATTTATTCTCACCTTTCAGACATGAACTTATGAATTCAACAGGTGAAGATTTACAACTTGATAAATCAGCTTCGTGAGGTACGTCTTCAGTCTTAAGTCAGATTAGAAGATTATGTGAAGTAATTAACACTTAACATTGATTTAATGGTAGCTTCCACATGAAATAGTATGCCTCTAAGTATTAATTATGTCCTAGGACAGGAGAATTCATGTTGTCAAAATTCTCATACTCTCTAGAACAATAAACTCATTTTCTTTTTATTAGTAAATATTGCATTTATGGGTAGACAAAACTGAAAGAACAATATTTGTTCTACTTTTGAGATGCAAGATTCATCTGGCATAATGCATTGAACAGGTTATTATTGAAGTCTACACCAGTCAACTGAATAAGCATTCATCAAATGTCCATGATATGCAGGACATAAGTTTTCTTTTAGAGTAGGGAACCATGCATATTATCTTGTAATTAGATGATTTAGTTAGATATGTTTTTAAAGAAATAGAAATATAATTGATTTTCTTGTTTTGGCTCTGGAGTGGGGACAAAACGGAATGGATTCACACTGTTTAGATTTACTAAAATGGAAGGATTGCAGCAAGATCATATCCCTAGTCTCCCTGTAGCAAATGTCACCTGCTAGCTGTTTTTTTTTTTTTTTTTTTTTTTTTGTAAGTTGAAGTTTTGTTCTGTCGCCCACGCCAGAGCGCAGTGGTATGATCTCAGCTCATGGCAAGCTCACCTCCTGAGTTCAAGCAATTCTCCCTGCCTCGGCCTCCTAAGTAGCTGGGATTACAGGCCTCTGCCACCACGCCTGCCTAATTTTTGTATTTGTAGTAGGGTTGGGGTTTCACCATATTGGCCAGGCAGGCCTCGAACTCCTGACTTCAGGAGATTCACCCGCCTCAGCCTCCCAAAGTGCTGGGATTATGGGTGTGAGTCACTGCACTTGGATTTAATGGGATATTTCACTACAGACTTTAGTAAACAGAATATTAGCATTTTTGGTGTTCTTTTTATTTTACTCATACTATTTTTCTTTGGACTCAATCACAATAACAGAATTAAAGATCAAAGTGTAAAAGTTAAAGACCAGTACAGATTCAATAATTATTCTTTTCTACATATTGTGTTTAAATGATATCCCTTTTTCTTTTTGTTCTTATAGCTCGAGCTGTAAAAGCCAAAGGTCCGGTGATGATCCCATACCCTTTTTTCCAGTCTCATGTTGAAGATTTTTATGTAGAAGGCCTTCCCAAAGGAATTTTTTTTTTTTTTTTTTTTTTTTTTGAGATGGAGTTTTCGCTCTTATCGCCCAGGCTGGGGTGCAATGGTGCAACCTTGCTGGTCACTGCAACCTCTGCCTCCTGGGTTCAGGAAATTCTCCTGCCTTAGCCTCCCAAGTCGCTGGGATTACAGGTGCCCACCACCACACCAGGCTAATTTTTGTATTTTTAGTGGAGATGGGGTTTCACCATGTTGGCCAGACCAGTCTTGAACTCCTGACGTCAAGTGATCTTCCCGCCTCGGCCTCCCAGAGTGCTGAGATTACAGACATGAACCCATGCCTGGCCAGGAATTTTGTTTTTTAGGAAGGCTTTCTACTAATGGAATTCCTGGCCTTGAGAGGATATTACTTTCGAAGGAAAGGATTTTTTTGTTATTAAAAGGTAAGATTCTTGGATTCTTATTGGATTGTTATCTCTGTTAGGAGTAATTCATCTTTAGTCATTCACCACTAGGGTTGTATTTAATTAAGTCTGAGTTATTTTATGGTGGTTTTGTTTTGTTTTGTTTTTACCAAATTTTGTTCTCATTGCCCTGGCTTGAGGGCAATGGTGTGATCTCAGGTCACCACATTCTCTGCCTTCTGGGTTCAAGCAATTCTCCTGCCTCAGCCTCCTGAGTAGCTGGATTTACAGGCATGTGCCACCATGCCTGGCTAATTTTTTGTATTTTTAGTAGAGATGGTGTTTCACCATGTTGACCAGGCTGGTCTAGAACTCCTGACCTTGGGTGATCCACCCGCCTCGGCCTCCCAAAGTGCTGGGATTACAGGCATGAGCCACTGCGCCCAGCCTGGGCCTGCTTCTTTCTCTTTTTCTTTTTTTTTCATTAGCAGCTTAAAATTGGTGCCTTATTCAGACACAAGCAAAAGGACATTAGCCCAGCTTTGGAAATAGGTGTGAGCCCATATATGATCTTCCTAGTTTCTCCTCCCCCTTTGCTTTTTGCTCTCTTGTTAGTATGTTAATTGTTTTCACTCTCTGAATCTTTTTTCCCCATTTCTTTGGCAGACATTTTTACTTGTCTTGGAAGAGTAGGCGAAGAGCTGTTTTTAGGACTCTTTGAAAGGGTACAGTATGGGTGACAGTCTTGGCTAATGGTAACATCCAGGGAGCTGGGGTCAGCATGAGCTGGAATCAGTTCAAATTAGCAAAGCACTGGCACTCAGTGGCAGGAATACAAGTGACTGCAAAGTGTTAAACACATCTGGAAAGGGATACTGACATCATCCTCAGAATCTGTGGGGAGTTCACATAGCCAGTTAAGACCCATTCCTCTTTGACCCTATAAAGATTCTTTAAAGAATAATACCCTTAGTGGTTTTCTAGCCAGCTTGCCTGCTCATTTATCTTTGAGGACAACATGCCTTGTGGAGCTCCACAGGCCCCAGAGGGGTATGGATTCTGCATTCGAAAGTGCTGAAGCTGAGAGACTGGGTCTTGGTGGACCCCAAGAGATCTGGTTCTCCTCTACTCATTGTTCCTTCTTTTCCCAGCAGCTGGCATTGCTGTTTAAATGGGTTGTTCTTTGCTGTTTTAAGTTGTTTCATAGTGGTGTGTCAGGATTTGGGTTTTCTGAATACTTTCCAAGCTGATGACTTGAGTGGTGGTTAGGGAGGAGATGTTTTAGGGCTGTTCTGGAGCTATTGAGGTCAGGTGTCTAGATACTCCCAGCTTGTCTGTTGAGGAGAATGCTGTTCTCATTGTGCTGCCTTTGGTGGTACTGTGTGTGGCTCTTTAGATGTGGGTGGAGGTGAGCTGGGGGAGTTAATGAGATCTTTTTTAGGTGCTTTTGATAAAGTAGCCTGCACTACAGGATTCATTGTGACTTTTTTCCTTAACCTGTGCATTTCTCTCTGCTAGCTTTTGCTGTCTTTCTCATGCCTTTGATTTTCCCAGCTCCTCTTGGTTGAATTAACATAAGTGCTCTGCTATGGTTTAAATGTGTCCCCCAAAGTTTATGTGCTGGAAACTCAATCCTCAATGCAACAGTTGGGATGTGGGGCCTAATACAATAGCCTTCATGAATGAGTTAATGTTGTTATTGTGGTAATAGATTAGTAATCATAGAGTGGGCTTATTATAAAACAGAGTTCAGCCCCTTTTGCCCTCTTGCTTTCTTGCACTCTCTTTTCCTTTTGCCTGCTGTAGTGGGATGATGCAGCAAGAAGACCCTTACCAGATGCAGGCCCCTCAACCTTGGACTTCCTAACATCCAGAACTGTTAAGAAATAAAATTTATTTTTTTCCTTTTCTTCCTCCTTTCCCTTCTCCTCCCTTTTCTTCCCTTCCCCTCCCTCCCTCTCTCCCTCCCTTCCTCCTTCCCTCTTTCCCTCTTTCCCTTCCTTCCTTTCCTTCCTTCCCTTCCTTCCTTTCCTTCCCTCCTTCCCTTTTTCCCTCCTTCCTTCCTTTTTTCCTTTTTATAAATTATGCAGTCTGTGGTATTCTTTTATAGAAGCATGAAATGGACAAAGACAGACTCCATTTTCAAGAACAAGCACTTTTGTAGTTTCTGAGCGAATTATGACTGTAAAGGAAGTTCTATAGGTAGCCTCAGATCTACTACCTAGGAAGCATGCTACCAAGCAGACCTAGGATCTAGGATTTGATCAAGTGCTGGGCAACATGATACCTCTGCAATTTAGCACCTCCCTATATACCTCCAGTTGGCTCAGCCCATCAGGACTAAAACTACCCCTCATATCCTAGTGTCTCTTGTAGGCAGAAGCCTTGCCTAAACCCTAAGCTGCTTGGCTCACATTCTGTCTTGTGCTTTTTTTGTAGGGGTTCAAATATACACAAAAGAAATGTGTTGAACCTCCATGCACCCAACCCGCAGATTAAGCAGTTACCTCCATTTTTCCAGATTTGTTTCATCTGCTTCAATCTCCCTAAAAATTTGTGTTTGTACAGGAAAAACTGAATAAATAGCTAATTCTCCACCCTACCTCTCATCTTAAGTCACTTTTCAGAGTAGTAAGTTAGTGACCTAGTAACCTTCCCTCTAATGACCAGTAGTTTTTTTTCTGAATACCATTATGAACTCACAGATTATTGTTTGCATTTGATGTATTTCAGGCCATTGCAGTCTTTATTGTTTTGGATGCTTACATTGTCTCATCCAGGTTAATAATTATCTCTTCAAGTTGACTTTCATGTCTTTTTGACGTGATGTCTTTTGGACTTTGATGGCTTCCTTGCTTTCTGGCAAACAAGATGTTCCAGGATCAATATACTGCACCATACATGGAGTCAGCCATTTCTCTAGGGAACCTTGATTCCTTTTAGTAGAGAACACAGTTTGAGGTCTTGGACTGAATGACTTTTGTGAACCTCCTCTCCTGAGACTACAGCCTGCCTCCCTGCATATAGCCCGTTAGGAGCTCTTGCTGGGCACCAACAGATCTCCTAAAACTGCTATATAGTTCTGCCTCACTCTTACAAAAGATTCATCTCTTGGGAGTTTTGTGCTCTACCCCCAGATGTGGTCTTTCTGGTTCTGAAGCTTTTGCTTCAGTCACCCTGAATTTTGCCAGCCCTATGCATGCTATACCTTGGATTGCCAACTTGCCCTCACTGAAGCCAGTTTCTCTGGTTAGAATAGTTGCCCCAACCCATGCCTAATACTCTAGTAAACAAGGTTCTACCTGGGCTTAGGTTAACTTTTGCTCCTTTGGGCCCTGTGTTCTACCAGCATTCCATTTATCTGAAACTCTCCCTCACCTTAAGAACCTATCTGTTCTTTAATGATTTACTGCTGCTTCCTGGGTTCAAAAGAACCCAGTTCAGGAGTTTCTGTTTTAGTTTGAGATCTTATAGGCCTGTCTCATCAGGTTGGTGTCAGCCCAGCTAGGATTAGGCAGAATTGGGTGGGGGCTGTAGTGCATTTTTTGCACAGCATGTACCTGTCTGACTAATTCTCTGTCTTTTCTTTCCTTTTGCAATTCATGGGTCTTAGCATCTTCTGAATGGTGTTTAGTAGGTCATCCTGTTGATTTCCTGCTAGGGAGTAGCATACTCTGGCTCTGTACCATTGGCCAAGGGACTTAAGGATAGATGAAGGGCTGCAGTTTTGTTAAATGGAACAATATGAAGAGATGGCATTGTAAAAAAAAAAAAACAAAAAAAAAAAACAAACAAACAAACAAAAAAAACGCTTGGCAGCAGGGCCCATTTGAATGGTTGGTCCTTGGCTCCTGTGTTGATATAGGCAGATCCTTGATGGGAATTTGGAATGATCCCAAATATTGTAGATCACTGGTACATCAAGTCATCCTCAAGGTTGTCTGTGTAACAGTCTTGAATGATATTTTATCAGTCTTTGGAGATTCTCTGTATAGGGTTTAATCATTTAGTTATTTCAGTTGAGCCTGTTTAGTTTCTTTGCAAGGAGATAAGAAATGTGAAAGAGATGCAGACATTAGGGAAAAAAGTCAGGAGCCTTGTTTCCCCACCCTCTACTTGGGTTCTGGAACTGGACTCATAGGTGAGTAGTGAGGAGCTGGGCCCAAGCACATTAATCCTAGATCTAGCTCTGCTTTGCGCTCGCTCCAGTTCTTGTATCAAATTCACTTCAAGCCACCCAGAGTAGTATGTAGAGGAGTCATTCAGGACCATGCTTATACTTCATTATATCAAATGGGAGATCCAGTAATTTATAGCCTGTTATTTCTGGAGTCTGGAGATGGCTCTGCATAAGATTTGCTGAAGCAAATTTTATTACATTAGAAGAGAACCTAGCTGGCTGCATCCTACACTGGAAGCTTTTAGATGCTAATAAGGAGGTCATGTAAAGGTCACAGAATGACTCTGGAATCCATTCCCCACCAAGAAAGAATAATGACATTCTATGTTGGCCTCTTTTCATTTCCCTTTGATTTTAAGTAATAAATTCTCTCCTCACTTCCCAGCTGAACGGTTTGGGAGTCTCTATTCCCTAGAAAGACTCTGGTCACATACCCATCAGATTAAATTAAGTGAAAACTCTTTGGCCTTCATGAATGTTGAAGGATTTCAAAGGGCTAATGGAAATTCTTCTAGAAGTAACTGCAACGTCCGCCTTCCGGGTTCAAGCGATTTTCCTGCTTCAGCCTCCCGAGTAGCTGGGATTACAGGTGTCCACCATCATGCCCAACTAATTTTTGTATTTTTAGTAGAGACGGGGTTTCACCGTGTTGGCCAGGCTGGTCTAGAACTTTTGACCTCAGGTGATCCGCCCACCTCAGCCTCCCAAAGTGCTGGGATTACAGGCGTGATCCACTGCGCCCAGTTAAACTTCAGTTTTTCATGTTCCATGCATAGGTCAGGGTCTTAGGGAGTGATTCATTCTAGCAGAACTCCCTGGATTTTAAGGCACGTGTTCCATTTATTAATTGACAAAGGAGGCATATTTCTCCCCTGGTAACCCAAAGATTTAGGTCATTTTCCCAGAGACTCCATTTCCACTGTGAGGGTTCTTGGAAAACTAAGCAGAGGATGAGGAAAAGTCTGTAAACAAGCTTGCTGGTCTCTCCCTATCCTACAAAAGAGCATACCTCTTCTGTAACCAGAAGGCCCTTTTGATTAGTCAAGGCTGGACAGACTGAGATTAGGGGGGTGTGTGTGTGTGTGTGTGTGTGTGTGTGTGTGTGTGTCTTGAGACAGGGTCTCACTCTGTCACCCAGGCTGGAGTGCAGTGGTGAGATCAGAGCTCACTGCAGCTTCCACTTCCTGGGCTCAAGCGATCCTCCTATTTCAGCCTCCAGAGTAGCTGGGACTATACGAATGTTTTACCGCACCCAGTTCATTTTCTAATTTTTTGTAGAGATGAGGTTTCACTGTGTTGCTCAGGCTGGTCTTGAACTCCTGGCCTCACGGGATCCTCCTGCCTTAGTCTCCCTGTGGGCTGGGATTATAGGTATGAGCCACCTCACCTGACCTGCGACGATTTTTCAACAATGTAATTTCTCTTTTACAGAGCCACCTAAGCTGAAGATTCCCTTGAGAACAAGTACTGTCCTGTGGTTTCATGGCCTTTCTTCCATTTGTGGTTCTTGTGAAGTGGAATTTAAATGACATCTTATCAAGATGGATAAACCCTAGTTTCCCAGTGCTGGAATATAGAAAATGGATGGACAAGTAAATCCCACTCATCACCCATAGTCCAGGCATGGGGACCTCAACACACCTGAGCCCCAGACATCACCTTTCATTGTGAGTAGCTCTGAGATGACACTTCTGCTGTTCCCAATTCCAGCATTAATTGGATTAGATAGTTATTTTATGAAGAATTTTCATATGCCACAATCCTGACCATATCTTCAAGTGAACAGAAAAATTCTATTAAAAAGTCAACCTTCTGTCTCACTCTGGTGCCCAGACTGGAGTGCAGTGGTGCAATTATGGCTCACTGCAGCCTCAACCTCCTGGGCTCAAGCAATCCTCCTGCCTCAGCCTCACAAGTAGCTGGGACTACAGGTGCTTGTCACCACACCTCACTAATTTTCCCATTTGTGTTATATGTGGATTCCACAGGACTGACTTCGAAAACTTGAATATGCATGGATTTTGGTATACACAGAAATGGGAGAGCTGGAGCTAATCACCCCATATACCAAGGGACAAATTGTATCTGTTTTTACAATTATACTGTAGGAGACATTATGTTCCATGACAATGGTAGTTTTTAATGACAATTTTTAATTGAGTGAAATTACCATAAAAATAATAATAGTAGCAGCTAATATTTACTGAGCTGTTACTAGATGCCTATAAATAGCATAGATTTTTAAATTCTCCATAATTCTTCCTTATTTCACTTAACCACTCTATCTTAAATTACTCATGCTTGCCTCAGTAGCACACATACTTAAGTTGGAACAATAGAGAGATTGGCATGGCCTCTGTGAAAGAATGACATGCAAATTTGTGAAGCATTCCATATTTTTTAAAAAAAAAGAGGAAAAAATTACTCCCAGATTTTCACCGTGTTTGTGCATGTGACCTTTTGTTTAGGTTGAATTATATCCAAAGATGAAATTTCCAAAAGTGAGATTACTGTGAGTCACAGGGCATGAGCATTCTTATTACCCTTGATGTAAATTGCAAAGTTTTCAGGCATGGTGGCTGTCAGCCTGTAAGTCCAGCACTTTGGGAGGCTGAGGTGGGAGGATTGCTTGAGGCCAGGAGTTGGAGGAGGCAGTGTAATGAGTCACTGTCTGTATGATTTAAAAAAAATTTCCAAGCTCTATCCTGGAAGGCTTATATACATTTTAAACACCACTAGTACTACAAGAAAATGGCCATTTCACTGCACCTTCGCCCACACAGGTATTATAATTTAACAAGTTATTTTCTGTGTGATAAATGAAAGACCTCATATTATTACTTTGTCACCCATTTTTTTTTTTTTTTTTTTTTTTTTTTTTGTGAGATGCAGGCTCGCTCTGTCAACCAGGCTGGAGTGCAGTGGTGTGATCTCGGCTCACTGCAACCTCTGCCTCCCAGGTTCAAGCGATTCTCCTGCCTCAGCCTCCTGAGTAGCTGGGATTACAGGCACATGCCACCGTGCCTGGCTAATTTTTGTATTTTTAGTAGAAATGGGGTTTCACCATGTTGATCAGGCTGGTCTCGAACTCCTGACCTTGTGATCTACCCGCCTCGGCCTCCCAAAGTGCTTGATTACAGCTGTGAGCCATGCGCCCAGCCTATTTGTCACATATTTTATCTTTCCTTATGTTAGCTTATTAGCTTTATTTCTTTATTGTCCTTTTTTTTTTTCTGAGATGAAGTCTTGCTCTGTCTCCTAGGCTTGAGTGTAGTGGCACAGTCTCAACTCACTGCAGCCTTGACCTCCTAGGCTCAGGTGATCCTTCCACCTCAGTAGTTGGGACTATAGGCACGTGCCACTATGCCTGGCCAATTATTTTTATTTTTTTATTTTTACTAGAGACGAGGTCTTGCTTTGTTTCTTAGGCTGGTCTGGAACTCCTGGCCTCAAGCAATCCCCCCACCACCCCCTCCCAAAGTACTGGTATTATAAGCATGAGCCACCATGCCTGGGGTATCTGTGTCTTTTCCATTTATTTATAGAGTTACTTTGTCTTTTACTAATTCAATGATCTGTTTAATCTTTTATTAAATTATAAAAATAGTAAATACTTTTAAATAAGTGAAAAATTTCCTTCACTCTTTAGACCCATAATCTTATCTCAGGAAATAATTGCTATTGAGAAAATGGGCCATATCCTTCAAGATACGTACATGGTGATTGAACATCACTTCACATTTTCATATTTTGTGGACATTTGTGCCAATACCTATTGATCTATCTTAATCTTTTTCATGGTTGCATAATATTTTATTATATGGATGTATCACAATTTACCAGTACCAGTCAACTGCTGGAGGCATTTAGGCTCTTTCTAATATTTGCTTTGAGCTCTTTATATAATTAAAAATTAACCCCCTCAGCCAGGTGTGGCAGCTCATACCTGTAATCCCAGCACTTTGGAAGGCTGAGGTGGGAGAACATCCTGAGTGTAGGAGATCACCACCAACCTGGTCAACATAGCGACACTTTGTGTCTACTAAAAATTAAAAAAAAAAAATGAGCTACATGTTGCAGTGCACACCTGTAGTCCCAGCTACTGGGGAGGCTAAGACTGGAGGATCACTTGAGTCTAGAAGGTTGAGGCTGCAGTAAGCTATGATCACACCATTGCACTTTAGCTTTGCTAAGAGCAAGACTGCATTTCTTAAACAAAATAAAAATTACATGGGAATATTGCTCAAGCCCTGGAGGTTGAGGCTGCAGTTAACTGTGATTGCACCACTGCAGTCCAGCCTAGGCGATAGAGCAAGACCCTTTCTCTAAAAATAAAATAAAAATTAACCTTCTATCATATTTCTGAGTAACACCTTCCCTCCTACGTTTCTCCTAGAAGCCCTTAAATTTTGTTTTTCACATACCATTTAAAACTTTTGAGTGCTGATGTTTGTCTGTGTCATCCCTCTTTTTTTAAGAATGTCTTTTTGTCACTTCTAGCTGGACCTACCATGAAAGACTTCTGAATCCAGGAAGAGAGACTGACTGGGCAACATGTTGTTCAGGTACAAAAAGACTTGGACCGTAACTCAAAAATGATCAAATAATAGTGCATGCATCAAGTGCAATGGGAAGCTCTTCTGGAGAGGGAGAGAAGCTTCCAGTTAAGGTGACATTGAAGCCAAGTCCTGTAAGATGAGGAAGAGTTATATGAGAGTGGGGAGGGAAGGGGGAGGTGGAGGGATGGGGATTGGGCTGGGCTGGGATGGAATGAGCTGCCCAGGCAGGGAAACCAGCACTATATAGACCTGAACAATGAAGATGGCACATTTTGTTCAGGGAATGGTGAATTAAGTGTGGCAGGAATGCTTTGGAGAGACGGTCATTTGCTTGTATGGAATTTTGCCCAAGAGACCTCATTACAGTTTCTAATTTTTTGATGTTATCATGCATCACTGCCCTTGTCAGATAGTATCATGATCACAGTAACATCAAGCATAATATTTCATTGATCCTCACAAAAACAGGTGGGTGCCACAGTTATCCCCATTATGTGCTCAAAATGATGAAGACTTGGGGTTAATGAGCAATTTGCCCAAGCTCACCTGAATATTAAGACTGAGTCAAATGTTATTCTGGTCTGACTTTAATGCTTGCCTTGTTCATGAGCACCGTGCATTGCCTCTCCTATGCAGTTAAGCAGGTAGACAGGTGAGAGAAGAGCCCGTGTGATATCGGGGGAAATTCACCCCTGATATTTCATGTAGGTTCTTTTCTATTTTCCCTGAGTGTCGGCCAGTCTGAGAAATAAAGGGAAAGAGTACAAAAGAGAGAAATTTTAAAGCTGGGTGTCCAGGGGAGACATCACATGTCAGCAGGTTCTGCGATGCCCCCCAAGCCGCAAAACCAAAAGTTTTTATTAGTGATTTTCAAAAGGGGAGGGAGTGTACGAATAGGGTGTGGGTCACAGAGATCACATGCTTCACAAGGTAATAAAATATCACAAGGCAAATGGAGAATATATATGATTCACATACCCTTCAATTGATTTATTTATTGAAATCTGCAATTCAGTAGGTTTTAGAATATTCACAGAGCTGTGCATTGATCACCACAGTCACTTTTAGAACCTTTCATTATCCTGTAGAGAAATCCATACCCCTTAGCCGCTACCTCCTACTCTCCCCACCTACCTTCGCCCCCAGCCTTAGGCAACCATTGATTAATTTTTTTGTCACTATAGATTTGCCTAATCTGGACAAATAGAATTGTACAATATGTGATCTTTTGTGGCTTTTTTCCCTCTTAGCACAGTGTTTTCAAAGTTCCTTTATGTCATAGTGTGTATCAATATTTCATTCCTTCTATGGCAGTATTCCATGGTAGAGACACACTGCATTTTGTTTATTTGTTCATCAGTTGGTGGATATTTGGGTTGTTTCCATGTATTCCATGTATTGGTCATTATGAATAATGCTGCTATGAAGATTGTTGTACAAGTTTTTGTGTGGACATATATTTTTATTTTTCTGGGATATATGCCTATGAGTGAAATTGTTGCATTATAGGATGACTGTACATTTAGCCTTTTGAGAAACTGCCAGACTGTTTTCTAAAGTGGCTACACCAGTTGGGTGCAATGGCTCACACCTGTAATCCCAGCTACGCAGGAGGCTCAGCTAGGAGGATGGCTTGAGCCCATGAATTCAAGACCAGCCTGGGCAAGATAGTGAAACCCTGTCTTGATTTTTTTAAAATCCAATTAAAATGACAAGAAAAGAAATACCCAAACAAAATGGTTACATGATTTTATGTTCCCACCAGTAATGTATGTGGGTTCCAATTCCTCCACATCTTCACTGACATTTTTTTTTTTCTAGATAGGGGCTTGCTCTGTCTCTCAGGCCGCAGTGCAATGATGCCATCACAGTTCACTGCAGCCTTGACCTCCCAGGCACAAGTGATTCTCTCATCTCAGCCTCCTGAGTAGCTGAAAATTACAGGTGTACACCACCATGCCTGGCTAATTTTTATATTTTTTTGTAGTGATGGGATTTTACCATGTTGCCCAGGCTGGTCTCATACTCCTGGCCTCAAGTGATCTGCCCACCTCAGCCTCCCTAAGTTCTGGAATTACAGGCTGCCACCATGCCCGGCCTTCACCAACATTTGCCATTATCTGCTTTTTTTTTTTTCCTTTATACCTTAAAGCAGTATAAGAACAAGTGTCTTCAATTATAGGAAACAGTATAATCCCAGGGCATTGGGAGGCTAAGACAGGAAGATGTCTTGATGCCAGGAGTCTTTTTTGTTGTTGTTGTTTTTGTTTTTGTTGTTGTTGTTGCTGTTGTTGTTGTTTTTGACAGAGTCTCGCTCTGTCACCCAGGGTGGAGTGCAGTGATGGGGTCCACTGCAACCTCCACCTCCCAAGTTCAAGTGATTCTCCTGCCTCAGCCTCCCGAGTAGCTGAGACTACAGGTACACGCCACTACTGCCCAGCTAATTTTTTTATTTTTGGTAGAGTCAGAGTTTCACCATGTTGGCCAGGCTGGTCTCGAACTCCAGACTTCAGGTGATTTGCCTGCCTTAGCCTCCCAAAGTGCTGGGATACAAGCATGAGCCACCATGCCCAGCCTGATGCCAGGAGTTTTAGACTAGCCTGGGCAACCTAGCAAGACCTTGTCTCTACAGAATATTTAAACATTAGCCAAACGTGGTGGTGCCTGTGTATAGTCTCTCTCCCTCTCTTTTTTTTCTTTCTAACTTTTTGTGACATGGTCTGGCTCTGTCACCCAGGCTGAAGTGCAGTGGTGTGATCATGGCTCACTGCAGCCTGAAACTCCTGGGATCAAGTGATCAATCCTCCCACCTCATCCTACCAAGTAGTAGAGACCACAGGTATATGCCACCCAGGTCTTGCTATGTTGCCCAGGCTGGTCTTGAGCTCCTGGCCTCAAGCAATCTTCTCACCTTGGCCCCCCACAGTGCAAGGATTACAGGTATGAGCCGCCATGCCTGGCCCCTACCCTGCCTATTGAGAACCAAAAGAAGGATCCAAATTCTCCTTAGCTCAACTCGAGCCATTTCCTGATTGCTTCATCAGCAAGAAGCTGGTTATTGGGCTGTCCAGGCCTCCCAAGCAGCACAGAAATGAGGTGAAGGAGTTTTCCTGCTGCTCCACTCTGTAAGGAGTTGGAGGGTGATGTTTACTCGTTTGCAGAGAGAGATGCCTTGTAGGCACCTCAGGATGGAGAGGACCCTGATTCCAATGTCCTTTTTTTCTTTAGAAACAGGACCTTGCCCTGTCATTTAGGATGGAGTTCAGTGGTCCAATCATGGCTCATTGTAGCCTCAAACTCCCAGGCTCAAGCAATCCTACCATGTCAGCCTTCCCAGTAGCTGGGACTACAGGTAAGCATCGTGACACTCAGTGAATTTTGTTTTTATTTTTTTGTAGAGATGGGGCCTCAGTATGTTGCCACGGCTGACCTTGAATTCCTGCACTCAAGGGATTTTCCTGCCCTGGCCTCCCAAAGTATTGGTATTACAGGCATGAGCTATTGTGCCCACCGTCTCTGGTTCTTAACCTTCTGCCTCCCTCTTCCAGTTTTAAAGAATGCTTGTAATTACATGGGCTCTCCTAGATACTCCAGGATAATCTTGTTTTAAGGTCAGCTGATGAGCAACATTAATTTTATCTGCACTCTTAATTCCCCCTTCCTATGTAATTGTGCTGTGTAACATAGGACATGAGCAATTGGTGGCGGCGGTGGGGGTTATTACTTTGGCCACCACAGTAACTATTTTATGCCAGGTACTCAGCTAAGCATTGGTGAATTAAGCATGAATAACACACACTCCCTAATCTCCATCCATTCATGGGAGGAGCACCTCACCTGCCATGCTCCTGAGAATCTCGGCAGTCAAAGAAGTCTTCTATGAGGAGGTGATGCCAAAGCGGACAAGTGACAGAGGAGTCGAAGCTAGCTAGGAAGAGAGTAGAGGTTTAAGGGGAAGCATATTATAAGCAGAGGATATCACCCACTTCAGAGACTCCCAGAGGAGAAGGAGTGGGCGTTCAAGGGGCAGATGAAGCTCAGTTGGACTCCATAGCAGATGAAATGGAGAGGGGCAAGCAGTGAGGCTGCCTTGCAAGGCAGGGCAGAGCAGGGGCTGTTAAGGAGTTTGGACTTAATCCCTGAGGCAAGGAGAAGTGATGTAAATGGGGGAGTAACATGATGAGATTCATGGATTAGAGACATGGCTCAGGCTGCTGTAGAGAAGGCACCAGGGAGAGCAGATGGCTCAATGGGTGTGCAGGATACCTCTCACTGAGTTTAGGGAAAGGTTTTTAAAACAGAAGAAGTTTGAGTAATTTAAATTATGATGGGAAGGAGCTAAAAGTGGGGGATAGGTTAAAGATACAGGAAAGTGGGAGGAAGAACTGACAAGTGAGGTTCCAGAGAGGGCAGGAGAAGAGGAGATTCCCATAGGGGGATTAACACTTTCTTTTCTTTTTTCTTTCTAAGACAGGGTCTCACTCTGTCGCCCAGGCTGGAGTGCAGTGACACAATCTTGGCTCACTGTAGTGTAGACTTCCCAGGCTCAAGGGATTCTCCCACCCCAGACTCCCAAGTAGCTGGAACTACGGGTGTGCACCACCACCACACCTGGCTAATGTTTCTTTTTTTGGTAGACACAGAGTCTCACTATTTAGCGCTGATTGGTCTCCAACTCCTGGCCTCAAGCGATCCTCCTGCCTAGGCTTCCCAAATTGCTGGGATTACAGGCATGAGCCACAATGCCTGGCCTCTGCTAGTTCCATATTCTCTAGAGTTGTCTTTACTTTCTGCTAGTGTGTCCCTCATTGTGCTGATCCTCTGTAAAAATTAATACCTTTTTTTTTTTTTCGAGATGGAGTTTCACTCTTGTTGCCCAGGCTGGAGTGCAATGGCGCTATGTCGGCTCAGCGCAACCTCCACCTGCCGGGTTCAAGCCTCCCGAGTAGTTGGGATTACAGGCATGTGCCACCATGCCCAGCTAATTTTGTATTTTTAGTAGAGATGGGGTTTCTCCATGCTGGTCAGGCTGGTCTCCAACTCCCGACCTCAGGTGATCTGTCTGCCTTGGCCTCCCAAAGTGCTGGGATTACAGGCATGAGCCATTGTGCCTGGCCGAAATTAATACTTTTTATATTAAATTTACATATATATACGTTTTTTCTTTTTGATACCGGGTCTCACACTGTCACCCAGGCTGGAGTACAGTGGCACAACCTCTGCTCACTGCAGCCTCCACCTGCCAGGCTCAAGCAATTCTCCTGCCTCAGCCTCCTGAGTAGCTGGGATTATAGGTAAGTGCCACCACACCCAGCTGATTTTTGTGTTTTTTGTAGAGACGAGGTTTTGCCATGTTTCCCAGACTGTTCTCAAACTCCTGAGCTCAAAGCAGTCCACCCATCTTGTCCTCCCAGAGTGCTGGGATTACAGGTGTGAGCCACCTTGCTCATTCTAGTTTAAACTGTTGAGTGGTTTGTGTCTCCTGATTGGACTCCTACAAATACAGAATTGATGCTAGGAAGGGTACCAGGAGATAGACGCATACAGATGGGATTTGGGAATAGGTTTGGTTATCCAAGGAGCAGTGCTGAGCTCCTTGCTAATGGGGTATGGGATGCTGGTGATTTCCAGGAAGTGAGCTCACAATGACTCAAGCTACCACATAGTGTTGATTGTGAAATGCCAGTTGAAGCATATGTCCTGCGAGCTTAGGGGTGCTACAAGTTGACCACTGCAGCAGTAAAGATGACTCTGAAGAATGGCATGGGATGGATCCTTTCGAATGCACTTGAGCAGCGGTCTCCAACCACAGGGCCACAGAGCTGGAGGTGAGCAGCAGGCGAGTGAAGGGAAACTTCATCTGTATTTCTAGCCCCTCCCATCGCTTGCATGACCACTTGAGCTCCATGTCCTGTCAGATCAGCAGCAGCATTAGATTCTCATAGGAGCACAAACTCTGTTGTGAAGTGTGCATGCGAGGGATCTAGGTTGTGTACTCCTTATGAGAATCTAATGCCTGATATTCTGTTACTGTCTCCCATCACCCCAGATGGACAGTCTAGTTGCAGGAAAACAAGCTCAGAGATCCCACTGAGTCTACATTATAGTGCGTTGTAGAATCATTTCATTATATATTACTATGTAGTAATAATAGAAATAAAGTACACAATATATGTAATGCACTTGAATCATCCTGAAATTATTCCCTCACTCCCAATCTGTGGAAAAATTGTCTTCCACACATTCACTCTGTTTTTTGGTAGAGGCAGGGTCTTAATATATTGCCCAGGCTGATCTCAAACTCCTGGCCTCAAGTAATACACCTCTCTCAGCCTCCCAAAGTGCTGAGATTACAGGCATAAGCCACCACCTTCAACCAAGACTTTCTTAAACCAAATAAAAATTAAGTGAGATTACTTGAGCCCAGGTTGTCAAGGCTGCAGTGAGCCTGATTGCACCACTGCACTCCAGCCTAGGTGACAGAATGAAACTGTCTCAAAAAATAAAATAAAATAAAATAAAATAAAATAAAAATTAACCCTTTATGACATTCCCAGTAACTTTCCCTCCTAAGTGTTCCCCACAAGTCTTTGAATTCTGTTTAATTTTCACATAACATTTAAGACGTTTAAGAACTTATGTCTGTCTGTGTCATCCCTTTATGTCAAAAGATGTCTTTTTGTCACTTCCAGCTGGATCTACCATGAAAGACTTCTGAATCCAGGAAGAGAGACTGACTGGGCAACATGTTATTCAGGTACAAAAAGATTTGGACTGTAAGTTAAAAATGATCAAATAATAGTGCATGCATCAAGTGCAATGGGAAGCTCTTCTGGAGAGTGAGAGAAGCTTCCAGTTAAGGTAACATTGAAGCCAAGTCCTGAAAGATGAGGAAGAGTTGTATGAGAGAGGGGAGGGAAGGGGGAGGTGGAGGGATGGGGAATGGGCTGGGATGGGATAGCGCAAACTGCCCTGGAAGGGAAACCAGCACTGTACAGACCTGAACAACGAAGATGGCATATTTTGTTCAGGGAATGGTGAATTAGGTGTGGCAGGAATGCTTTGTAGAGACAGTAATTTGCTTGTATGGAATTTTGCCTGAGAGACCTCATTGCAGTTTCTGATTTTTTGATGTCATCATTCATCACTGTCCTTGTCAAATAGTTTGGAATAGAATGATCATAATAACCCCAAGCATAATATTTCATTAATTCTCACAGAATCACAGGTAGGTGCCACAGTTATCCCCATTTTATGAATGGAGTGATGAAGCCTTAGGAATAATGAATGATTTGCCCAAGCTCACCTGGATATTAAGACTGAGTCAAATGTTGGGTCTGGTCTGACTTTAATGTTTGCTTTGTTCATGAGCACCACGTATTTCCTCTCCTATGCAGTTAAGCAGGTAGACAGGTGACAGAAAAGCCCATGTTTGTCTCTACTCACACTCTTCCGACTGAATGTATGTATGGAGTTTCTACACCAAATTCTCCAGTGCTCTGGATATTAACTGGGTATCCCATGATTTTATTCTGACACTGCCTGGAGTTAGCACAGACCCCACAAGTTACGGGCTCAGTCCCACGAGACCATCCTCACTTCAGATGCCAATGGCAAGTCCTAGGTTGTCACCTGTACTTTTGACCAACCTGTTACAAATTGGGGGTTCCCATAACTCTATTCTTGGGTTTAATTATTTGCTAGAACAGTTTACAGAACTCAGAAAAACAGTTTATTTTCTTTTTTTCTAAGAGAGAGGGTCTTATTTTTTTGCCCAGGCTGGTGTGCAGTGGTGCAGTCATAGCTCACTGCAGCCTTGACTGCCTGGGCTCCAGTGGTTCTCCCACCTCATCCTCCCTAGTAGCTGAGACTACATGCCTGCACCACCACATCTGGCTAATTTATTTTTTGTATAGATGGGGTCTTGTTGTGTTGCCCAGGCTGGCCACAAATTCCTGGTCTCAAGTGATTCTCCCACCTCTGCCTCTTAAAGTGCTAGGATTACAGATGTCAGCCACCGCATCTGGCCAGTTCATCTCCTATTGCTGGTTCATTGCAAAGGATACATTTCAGAAACAGCCAATGAAAGAGACGTACATGCTGGATGCAGTGGCTCACGCCTGTAATCTCAGAACTTTGGGAGGCCAAGGTGGGAACGTCGCTTAAACTGAGGAGTTTGAGACCAGCCTAGGCAACATGGTGAAAACCTGTCTCTACAAAAAACAAAAAAATAATAATAACCGGGTGTGGTGGTGTGCACCTAGAGTTCCAACTACTAGGGATGCTGAGGTGAGAGGACACCTTGAGCTGGGGACTGGGGAGGCTTAGGTTACAGTGAGTTGAGATTGTGCCACTCCACTCTAGCTTGGACAAAAGAGCCAGACCCTATCTCAAAAAAAAGAAAGATGCCCAGGGCAAGGTAAGTTAGGAGGGGCACAGAGCTCCCATGCCCTCTGTTGAACATGCCACCCTCCCAGCATCTCCTGTGTTCAGCAACCCCGGAAGCTCCGCAAACCCTGTTCAGGGTGTTTATGGAGGCTTTATTATGCAAGCATGATTGATAAAATCTTTGGCCATTGGTGATTAAGGCAGTCTCCAGCCCCTCTTCCTCCTGGAGTTCAGTGCATGAGGCTGAAAGTTCCAAGCGTCTAATCATGTGGTTGCTTCCATTGGCAATCAGCCCTCCTCCTGAAGAAATCTAGGAGCTTGCAGTCACCCAGTCATCTCAACAACATCCCCAAATGCATTCTTACCATGCTGGAGATCCCAAAATTCTTAGAGGCTCTTGTGTTAGAAACCTGGGACCAAGACCAAATATTAAAACAAAAGATGTTCCTGTCACATCTATCACTGAGGTCTTTGTAAGAGCTTTAGAAGCTCTGTGCCAGGAACCAGGGACAGAGATGAAATATATATTTCTTTTCTTTTTTTTGAGACAGAATCTCCCTGTGTCATCCAGGCTGGAGTGCAGTGATGTGATCATAGCTCACTCTAGCTTTGGCCTTCTGAGATCAAGCGATCCTCCCATCTCAACCTCCCAAGTAGCTAGGACTACACATGCATGTCACCCATGCCCAGCTCATTTTTGTAGAGTCGGAGTTTCACCATGTTGGCCAGATGGGGTCTTCTTTTGTTGCCCAAGCTGGCCACAAATTCCTGGGCTCAAGTGATCCTCCCACCTCATCCTTGTAAAGATGAGATTTAGTTATGTCGTCCAGGCTGATCTCAAACTCCTGGGCTAAATCGATTGTCTCACCTCAGCCTCTCAAGTAGCTGGGACTACAGGCGCATACCACCATGTTGGGCTAATATTTATTTTTATTTTTTTCTAGAGGCGGGGGTCTCACTATGTTGTTCATGCTAGTTTCAAACTTCGGGCCTCAAGTGTTCCTCCTGCCTTGACCTCCCAAAGTGTTGGGATTCTGGGTGGGAGCCCCCATGCCCAGCAATTACAAGGGTCTTTATAAAAGAAAGAGAGTAGGAGATTCAGAATTGGAGCAGGAGATGTGGTGATGAAAGCAGAGGTAAGAGAGGGAGATTTGAAGATGCTTCACTTCTGGCTTTGAAGATGGAGTCAGGGGCCATGATCCAAGGAATGGGGGTGGCTTCTAGAAGCTAGAAAAGCCAAGGGAACACTTTAGAGTCTCTAGAAGGAATGCAGCCCTGCTGACACCTTGACTTTAGCCTTAATAGACCTAGTTTGGGTTTCTGGCCCCTAGAACTGTAAGATGGTAGATTTGTGGTGTTTTAAGCCACTAAATGTAGGAAACTGCAAACTATGTTGCAGCAGCAAGAAGAAATGAACATGAAGCCAGGCATGATGGCTCATGCCGGTAATCCCAGCACTTTAGGAATTTAGGCAGGAGGATCACTTGAGGCCAGCAGTTCAAGACCAGTCTGGGCAACATAGTAAGACCTTGTCTCTACAAAAAATGAAAAAATTGGCCAGGCATGGTGGCTCATGCCTGTAATTCCAGCACTTTGGGAGGCCGAAGTGGGCAGATTACCTGAGGTCAGGAGTTCGAGACCAGCCTGGCCAACATTGCAAAACCCCGGCTCTACTAAAAATAGAAAAATTAGCTGGGCGTGGTGGCACGCACCTGTAATCCCAGCTACTTGGAAGGCTGAGGCAGGAGAATCACTTGAATCTGGGAGGTGGAGGTTGCAGTGAGCTGGGATTGCACCATTACACTACAGCCTGGGCAAGAAGAGTGAAACTCTGTCTCAAAATAAAATAAAATAAAATACTAAAAAATTTAGCCAGGCATGATGGCATGAACCTGGAGTCCCAGCTACTCGGGAGACTGAGGTGGGAGGATCACTTGAGCCTGGAAATTTGAGGTTGCAGTGAGCTGTGATTGCGCCACTGCACTCCAGCCTTGGTGACAGTGAGATCTTGAAAAAAAGAAAGAAGAAAGTAAAGAAAGAAGAAATGAGCATGGTGGGCATGGGGACAGATGGCAATGTTAAATAGAATGGTCAGGGGTGGCCTCCTAAGTGAAAATTGAGTAAAGACTTGAAGGAGGGGAAGGAGCTGGCCAAGGTGCTGAGGGAAGAGGCTTGTAGGCAGAAACAATAGAATAAAGTGTCTGAGGTGTGTCTGCGGCTCTGGAAGGAGGCCCATGGAGCAGACGGAGAGAGGGAGAGAATTAGGGGAAGGGGGCCAGGGAATTGCTGGGTGGAGATCAGTACAGATCACATAAGCCCTGGGAGGTTATTCCTGGGGCTTTGGCTTTTACTCTGACTCAGATGGGAACTGCGGGAAGGTTCTGAGCAGAGAGGTGACATGATCTGTCTCCCAATTTAAAAGCATTGTCTGGCTGCTGAGTTGAGAAAGACTGTGGGAAGATGTGGGTAGAAGCATGGGGGCCAAGCTTTGGCAACATCCAGGCGGGAGATGATGGTGGTCCTGACCAGGGTCGTGGTGGTGTTGAGAGATGGTCAGAGGGGAGAAGTAGGGGAGGAGGCCAGGGAGTTACTGGGTGGGGATCTTTAGTACATGTTGAAGACAGTCAACAGGATTTCCTGACAGACTGGATATGGGGTGTGAGAGAAGGCAGGGGTCAAGGTTGAGTTTGATTGTTACTGAAATTATTAAGTAATTTTAAAAAACACTACTGCCTTTCCCAATCCTACCAAGTATGGGATGCTAGATTAAAGAAATCTCTTCAGGCTCATTGCAGTGGCTCATGCCTGTAGTCCCAGCTGTTTGGTAAGCAGAGGTGGGAGTATCTTTTAAGGGCAGGTGTTCAAGACCAGCCTGGACAACACAGCAAGATCTGCTCTTTACAAAAATATTTTTCAAAATTAAATAAATGTAGCTAGGCATGGTGATGTGTACTTGTAGTTTCAGCTACTCAGGAGGCTGAAGTGGGCAGATCTCTTGAGGTCAGGAGTTTGAGGCCAGCTTGGGCAACATAGCAAGACCCCTCACTCTACAAAAAAATTAAAAAAATAACCAGGCATGGGGGCACTCAACTGTACTACCAGCTACTGGGGAGCTGAGGCAGGAAGATGGCTTGAGCCCAGGAGGTCGAGGCTGCAGTGAGCTGTAAGTGCACAGCTGCACTCCAGTCTGGGTGACAGAGCAGGACCTGTCTCACAATACAAATAAAAATACAAGTAAAATAATGAAATCTCAAGTCAGAGCCTTTTGGCTCTGCAGCACTTGCAACCCCTCAGCCGTGCAGTGGGGTTTGTGTCGCTGGGAATGAGGAGACCCCTGCCCGGTGTTGTTGCATGTCTAATCAGTGTTTTAAAACATATATTAATCGGGGTGGGTGCGGTGGCTCACACCTGTAATCCCAGCACTTAGGGAGACCCAGGCGGATGGATCACCTGAGGTCAAGAGTTCAAGACCAGCCTTCTCTACTAAGAAAACTCCTTCTCTACTAAGAAAATACAATAATTAGCCGGACATGGTAGTGGGCGCCTGTAATCCCAGCTACTTGGGAGGCTGAGGTAGGAGAATCGCTTGAACCTGCGGGGCGGAGGTTGCAATGAGCTGAGATTGCGCCACTTCACTCCAGCCTGGGCAAAAGAACAAGACTTTGTCTCAAAGAAAAAAACAAAAGTATTATATCAACATGTAATGGTTTTATTATTAATATGTGATGAATATTAAATATTTTTAAAATCTTGTATTATATCAACATGTAATGGCTTTAATATGTGATGAATAATATTTAAAAATTTTTGTCTTATTTTCTAGTTTTAATATAATTATTTACAGAAAGAAATAGTCTTAGAGTTCTTCAATAAAGTTAAAAAATGTAAAGGGATGTTAGACCCCAAAAGATTGAGAATTTCTAGTTTAGAAATATTCAGAGTAAGCCACATACAACTTGCTACTTGAACTATTTTTTTTCTTTGTTTTTTATTTTAGGAGATGGGGTCTCACCCTGTCACCCAGGCTTGAGTACAGTAGTGCTATCACAGCTCACTGCAGCCTTGAACTCCTGGGCTAAGGATCCTCCTACCTGAGCCTCCTGAGTAGCTGGGACTGTAGATATACATGACGATACTTGGCTAATTTTTAAATTGTTTTGTAGACATGGGGTCTCACTTTGTTGGCCAGGCTGGTGTCAAACTCATGGCCTCAAGTGACCCTTCCACCCCTGCCTCCCATCCTAGAGGTATGTGCCATCACAAGGAGCACTTGTTCAATTTTCTAAAAAAAAAATTTCTAAAGTAAGGCTGTGGGATGATGGCAGGAAGATAAAACAGAAGAATAAGTTAAAATGACTTATTCACACATATTCTTTTGATAGCAAGAAGAACTTTTAGTATATACATTCCTTACAAACAAACAAAAGGCAGATAAACAATGTTGTATAGGAACTTCAACACACACTGTACAATATTCCCACTTTGCTGACATAAGTTATGGAAATTTCATGGTTTACTTGAGTGTCGCTACCAGTATTTTGCTTCTCTGATCATTTTTATCAACTTCCTCATCTGTTAACTTCTCTCCAAGGTATGTCATATCATGACATACTGCCGCTGCACGAACATGGCCAGTGTCTTCCTATTAAACATGTAGAATGCTTTCCTAATTTCTCTTTTTACTCTCTGTCTTTGTGTTTTGCATTTTCCTTACTTTTATTGTCAGAAACTCCAGAAAGTCAATCATACTAATTTATCACCATTTGCTTTATTAATTTATACTTTGCTTATATGGAATTTTGCCCAACAGACCTCATTACAATTTCTAACCTGTTTTAGTTTGTTTTGTTTTTTTCTGAGACAGGGTCTCCCTCTCTTGTCCAAGGCTGGAGTGTAGTAGTGCTATCACAGCTGACTGCAGCCTCAACCTTCCAGGCTGAAGCGATCCTCCCATCTCAACCTCCCACGTGGCTGAGACTATAGGTGCTTGCCACTATGCCCAACTAATATTTGGAATTTTCCTATACGTGGATTCCAGAGGGGTGACAGCGAAACGTGAGTAAGCATGGATTTTGGTATATGCAGAGATGGGGGGCTGGAACTAATTCTGTATACTGAGGGACAACAGTATATGTTTTTACAATTACGCTGTAAGATACATACTGTTGCATAGCCTTGAAAATAATAATTTTTAATTGAGTGGAATAATAATATTGATAAAAGTAGCAGCTGGCCAGGTGTGGTGGCTCACACTGGTAATCGCAACACTTTGGGAGGCTGAGGCAGGAGGATGGCTTGAGGCCAAGAGTTTGCGATAGGCCTTGGAAACAAAGGGAGTCACCATCCCTATAGAAAAATACATGAGTTAGCCTAGTGTGGTGGCATGTTCCTGTAGTCCCAGCTACTTGGGAGGCTGAGCTGGGAGGATCACTTGAGCCCAAGGAGGCTGAGACTGCAGTGAGTCATGATCAGGCCTCTGCACTCCAGCCTCAGTGACAGAGTGAGACCCTGTCTCAGAACAACAAAAAAGTAGCAGCTAACATCAACTGACCTTTTACCAGGTGCCTATTGATACCATAGTTTAATTTCTTATAACTGTTTCTTATTTCACTTACCAACTCTGTCTTCAGTTACTCCCCAGATTTTTACTGTGTTTGTACAGATGACCTTTTGTTGAGATTGAATTGTCTCCCCAGAAGTAAGATTACTGTGAGTCATGGTGAATGGACATTCTCCTTACCCTTGATGTAAATGGACAAGGTTTTGGGTGCCTCCCAGCTATAATCTTAGCACTTTGGGAGGCTAAGACAGGAGGATTGCTTGAGGCCAAGAGTTGGAGGAGGCAATATGGCAGTATGGTGAGACCCTGTCTGTATTATTTTTAAAAATTGACAAGCTTTACCCTGGAAGGCTTATACACAATTTAAACATCCCTCATAGTATAAGAAAGTGCCCATTTCACTGCACCTTTGCCAGCACAGGGTATTATAATTTAGTAAGTCATTTTTTGTTTGATTATTTTAAATAGATAAAAGACCTCATATTACTTTACTTGTCACATTTCAACATCTTCCCTTAGCTTATTAGCTCTATTTCTTTTCTGTCTGTAAATGGTTGTTGTTGTTTTGTTCTTTGAGACAGGGTCTTGCTCTGTCACCAGGCTGGACTGTAGTGGCATAATCATGCCTCACTGCAGCCTTGACCTCCCAGGCTCAAACTTCAGCATTCCGAGTAGCTGGGACTACAAGTGTGCACCACCACTCCCAGCTAATTTTTTTCTTTTTTTGGATAGAGACAGGGTCTCACTGTATTGTCCAGACCGGTCTCTAGCTCCTGGCCTTAAGCAATCCTCCTGCATTAGCTTCTCAAATTGCTGGAATTTCAGGCATGAGCCACCATGCCTGGCCTGGGCTAGTCCTATATTCTCTAGAGTTCTCTTTACTTTGTGCTAGCCAATCTCTCATTATGCTGTTCACCTGTTATAATGAATAATTCTCTGTATTAAATTTTACCACTTTAAACTTTTGAGCAGTTTATGCTTCCTGATTGGACTCTAATATGTTAGGAAGGGTCCCAGGAGATAAACCCACACAGATGGGATTTGGGCATAGGTTTGGTTTCCCAGGGGGCAGTGCTGAGCTCTTTGCCAGTGGGAAATGGGATGCTGGTGATTTCCAGGAAGTGACCTCACAATGACTCAAGCTACCACTTACTGTTGATTGTGACGAAATGCCAGCTGAGGCACATGCCTTGGGAGCTAAGTGGTTGCTGCACTTGACCACTGTGAAGACTGGTGTGGGAAGGGTTGTTTTGGATGCACTTGAGCAGGGGTCCCCAACCCCTGAGCCATGGAGCCGTAAGGAGCCACACAGCAGGAGGTGAGTGGTGTCGAGTGAGGGAGTGAGGGAAGCTTCGTCTGTATTTACAGCCACTCCCCTTTGCTCACATTCCCGCCTGAGCTCCACCTTCTCAGATGAGCAGCAGCATTAGATTCTCATAGGAGAGCGCACCCTGTTGTGAACCGTGCATGTGAGGGATCTAGGTTGCGCTGTCCTTATGAGAATCTAATACCTATTGATCTGTCACTTTCTCCCATCACGCTCAGGTAGGACCATCCAGTTGCAGAAAAACAAGCTTAACACGCCCACTGATTCTACATTATGGTGAGTTCTATAATTATTTTATTATATATTACAGTGTAATAATGGAAATAAAGTGTCTAATAAATGTAATGTGCTTAAATCTTTTGGCCCAGCCCCTACCTCCCGGCAGCCTCTCCAGGCCCAGAACTTTCTCCAGTCAGCCTCCACAGACCAAGCTCATGACTCACAATGGCCTATTTAGGCCCATACCCTACCTCACGGCAGTCTCTGCAGATGAGGCTACTGCCTCACAACAGCCTCCACAGGCACAGCTCCACCGTTACAATGGCCTCTTTAGACCCAGCTCCTGCCTCCCAGCCTTCTCTCCAGGCCCTGAGCTTTCTCAAGTCGACCTCACCAGGCCCAGCTCATGCTTCTTGGCAGCCTCTCCAGGCCCAGCTCCTGCATCTTGGCAGCCTCTCCAGGCCCAGCCTCTGCCTCCTGTCAGCCTCTACAGTCCCAACATCTGCCTCACAGCAGATTCTTCAGGCCCAGTATCTGCCTCACTGTGGACCACCCAAGCCAAGCTCCCAACCTTTCAGCAGCTTCTACACACCCAGCTCCTGCCACCCAGTGGCCTCTTTAGGCCAAGCTCATGCCTCACAAGGGCCTTTCCAGGCCCAACTTTTGTCTCATGGCAACCTTCCCTGGCCACATTCCTGCCTGTCTCCCAGCAGCCTAGACAGGCCCAGGTCTTGCCTCACACTGGCCTGTCTACATCCAGCTCTTGCCTCACGGTGGCCTCTCCAGGCCCAGCTCCTGTCCCAGGACGTCATCTCCAGGCCCAAAACTTCCTCAAGTCAGCCTCTCTAGTCCCAACTGCTGCCTCCTGGTGGCCTATGAAGGCCCAAAATCTCCTCAAGTTGACCTCTCCAGGCCCAGCTCCTGCCTCCTGTCAGCGTCTACAGGCCCAACCTCTGCCTCATGGGGGCTTCTCCAGGCCCAGCTCTTCCTCTGGGCTGAGTCTACAGGCACAACTGCTGCCTCACAACAGCCTTTTTTGGCCCAGTTCCTGTCCAGCTCACAGCGACCAATGTAGGCCCAAAACTTCCTCAAGTCAAACTCTCCAGGCCTGCCTTCTTCCTGGTGGCATGAACAGGCCCAGCTTTGACTTGAGAACAGCCTCTGCAGGCCCTGCTCTTGCCTCCCAGGGGCTTCTCCAGGCCCAGCTCTTGCCTCATGGCGGCTGCCCCAGGCCAAGTTTCTGCCTGCCTGCCAGCAGCCTCAACAGGCACAGCTCTTCCCTCACAGTGGCCCATTTAGGCCCAACTCATGACTGTCGGGCCATTTCCAGGCCTAGTGCCTGCCTCCTGGCTGACTCTTGAAGCCCAAAACTTCCTCAAATCAGCCTTTTGCCCAACTTCTGTCTACTGTCGGACTCTACAGGCCAGCCTCTGCCTCACAGTGGACCCTCCAGACCCAGATGGTGTCTCACTGTGGCATCCTCAGGCGAAGCTCCTGCCTTTCAGCAGCCTCTACGGGCCCAGCTCCTGCCTTGCAATGGCCTCTTTAGGCCAAGCTCATGCCCCACGGCGACTTTTCCAGGCACAGCTTTTGCCTTTTGCAGCCTGTCCAGGCCCAGAATGTCCTTAACTCGGCGTCTCCAGGACGAGCTCATCCTCCCAGTGCGTCTACAGGCCCGTCTCCTGCCTCACAACAACCTCCTTTGGTCCAACTCCTGCTGAGCTGCTTGGCAGCCTCTGTAGGCCACAGAGTTCTTAAAGTAAAGCTTTCCAGGCCCACCTTCGGCCTCCCGGCAGCCTCAGCAATCAAACTATTCCCTCACTGCGGCCACCGAAAGCCAAGTTTCTCCCTGCCTCACAGCATCCTCCGAAAACTGAGCATTTGCCTCACGGTGGCCTCCCCAGGCCACGAATCTGCCTGCCTCCCAGGCAGCTGCTGCCTCACAATGGTCTCTTTAGGCCCAGCTCTTGCTAAAAGACAGACTCTCCAGGCACAGCTCTTGCCTCCTGGCAGGCTCTGCAGGCCCAAATTCTCCAAAAGTTGGCCTCTCCTAACTCAGCTCCTGCCTCATGTCGGCCTACACAGGCCCAGACTCTTACCACACAGTAGACCCTCCAGGCCCACCACTTGCCTGAGCATAGCCTCCTAAGGCCAAGCTCCTGCCTTTCGGCAGCCTCTACAGGCCCAGCTCCTGCCTCGCAATTGCCTTTGTAGGCCAAGATCATGCCGCGAAGTGGCCTTTCCTAGCCTAACTTTTGCTTTTTGACGCATACTCCGGTCCCAAAACTTCCTCCAGTCAGCCAGTCCAGGCCAAGCTCTTCCTCCCAAAGGCTTCTGCAGGCCAAAATCGTCCTGAAGTCACCCTCTGCAGGCCCAGCTCCTGCCTCCAAGTGCTGTGTAGGCCAAGCTAATGCCTCACAGCACACTTTCCAGGCTGAGCATTTCCTTTTGTGCATCCTCTCCAAGCCCTGAACTTACTCCAGTTGGCCTCTCCAGACCAAGCTCTCCCTCCCAGTGGCCTCTACAGGCCAAAATTGTCCTCAAGTCAGCCTCTCCAGGGCCAACTCCTAGCTACCGGTGGCTTCTGCAGGCCAAAATCGACCTCAAGTCAGCCTCTTCACACCCAGCTCTTGTCTGTAAGTGGCCTCTGCAGGAGCAAAACTGCCTCAAGTCGGCCTCTCCAGGCCCAGCCTCCTGCTTCCCGAGGGCATGTACAGGCCCAGCCTCTGCCTCACAGCAGACTCTCCATGCCCAGCTCTTCCCTGTCTGCTGCCTCTCCAGTCCAAAGCTGCGCCTGCCTTTCGGCAACTTGTACGGGCCCAGCTCCTCCCTCACGGTGGCCTCTTTTCGCCCAACTCATGCCTCTTGCAACCTGCCCAAGTGTCAGCTCCTGCCTCACACTGGCCTCTTGAGGCTCAGCTCATGCCTCTCGTGGCCTCAACGGGCCCAGCCCCTGCCTGTCGGCGGCCTCTACAGGCCCAGCCTCTACCTCACAGTGGGCTCTCCAGGCCCACCTCTTTCTCACCGTGGCCTCCTGGGGCAATGCTCCCCGCTCTCGGGAGCCTCTGCGGGCCCAGCTCCTGCCTCCCAGTGGCCTCTGTAGGCCAAGCCCGTGCCTCAGGGCAGCCTTTCCAGGCCTAGCGTTTGCTGCTTTGCATCCTCTCCAGGCTCTGGACTTCCTCCAGTCGGCCTCTCCAGGCCCAGCTCTTCCTCCCGGCGGCCTCTGCAGGCCCAGACTGTTGTCAAGTCGGCCTGTCCAGGGCCAGCTCCTGCCTCCCGGTGCCCTCTGCAGGCCCAAGTCGTCCTCAAGTCGGCCTCCCCAGGCCCAGCTCCGGCCTCTCGGCGGCCGCTCCAGGTGCAAAAGTTCCTCGAGTCAGCCTCTCCAGGCCCAGCTCCTCCTGCCTCCCAGCGGCCTCTTTCGGCCCAGCCCAGCTCATGCCTCCCGGCGGCCTTCCCGGCCTCCTGCCTCCCGAAGGCCTGCACAGGCCCAGCCTCAGCCTCACAGCGGACTCTCCACGCCCAGCTAGCTCTCGCCTCACTGCGGCCTCCCAAGTCCAAAGCTCCTGCCTCTCGGCCGCTTTGGCAGGCCCAGCTCCCGCCTGCCAGTGGCCTCTTCAGGCCCATGGGGCTCATTCCTCACAACGGCCTTTCCAGGCCCAGTTTTTCCCTTCCGGCGGCCTCTGCGGACCCAGAACCTCCTCAAGTCGGCCTCTCCAGACCCACTTGCAGCCTCCCGGCGTCCTCTCCGGGCCCAGCTCTTCCTCCCGGCTGCGTCTCCAGGCCCGACTGCTGCCTCCCAACAACCTCTTTGGACTCAGCGCCTGCGCATCTCCTGGCGGCCTTGGTCGGCCCACAGCTTCCTCAAGCCAAGCTCCCCAGGCCCAGGTCAGGCCTCACGGTGGCCTCTCCAGGATCAGCTCCTGCCCTCCGATGGCGTCTCCAGGCCCCAAATGGTCTCCGGTCAGTGGGCTCCTCCACGCCCAGCTTGGGCCTCCCGGTGACCTCTGCAGGCCCAAGTCGTCCTGAAGTCGGCGTCTCCCGGCCCTGCCTCCCAGCAAGTAAGCAAGCTCTTTTGGCTCAACTCCTGCCCAGCTCCCAGCCGCCTTTGTAGGCCCCGAACTTTCTCGAGCCAAGCTCTTCGCGCCCGCCTACTGCCTCTCGGTGGCCTGTACAGGCCCAGCTCTGGCTGTAGAACAGCCTCTGCAGGCCCCGCTCTTGCCTCCTAGGGACCTCTCCAGGCCCAGCTCTCGCCCCCACGGCGGCCTCCCGGGGCCAAGTCCCTGCCTGCCTCCCGGCAGCCCGCGTGCGGCCCAGTTCCTCCCTCACGGTGGCCTGTTGATGCCCAACTCATGCCTCTGACACCCTGCCCAGAGGCGTGAGTCCCTGCCTCACACTGGCTCCTCCCACGCTGAGAGGTCGGCGTGAGCCCCTTGCCTCACACCGGCCCCTCCCATGCTGAGAGAGGTCCGCATGAGCCCCTTGCCTCACACTGGCCCCTCGCCTCACACTGGCCCCTCCCACGCTGACAAAGGTCGGTGTGAGCCCCTTGCCTCACACTGGCCCCTCGCCTTGCACCGGCCCCTCCCATGCCAAGAGAGGTCAGCATGAGCCCCTTGCCTCACAGCGGCCCCTCCCACGCCGAGAGAGGTCAGCGTGAGCCCTTGCCTCACACTGGCCCCTCCCACGCTGAGGTCAGCGTGAGCCCCTGCCTCAACAGGCCACTGTGAGGGAGGAGCAGGGCCGCACGCAGGCTGCCGGGAGCAGGCAGGGACTTGGCCGCGGTGGGGCGAGAGCTGGGCCTGGAGACGCCCCTGGGAGGCAACAGCGGGGCCTGCAGATGCTTTCTGCTGCCAGAGCTGGGACTGTACAGGCCACTGGGAGGCAGGATGTGGGCCTGAAGAGCTTGGCTGCAGAAACTTCGGGGTCTACAAACGCCGGCGGGAGCTGAGCCAAAAGAGCTTGCTTGCTGGGAGGCAGGAGCTGGGCCGAGAGATGCAGCCAGGAGGAACAGCTGGGCCTGCAGAGGCCGCCATGCGGGAGGCAGAGGCCGGGCCTCCTCAAGTCGGCCTCTCCAGACCCACTTGCAGCCTCCCGGCGTCCTCTCCGGGCCCAGCTCTTCCTCCCGGCTGCGTCTCCAGGCCCGACTGCTGCCTCCCAACAACCTCTTTGGACTCAGCGCCTGCGCATCTCCTGGCGGCCTTGGTCGGCCCACAGCTTCCTCAAGCCAAGCTCCCCAGGCCCAGGTCAGGCCTCACGGTGGCCTCTCCAGGATCAGCTCCTGCCCTCCGATGGCGTCTCCAGGCCCCAAATGGTCTCCGGTCAGTGGGCTCCTCCACGCCCAGCTTGGGCCTCCCGGTGACCTCTGCAGGCCCAAGTCGTCCTGAAGTCGGCGTCTCCCGGCCCTGCCTCCCAGCAAGTAAGCAAGCTCTTTTGGCTCAACTCCTGCCCAGCTCCCAGCCGCCTTTGTAGGCCCCGAACTTTCTCGAGCCAAGCTCTTCGCGCCCGCCTACTGCCTCTCGGTGGCCTGTACAGGCCCAGCTCTGGCTGTAGAACAGCCTCTGCAGGCTCCGCTCTTGCCTCCCAGAGGCCTCTCCAGGCCCAGCTCTCGCCCCCACGGCGGCCTCCCGGGGCCAAGTCCCTGCCTGCCTCCCGGCAGCCCGCGTGCAGCCCAGTTCCTCCCTCACGGTGGCCTGTTGATGCCCAACGCATGCCTCTGACACCCTGTCCAGAGGCATGAGTCCCTGCCTCACACTGGCTCCTCCCACGCTGAGAGAGGTCCGCATGAGCCCCTTGCCTCACACCGGCCCCTCCCATGCTGAGAGAGGTCTGCATGAGCCCCTTGCCTCGCACCGGCCCCTGCCATGCTGAGAGAGGTCGGCGTGAGCCCCTTGTCTCGCACCGGCCCCTCCCACGCTGAGAGAGGTCGGCCTGAGCCCCTTGCCTCGCACCGGCCCCTCCCACGCTGAGAGAGGTTGGCGTGAGCCCCTTGCCTCACACTGGCCCCTCCCACGCTGACCCCTTGCCTCACACCAGCCCCTCCCACGCTGACAGAGGTCGGCGTGAGCCCCTTGCCTGACACTAGCCCCTCCCACGCTGACCCCTTGCCTCACACCGGTCCCTCCCACGCTGATCCCTTGCCTCACACCGGCCCCTCCCATGCTGACAGAGGTCAGTGTGAGCCCCTTGCCTCACACTGGCCCCTCCCACGCTGATCCCTTGCCTCACACCGGCCCCTCCCATGCTGACAGAGGTCAGCGTGAGCCCCTTGCCTCACACCGGCCCCTCCCACACTGACAGAGGTCAGCGTGAGCCCCTTGCCTCACACCGGCCCCTCCCACACTGACAGAGGTCAGCGTGAGCCCCTTGCCTCACACCGGCCCCTCCCACACTGACAGAGGTCAGCGTGAGCCCCTTGCCTCACACCGGCCCCTCCACACTGACAGAGGTCAGCGTGAGCCCCTTGCCTCACACCGGCCCCTCCCACGCTGACCCCTTGCCTCACAGCGGCCCCTCCCACACTGACCCCTTGCCTCACACTGGCCCCTCCCATGCTGAGAGAGGTCGGCATGAGCCCTTGCTTCACACCGGCCCCTCCCAGGCTGAGAGAGGTCAGCGTGAGCCCCTGCCTCAACAGGCCACCGTGAGGGAGGAGCAGGGCCGCACGCAGGCTGCCGGGAGCAGGCAGGGACATGGCCCCGGGCGGCCGCGGTGGGGCGAGAGCTGGGCCTGGGGACGCCCCTGGGAGGCAACAGTGGGGCCTGCAGACGCTCTTCTCCTGCCAGAGCTGGGACTGTACAGGCCACTGGGAGGCAGGATGTGGGCCTGAAGAGCTTGGCTGCAGAAACTTCGGGGTCTACAAACGCCGGCGGGAGCTGAGCCAAAAGAGCTTGCTTGCTGGGAGGCAGGGGGTGGGCCGGGAGATGCAGCCGGGAGGAACAGCTGGGCCTGCAGAGGCCGCCATGCGGGAGGCAGAGGCCAGGCCTCTCCAGACCCACTTGCAACCTCCCGGCGTCCTCTCCGGGCCCAGCTCTTCCTCCCGGCTGCGTCTCTAGGCCCGACTCCGGCCTCCCAACAACCTCTTTGGACTCAGCTCCTGCCCAGCTCCCAGTGGCCCTGGTAGGCCCACAACTTCCTGAAGCCAAGCTCCCCAGGCCCAGGTCAGGCCTCACGGTGGCCTCGCCAGGCTCAGCTCCTGCCCTCCGATGGCATCTCCAGGTCCCAAACGGCCTCCGGTCGGTGGGCTCCTCTAGGCCCAGCTTGGGCCTCCCGGCGGCCTCTGCAGGCCCAAATCGTCCTGAAGTCGGCCTCTCCAGGTCCAGCTCCAGCCTCCCGGCAGCCTCTGCAGGCCTAAGTTGTCCTCAAGTCGGCCTGGAAGTGGGCCTGGAAGAGCTGCAAGTTGGCCTCCCTGGGCCCAGCTCCGTCCTCTTGGCCTCTCCAGGTGCAAAACTTCCTCGAGTCAGCCTCTCCAGGCCCAGCTCCTCCTGCCTCCCAGTGGCCTCTTTTGGCCCAGCCCAGCTCATGGCTCTCAGCAGCCTTCCCAGGCCCCGCTTTTGACTTTTGGTGGCCTCTTCAGGCCCAGAACTTGACCTCCAGTCGGCCTTTGCAGGCCCGGCTTCCTGCCTCTCGAAGGCCTGCACGGGCCCAGCCTCAGCCTCACAGCGGACTCTCCACGCCCAGCTAGCTCTCGCCTCACTGCGGCCTCCCCAGTCGAAAGCTCCTGCCTTTCGGCCGCTTTGGCAGGCCCAGCTCCTGCCTGCCAGTGGCCTCTTTAGGCCCAGCTCATTCCTCACAACGGCCTTTCCAGGCCCCGTTTTTCCCTTCCGGCAGCCTTTTGGCCTCTAATTTGTTTATCTTTTGTGTATAAATCCCAAAATATGGAATTTTGGAATATTGCTACCATTATATAAATATTTTCGTATGTAATTTATTTGGAGTGAGTTTCTGCACCAAGCCTGAATTTTTTATTTTATTTTCCTTATTATTTGGTGTTAAACAGGTTTAATGACGGTCATGGCAACTTTTTGGCACAATGAAAAATACCACCCATGATCAACGTGTTCTGTTCTGGGGAAGGGGGCAAAGGCAGGGTGAATCACTTTCTTAAAAAGTACAGCTCAAGTTGGGAGTGCAGAGGAAATGGGGAGAAAACCCTCCCGCTGCCTGTGTCGAAGTGCAGGAGCCCCCACCCCCATACTCACCTGAGTCCAGCCCCTCTGGGGAAAGAAAGGGTGCATGAACTCCCCCTATTCCACAGGCGCCTCCCTGTGGCCCAAGGCCCTCTTCACACTCCATCTTGTAGCCCCAGCAGGAGCTATTTTCCGAAAAGTGAAAAGCTCTGAAGGTCCCACACTTCATGGTATGTACAGGGGCTCGGAGGAGGGAAACTGCCCAGCTTTCCCCGGCACAGCTGCAGGGCTAGGGGGTATATATAAGAGGAGCAGGCCTTGGCCAGGTGTGGTGGCTCACGCCTGTAATCCCAGCACTTTGGGAGGTGGAGGCAGGTGGATCACGATGTCAGGAGATCGAAATCAGCCTGACCAAGATGATGAAGCCCCATCTGTACTAAAAATACAAAAATTAGCCGGACGTGGTAGCGTGCACCTGTAATCCCAGCTACCCGGAAGGCTGAGGCAGGAGAACCCAGCAGGAAGAGGTTGCAGTGAGCCAAGATCGCATCACTGCACTCCAGCCTGGGCGACAGAGCAAGACTCCGTCTCAAAAGAAAGAGGCAGGCCTTATTCTGTCCCAGACTGAAAGGATTAAATGGCTTTACCCAGGAGAAGATAACCATCCTGCCCTCCATTGCTACCCCCACATACTGTCCATGTTCTCAGGGGGTACTGTGAGTCCTGGGATCTTTCTTTGGGGTCGCCCACCTGCCTGTGGTAGTTATGGAGACCCCCAGGTGTTGAGGCAGGGCTGGGGTGTCCCCTTCCAGCCAGGCTGTCAAGGCCCCAACTCTGGGGCAGAGGCAGTGGCAGGGCAGCCAGGGTTGCGCCAGAGCCTGAGCAGGGTGAGGTGGGGTCAGACAGGGCTGGGAGTCAGGGCAGGGGCAGCAGCAGTGGACCCGCTATGCACACATCTTCTTCTCCAAGGTTTGTGTGCAGAACATCCTGCTCATGCTGCCCCAGCAGCTTCAGTTGGCACCTGCTCCAGTCCAGCCTCTGGGACCCATGCAGCGGCTCCCAGCGGCCCTGCACTCACCACCAGCATCCGTTTCACCTGCAGTTGAAGATCCGTGAGGTGCCCAGAAGATCATGCAGTCATCAGTCCCACGGAGCAGCCCGCGAGGCTGAGGCTCCTCCCACTGGACCGCCCCCCAACTGGCACCACTGCTGCCCCTGCCTCTACTCTCAGCCTCACGTGACTCTCGGGCAGAGGCAGTGGTGGGGCAGCCAGGGCAGCGTCAGAGTCTGAGCCAGGTGAGGTGGGGTCAGGACCCCCACAGGGCTGGGAGTCAGGGCAGGGGCAGAACAAACCTTGGAGGGGAGGATGTGTGCATAGTGGGCCTGGAGGGCGGCTGTGGCCTAGTGGACAGGAAGAAGCAGTAGGCCTGGAAGAGCTGCATGATCAGGGCCGGCACTGGTCCAGGGCACGTGCAGTGAAGACACTGCCTTCTCGGTCTCTGGTTCCCTGAGCCCGTCCTCGGCTTCTCCCACCTGTACAGGCAAAGGGGAAGCTGTCCCCATCACACATCGTACACTTGTGGGTGTTGGGCTTTGGGCTGCAGCTGGAGCATCTTCTCATCTTGCATTTGAGCGTGGTGGGGTCCTCCAGTGCGGGATCCATGTCCGTGGGGTTCCCTCTGCCCTGACCCCCAAAGCCCAGTCAGTTTCTCCTCTTCAGGCTCTGCCCCCCGGGTGGCTCAGCCCAGCTTCTGCCTAGGAAAGCCTTAGTGTTGGGAGGGACCGTGATGACTGAGGGGCCTGGTAGCTCCAGGTTGCCCACACTTTCAGGTCTCTTGCACCAGAAGGTGGCAGGATCCATTGGGAGGAAACAGGTCGCCTTGGAAGGCGTCCCTGGGCCCCCATCCCCAGGGGTGGGGGCCATGGGCCCACTCTGCTGCCCTGACCAGATTCCTGGGCTTTGAAGGCTCCTGGGCCCAGTAAGGAGGTGGGTGCCAAGGTTGAGGAGGAAGCATAGGAGTGTGTAGGAGGAGGACGGGGTGGGACCATAGACTTTGCCAAAAACTGCAGGTGGATCGGGGGACCCTGGGGGCTCAGGATCCAGCAAGGGGCGGCAGGAGTAAAGGAATGACAGGTGCAAATACCTTCCCACCAAAGCCCTTGTTGCCCTCTGGCTCCTCCCCAGAGTCGTCCCCACTCTCAGTCGGTCACCCACTCCTTGAACTTGAGATCAGTGTCAGTGGTGCTAAAGCCGTCATCAGCAATGACATCATCACGCCCTCCTCCTCATGGATGACCATGGGCTCCTCGTCACTCGCTGTGTCCTCACCGGCCATGTGCTGGGAATGAGCAGCTCAGGTGGGCAGCAGCAGGGCTGCCCACTGGTCACCTCCCTCACCAGGGGCTGCAAAGTGGCCTGGAGCTCCATGCTGAGTAGAAGGCTTTGGGCCAGAGTATGATGCAGTGCCAGACACCACCTGTGTCAGTTCCTGTAGTGCCTGACGGTCTATTTCCCTGCCGTCCAGGCTGTGTACCCTGCTGTGGGAGAAGGCTTGGGCCAGGCTGAGCCAGGTTCCCTGACTGTGTGCAGCCGTCCTGCCCCACAGAAGCTGCTCCTTGGTATCCGAGCTCTGGAGTGTCTGGGCCGCAACTGACAGGCGTTCAGAGGACACCCCAGGGGCAGTGGCAGTGCCCGTCTCTGATATGCTCCGCTCCCACGAGCCCTTGTACACTCCTGCTAGCCCCTGGCTTGTGGGCTTGGCCTCTGAGCTGGACTTCTTTCGGTCCTTGTTGCAAGTGGGCCACCTTCACTTGGAAGGCCAGGTCGTAGCACTTCTGCGTCTCATTGGGCCCCAGGGTGTACCACCGCTTGCTCAGGATCTGGCTGACGGTCCAGTTATCCTGGTTGGGGTGACCCTGGTGCGCCCTGCCAGAGCCTGGTGCCGCTTGCTGAAGATCATGACCACCACTCATGGGCCACCGGATGTGGTCCTTGTCCCATTTGTTGGGGCTGCATCCATCCTTCTCAGAAGATGAGTCCTGTTCCTTGCGCAGGGCACTGAGGGACTGGGCCTGACATCATCTGAGTGGTAGAGGCAACTGGGTGTCAGGGGACATGACGGAGAGGAAAGCTTCATCGTGGTCATTCTCTGTCTCACTGTCCAGCAGGGACTCCCCTGAGGGGCCCAGGGCTCCTCCTCCATGGTGGGAGGTGGGCTTTTACCAGGTTCCACCACCCCCAAAGTGTGTGGGGTTCCGGGCCCTGGGCTTTCAGGGCAGGTGGCTCCAGGGGGCCGCGCAGGGTCAACACTCCCTGTCCCACCTGGTGGACGCTCATGAGCAACAGCTGCCAACTTGGCAGGTTGTTTGCTCTGGTTGGAGGCCACTGAGTGACTGGCAGGTTGCCGGGCCTCGTGTGGCTGCAGGGAGGGGTCAGGAAGGGGACGGAGTACCAGGGGAACATGGCCACAGAGCGAGGTTCCACATTCCTCCACATGAACATGCTGACGCCACGAGAGGCCTCGCTGGACGCAGGCCTGTGGGCCGAGTACTTGGTCCGGGCAGGGGGTTCCTGGCAGGGGCTCACACCTCCTCAGCCCCCTCCTCAGCCAAGGTGGCTTGGGCCCAGAGAAGGAGGGGTTGGAGAGGAGCAGAAGGCCAGGCCTCATGTTTTGTTTTTTTTTGTTGTTTTGTTTTTTGTTTTTGAAATGTAGTTGGACTCTTGTCACCCAGGCTGGAGTGCAGTGGCACGATCTCAGTGGCCTTCATACCTGGCTAATTTTTTGTATTTTTACTAGAGGTGGGGTTTCACCATGTTGGCCAGGCTGGTCTTGACCTCCTGACCTCAGGTGATCCACCCACCTCGGCCTCCCAAAATGGGATTACAGGCATGAGCCACCGCTCCCAACTTCATTCATTTTTACTTGAAAAACTCCCTTAAGCATTTTTTTAAGGTAGATCTAGTGGTCCTGAATGCCCTCAACTTTGTTTGTCGAGGAAACACGTTATTTCTTCTTTCTTTCTGAAGGACAGCTTTGTCAGACATAGTATTAGTTGCTGGCAGTTTTTTTCTTTCAGCACTTTGAATGTATTATTCGATTCTGTCCTGACCTGCAACGTTTCTTTAACTTTTGACTATTTGATTATATTGTGACTTGTTGAGTATCTATTTGGTTTGAAGCTCTTTAGGAATCTTTAAGCTTCATGGATTTAGATGTCTAAATCTTTCCCATGATTTAGGCAGTTTTCAGCCATTCTTTAAATAAGCTTTCTTCTCCTTTCTCTACTTTCCTTCTCAAACTCCCATAACCTGACAATGGTTTGCCTAATGGTGTCTTGTTGGCTTTCTTTTCTCTTTCTCTTTTTTTTTTCTTTTTTTTTTTTTTTTCTTTGAGACAGAGTTGTGCTCTGTCACCCAGGCTGGAGTGCAATGTGTGGTCTCGGCTCACATTGCACTCCAACCTCCGCCTCCTGGGTTCAAGCGATTCTCCTGCCTCAGCCTCCCAAGTAGCTGGGACTACAGGTGTGTGCCACCACACCCGGCTAATTTTTGTATTTTTAGTAGAGATGGGGTTTTGTCATGTTGGCCAGGCTGGTCTTGAACTCCTGACCTCTTAATCTGCCTGCCTCGGCCTCCCAAAGTGTTGGGATTACAGGCTTGAGCCACCATGCCCAGCATTCTTTTCTCTTTTTTACTCCTTTTTTCTTTGTCCTCTGACTGGATAATTTCAGAAGATCTATATTCAAGTTTACAGATTATCTCTCCTGTTGAAGTTTACTATTGTGTTATATCGCCCAGTCTGGTCTTGAACTCCTGGGCTCAAGCGATCCTCCCACCTTGGCCTCCCAAAATGCTGAGTTTACAAGCATGAGCCACTGCATCCAGTCAGTCCCAGCACTTTGGGAAGCTGAAGTGGGAGGATCACTTGAGCTCAGGAGTTTGAGACCAGCCTGGGCAACATACTGAGACCTTGTCTCTATATAAAAAAAAAAAAAAAAAAAATTTTGGGAGGCCAAAGCGGGAGGATTACCTGAGGTCAGGAGTTCGAGACCAGGCTGGCCAACATGGCAAAACCCCATCTCTACTAAAAATACAAAAATTAGCCAGGTGTGGTGGCACACGCCTGTAGTGGTGGTGCATGCCTGTAGTCCCAGCTACTCAAGAGGCTGAGGCAGGAGAATCACTTGAACTGGGAGATGGAGGTTGCAGTGAGCCCAGATCACACCGGTGCACTCCACCCCGGGCAACAGAGTGAGACTCCATCTTATAAAAGGAAAAAAGAAAGAAAAGAAAAATTCCATATCTGAGTGTTTACTCCTGAGTTTTTGAGATTGTTATTAAGATCATGCTCTACTGTGATGATTTGGGTTTGTTTGATAATCAGAAAAAAGCATATTCTTTTGGGTGTTCAGCCACACTGTGCTTTGGTGTCACAACTGCACATTGGTTTCACAGCTGCACGACAAGTTCGAGCATCTTAAAATGATTCAACAGGAGGAGATAAGGAAGCTCGAGGAAGAGAAAAAACAACTGGAAGGAGAAATCATAGAT
Source organism: Homo sapiens (assembly GCF_000001405.40). Taxonomy (NCBI): domain Eukaryota; kingdom Metazoa; phylum Chordata; class Mammalia; order Primates; family Hominidae; genus Homo; species Homo sapiens. The sequence goes on from NC_000007.14 coordinate 45,821,018, forward strand.
TTTTATAAAATGAAAGCTGCCTCTGAAGCACTGCAGACTCAGCTGAGCACTGATACAAAGAAAGACAAGCATCGTAAGAAGCAATAGTTTCTGTTACTATTCTGAGAGCCTTATCATTCTACATCCCATCTTCCTGTGAGATTGTCTTTGTAGCATTTAACTCTAATTGCAGTTCTCATTTTAAAAATTGGCTTGCTTATTGTTTATTTTCCCCAACTAAAGCGTGAACTCCTAGCAGGGCGTGGTGGCTCATGCCTGTAATCTCAGCACTGTGGGAGGCCGAGGTGGGTCGACTACCTGAGGTTAGGAGTTCGAGACCAGCCTGACCAACATGATGAAACGCTGTCTCTACTAAAAATACAAAAATTAGCCAGGCATGGTGGCCGGGACCTGTAATCCCAGCTACTTGGGAGGCTGAGGCAGGAGAATCACTTGAACCCCGGAGGTGGAGGTTGCAGTGAGCCGAGATCTCACCATTACACTCCAGCCTGGGCGACAAGAGCAAAACTCCATCTCAAAAAAAAAAAAAAAAGGTGAACTCCTTGAAGGCAGGTCCTGTGTCCATCTTTTCAGATTCTGTATCCCAGCACTTAGGACATAGACAAACACGAAGATGACAATATTTGCCAAAATGAAAAAACAAAAGAAACATGTAACATATGTAAAAGGAGCTGGTTAGGTGGAGAAATTTCTTTACCATAGTCTTGCTTGTGGATCCAGTAGTGACTTTTACATTTTATATCTAAATAGAAGCTGGAGGCTTTGTTGGGGACTCATAGGCATAAAATATTATGTTATTTATTATAGAGTTAAATGCTACAAAGACAAATCTAATTAATAGGCCTATTTTCCTTTTTAAATTCTACTCATAATTTCTTCATAGTTTTTATGATAAAAGGTTGGATTTTGATTAGAACTCCCATGCTTTTGTGTCAGAATTAAAACTGATATTAGAATAAATAATTCAAAAGCTAGAGAAAGAGTACAATGAAAAGCCATGAGTTGCATTTGAATTATATTATGTCTTACAGATTTGAGGTATATGCTAAAGTTACCAAAGTTGTAGAAAATAAGGCCGGGCATTGTGGCTCACATGGGTAATTCCAGCACTTTGGGAGGCTGAGGTGGGCGGATCATTTGAGGTCCGGAGTTCGAGACCAGCCCGGCCAACATGGTGAAACTCCATCTGTACTAATAGTACAAAAATTAGCCAGGCGTGACGGTGTGCACCTGTAGTCCTTGCTACTCAGAAAGCTGAGGCAGGAGAATCGCTTGTACCCAGGAGGCAGAGGTTGTAGTGAGCAGAGATTGTGCCACTGCACTCCAGCCTGTGTGACAGAGTGCTGTGAGTCACCACACCTGGTATGAGCCACCGTGCCTGACCCACAAGGACTTTTTATACATGTTGTTAAATCATCTTACAGATTTTATAATTTGGGGGAAGAAAAGTTTTACTAAATGGTCTTTTAATGGAAACTCTACAAGAACCAGAATCTTTGCTTTGTTCACTTATGTATCCATTCCTAGGCCTAGAAAAATGTCTGACACATAGCGGCAATTATTCATTGAATAAATGGACCCAGCGATAGTACATTAGCTATGCTATATGCATACATTAAAGATGTAGATTATTGACTTTCAAAAGATAATTAATGTAACTTCTTACTGTTTCTGAACATGTTTGTGAGTTATATTGCTGAGGGACCTTTATCTTCTCATTCTTTCATCTTAACCCAATGTTATAAAATTGAAATCACCAATATTATTCCATATCTAAAATTAATATCTACCTTGTAAAAAATATCACTCTGCTGCATTTGAGAATAGACTTTTTAGGTAATAATGATGCAATCCATAGGGTTTTTTGGGGGCACAGAAGGAGTCATGCTAACAGAACATTTTATTTTCTATTTTCCCAGAGCTGTAAAACATGAAATTATGATAGTATAAGGCATATTTTTACTCTTTTTATAATTTTTTCTAAAAAAAATTAGTGTTTGTTCCCTATATAACTTTTAACTTTATAGGTAAATATTTGTCTCTTTCAGCTCCAGTTTTATGTGAAATAGAGTTTTCAGATTTATGTAGCATGGAAAGTTTTAATACCTCAGAGTTACTGATTTTTGCCAATCATTTTCTCAATTATTTATTTCTTTTTTATCTTTAGTTGATTTTTTTGTAGTGACACATTTTGTTTCTAGTCTCATTTCCTTTTGTTTATATTCTATGTATATTTTGTTTTTGGTTACTATGAGAATTACATATAACATCCTAGAGTTATAACATTTTAATTTGAATTTATTTCAACTTAAGTTCAATCACATACCAAAATTCTACTGCTATATATATAGCTCTACTCTTTTTATGTTATTGATGTAACAAATTATATCTTTATTCATTGTGTACCAGCTAACAGATTTACAATTACATTTTATGCATTTGCCTTTTAAATTATGTAGAAAATAAAAAGCAGAGTTACAAACCAAAATTACAATAGGACTGTTTTTATGTTTGTTTATGTATTTACCTTTACCAGAGAGCTTTGTATATTCATACAGCTTGCTTAGTTACTTATATAGTTATTGCCTAGAGTTCATTTGTTTCAACTTGAAGGACTTAACACTTCTTGAATGGCAAATTCAGGGATAAATGGATTTTTTTCAGTTTAAAAAAAATATCTGGAAATGTCTTAATTTCTCCCTCATTTTTGAAGGATAAGTTTTCCAGCTGTAGATTTCTCAATTGACAGGTTTCTTCATTATTTTAAATATATAATCCACTGCCTACTGGCCTTCAAGGTTTCTGCCAAGAAATCAGCTGCTAATGTTATCTGGATCTCTATCTGTGAGAGTTGCTCTTCTCTCTGAGTTTTCAACATTCTCACATTGTCTTTTTGTTTGTTTGTTTTTTGAGACAAAGTCCTGCCCTGTCACCCAGGCTGGAGTGCAGTGGTGTGATCTCAGCTCACTGAAACCTCTGTCTCCTGGGTTCAAGTGATTCTCCCATCTAAGCCTCCCAAGTAGCTGGGGCCACAGGCATGTGCCACCATGCCCAGCTAATTTCTTTGTATTTTTAGTAGAGATGGGGTTTTGTCATGTTGCCCAGGCTGGTCACAAACTCCTGGCCTCAAGGAATCTGTCCAGGATTACCATTTACCCAGCAATCTCATTACTTGATATAGACCCAAAAGAAAATAAATCATTCTACCAAAAATGCACATGCACTTGTATGTTTATCACAGCACTGTTCACAATAGTAAAGACATGGAGTCAACTTAGATGCCCATCAATGGTGGACTGGATAAAGAAAATGTGGTACATATACACTGTAAAATACTACACAGCCATAAGAAAGAATGTGACTTTTGCAGCAACATGGACGCAGCTAGAGGCCGTGATCCTAAGAGAATTAACATAGAAACAGAAAACCAAATGCTGCATGTTCTTACTTACAAGTGGGACATATGGACATACATTGGGTACATATGGACATAAAGATGGGGACAGCAGACACAAGGTACTACTGGAGGGGGCAGAGGGAACAGAGGGGGAAGGCAAGGGCAGAAAAGCCACCTATTGGGTACTATGCTCACTATCTGGGTGATGGGATCATTCATACCCCCAACCTCAGCATCACATGATACACTCATGTAACAAACCTGCACATGTACTCTCTTTATCCAGTCTCTGCTATGTCCCCACATTGCCTTCTCTTTGTTTTTTTTTTTTGTTTGTTTTTTGAGATGGAGTTTTGCTCTTGTTGCGCAGGCCAGAGTGCAATGGCACGATCTCAGCCCATGGCAACCTCTGCCTCCTGAGTTCAAGCGATTCTCCTGCCTCAGCCTCTGGAGTAGCTGGGATTACAGGCATGTGCCACCACGCCCGGCTAATTTTGTATTTTTAGTAGAGATGGAATTTCTCCATATTGGTCAGGCTGGTCTGGAACTCCCGACCTTAGATTATCCTCCCACCTCGGCCTCACAAAGTGCTGGGATTACAGACGTGAGCCACTGCGCCCAGCCTTAATCAGATTTTTCTAAAAACCAAGTGGGAAATCTCCTGGGGTCCCCAAGGTAGATTTGGCCCCTGGACCATATCTTGTGGTTTTCAGGATGAGAGGCTGGACGGGGTCCTCAGCCTGTCTCTTCAGCAGCAACAGCGCTCTCAGCCACAAAAGGGGGATATGTGCTCAGGAACATCAGCCCGAAAACTGGAAATCTCAGCCCTGGCACCTGGTGTTGGCAGCTCTCACTCAGATCACCCTTAGTCACTCCTAGCTTTATTGCTTACTGCTCAGCGTGCCGCTTGGAAACCTTGGTTCATGAGGGAAAAAAAAGAACTCATGTGCTCACTCTTGGACCATTCTGCCCGAATTCGTCTGCCCTCATGTTGCGGCCTTGGGCTTTGCAGGTCATCGCCCCCAGCCTCACACCCTTCACCAATGTCCCATCATTGCCCAGGACCCATAAGGCCTGTCGGGCCCGGGATGTCCTGGTCCAGCTTCCGGCCTCCTTCCCTGTCACCTGCCACCCCACACTCTCTGTTTTTGGACAGCAGTGGCCTTATGTCAGGTGCAATTGCGATCACTCACCTCAGCCACCGGCAGAACTTCCTGCATGCTGCTTTTTTCCCTTTTTTTTTTTTTTTTTTTTTTGAGATAGAGTCTTGCTCTGTTGCCCAGGCTGGAGTGCAGTGGTGCGATCTTAACTCATGGCAACCTCCGCCTGCCGGGTTCAAGCGGTTCTCGTTCCTCAGCCTCCCAAGTAGCTGGGACTACAGGCACCCACCACCATGCCCGGATAGTTTTTTGTGTTTTTAGCAGAGACAAGGTTTCACCATGTTGGCCAGGTTGGTCTTGAACTCCTGATCTCAGGTGATCCACCAAGCCTCGGCCTCCCAAAGTGCTGGGATTACAGGCATGAGCCACCACACCCGGCCTGAATTTGGTGAACCTTTGGACAGCTCTCCCCTTGTGTTGTAGCCTCAGGCTTCGCAGGTCATCTCCCCCAGCTTCATGCTCTTCACTGGTTTCCCATCATTGCCCAGGACCCAGTTGTGAACTCCTTATAAGGCCTGTCAGGCCCCGATGCCCTGGCCCTGCTTCTGGCCTTTTTCCCTGCCACAGCCACCCCCACATGCTGTTACCAGACAGCACTGGGCTCATGTCAGCTGCAATTGCTATCACTCATCTCTGCCACCAGCAGACCCTCCTGTATGCACCTTTCTGGAAGGGTCTTTATAGCATTTCTTTATTTTTTTTATTTTTTATTTTTTTTTGAGATGGAGTCTCACTCTGTGGCCCAGGCTAGAGTGCAGTGGCATGATCTCGGCTCACTGTAACCTCCACCTCCTGGGTTCAAGAGATTCTCCTGCCTCAGCCTCCCAGGTAGCTGGGATTACAGGCACACGACACCACACCCAGCTAATTTTTATATTTTTAGTAGAGACAGGGTTCCACCATGTTGGCCAGGCTGGTTTCGATCTCTTGACCTTGTGATCCTCCCACCTCAGCCTCCCAAAGTGTTGGTATTACAGGTGTGAGCCACTGTGCCCAGCCTTCCCAGTATTTCATAAGCAGTTACCTCTTCCCAGAAGTCTTCCTCCACCCTGTGAGTCTGTGTAATTCTCTGAGCTTCTCATTGGGCCCAATGAGCCCCTGTCACACCACTTAGCACACTGGAGTGTCTGCCTGCCTTCTCAGATGGAAGCTCCATGAGGGTGAGCACGTGTCAACCTCATGCACACCTATGCCCAGCACCTCGATACCATGCTTTGCACACCACAGGGCTCAGTAAGGATTTTACTAAATATGGCCAGGTACAGTGGCTCGCACCTTTAATCTCAGCAATTTGGGAGGCCAAGTTGGGAGGATCACTTGAAACCAAAAGTTTGAGACCAGCCTGGGCAACATACTGAGACCCCATCTCTTCAAAATATTAAAAGCTTAGCCAAGTGTGGTGGCGTGCACCTGTAGTCCCAGCTACTCAGGAGGCCGAGGTGGGATAGTCGCTTGAACCCAGGAGCTCAAGGGTGCAGTGAGCCATGATTGTGCCACTGCACTCCAGCCAGGCTGGCAGAATGAGATCCTGTCTCTAAAAAAAAATTGACTAAATGTGTGAATGAAGGAATGAATGAGTGTATTCTTCCCTGTTCCCTGAGAAGTGTCTGCAAAAGCCAGTGTACTTCCTTCCATCCCCTTCCCTCCCTGTTCACCAGGTGCCTCTCATTGTCTCCCAAGCCTCTGCAGACACATCCCAAGGAACAGTGCTGCTGAAGGACTAGTTCTGTTCCTTGTGATGGTGGAAAGAAATGGGATTCGGGCTGGGCGCGGTGGCTCACGCCTGTAATCCCAGCACTTTGGGAGGCCAAGGCAAGAGGATTGTTTGAGGCCAGCCTGGGCAACATAGTAAGACCCCCATCTCTACAAAAAACAAAGATTAGCCAGGTGTGGTGGTGCATGCCTGTAATCCCAGCGCTTGGGAGGCTGAGGCAAGATGATAGCTTGAGCCCAGAAGGTTGAGGCTGCAGTGAGCCATGATCACGCCGGTGCACTACAGCCTGGGTGACAGGTGTACCCTGTCTCTAAAAAATAAAAAAAAGAGGCCAGGCATGGTGGCTCACATCTGTAATTCCAGCACTTTGGGAGGCCAAGGCCGTTGGATCACCTCAGGTCAGGGGTTTGAGACCAGCCTGGCTAACATGGTGAAACCCCATCTCTACTAAAAATACAAAAATTAGCCGGGCATAGTGGGCGGGTGACTTAGCTGTGCTGGTAGAACGTATGGGGATTCCCACCCCATGCAGCACGCCATCCCATTTGCCGAGTGTGGTGGCTCACGCCTGTAATCCCAACACTTTGGGAGGCTGAAGCGGGCAGACCACCTGAGGTTGAGAGTTTGAGATCAGCCTGGCTAACATGGTGAAACCTCTAGCTTTGCTTAGAGAAGCCAGAAAGAGGTGCAGTGGCTCAGGCCTACGTAATCCCAGCACTTTGCGGGGCCGAAGTGGGCAGACCATGAGGTCAGGAGTTCAAGACCAGCCCGACCAACATGGTGAAACCCTGTCTCTACTAAAAATAAAAAAACTAGCCCGGTGTGGTGGCCCGCACCTGTAATCCCAGCTACTCAGGAGGCTGAGGCAGGAGAATCGCTTGAACCCAGAAGGTGGAGGTTGCAGTGAGCCGAGATAGTGCCACTGCACTCTAACCTGAGTGACAGAGCAAGACTCTGTCTCAGAAAAAAATAAAACTAAAAATAAATAAATAAAAGAAATGGGATCTGGAGGAAGGCCGACCCAGCCTCAGAACTGGCTCTACCACTTACCAGCTGTGCACATACCTTATTTTCTTCATTTGCAAAGTGAGAAAATGGGACCAAGCTTGCAGGGTTGCTGTGACACATTGCCCGCCAGCCTGACACATGGTAGGCAGTCATTAGATCAGGGTCTTCCTCCCTCTTTCCCAGTGCCCCTGCCTAAGCTCACTCACCTCTGGAACCTTGGGACACACACACACTCCTGCAATCTCAAGTAGCAGCCGCTACTTCCTGACCCACCTCTGTCCTCCCCAAGGTTGCCCTTTCCTCTATCCCCTGACAAAGAGTAGTGCCAGGCACGGAATAGATGCTCCAAAGACATGAAAAGAATGAAGGAATGAATGAAGCAGCCATCACAGTATCCCCTGGGGCATGATCCCCAGTGGCCACCAGCCTCCTTTTTTTTTTTTTTTTTTTTTTTGTGAGACAGAGTTACTCTGTCACCCAGGCCAGAATGCAGTAGTGTGATCTCGGCTCACTGCAACCTCCGCTTCTGCCTCCTGGGTTCAAGTGATTCTCCTGCCTCAGCCTCCCAAGTAGCTGGGATTACAGGCACCCACCACCATGTCTGGGTTTTTTTGTTTTGTTTTTTGAGACGGAGCCTCACTCCGTCACCAGGCTGGAGTGCAGTGGTGCAATCCCAGTTCACTGCAACCTCCAACTCCCTGGTTCAAGTGATTCTCCTGCCTCAGCCTCCTTAATAGCTGGGATTACAGGCCATGTACCACCATGCCCAGCTAATTTTTGTATTTTTAGTAGAGATGGGGTTTCACTGTGTTGGGCAGGCTGGTCTTGATCTCCTGACCTCAGGCAATCTGCCCACCTTGGCCTCCCAAAGTGCTGGGATTACAGGGGTGAGCCACTGTGTCTGGCCTGCCACCAGCCTCTTGATAGGCAGGCCAGGCAGAGAACATGTGAACACACAGGTGCCAGGACACCCTCCCAAGGCAACGACAAGGAACAGAAAAATTGACATTGGACTTTACCAAAGGACAAAGAGGAAGGAGGAGGGAAGATAAAGAAAATGTATAGCTCTGTGGGAAAAGGAAACTTTGAGAACTGCTGGGCTGGATTCTTGTGCATGGCATGAGGGTACCCCTGCAAGTCACCCCAAGGATCACATGTGCACAATTGTGTCCTCTGAGCAGACTCCTCTGAAGGGTATCTGCGTTCCCCACAGCCATTCCTGGTTCTAAGAGGACAAGTTCCAAAAAAAGCTTTTAAAAATTTTTTATTGATTTATTTTTTATTTTTGGTAGAGATGGGGTCTTGCTATGTTGCTAAGGTTTGTCATGAACTCCTGGCCTCAAGTGATTCCCCTCCCCCTGCCCCACCTCAGCCTCCCAAAGTGCTGGGATTACAGGTGCAAGCCACTGTGCCCGGCCCGAAATCACTTTCTAAGTTCGCCCCTTTCATCTGAAATGTTTTCCTCTTGTGAACGTTTTATGTCACGTGTACCCTTAGGACCCCCTGACAGCCCTCCTCAGGCCCCTTCTGCAGCCTCCTTTGTTATATGTGATCGGAGCACCCCGAGAGCTTCATCATCCATGATGAGCACCCGCCCTCTCTCCAGTCGGAACCATTGGCTGATGAGTAAGGGCTGATTTCTTCTCAAATGATTACCACCCCCAATTCATTACATTGCAAAGACTGAGCTCAGAATGGCTTGTCTGATGCTTGATGCGGTTGCGCTTTTTTGGAATGCCATTCATTGAGGATGCAAGTTCTCTCCCGTGTGATGCTTTCAGGTGCAAGCTGTGACATGGTTCCACGCGCTTCTATGCTTTGTCCTCCCCTGTGATTTTCGCATCTCCAATAACAGCTCGCCTCCGTCTGAGGATTTTCCTCCACTAGTGCCATTCACTGGGAGTCTCTCTAGTATGAATTATGAGATGAATGGAAATTTTCCCTCATTCATAATATTTGAAGCTTTCCTCTGCCCTGTGAGTTCTTTGATATTCTACTGCAAATCCTGACCAAGTGTTTTGCCATGTGTATCAGGCCAGTAGAGTTTAGGCTTAGAGTCTGCAATTTCCCCAAAGTGGTACCTTTTTTTTTTTTTTTTTAAGAGATGGGGTCTTGCTCTGCATTTCTAGGCTGGAATGCAGTGGCATGATTATAGCTTACTGCAGCCTTGACCTCCTGGGCTCAAGTGATCCTCCCACCTCAGCTTTCTGAGCAGCTGGAACTACAGGCACACGCCAGCATACCTGGCTAATTTTTAAATTTTTTATAGAGATGAGGTCTCACGGTGTTGCCCCGGCTGCTCTTGAACTCCTGGGCTCTAGGAGTCTTCCCATCTCAGCCTCCCAAAGCACTCTGATTACAGGCATGAGCCACCGTGCTTAGCCCAAACTGTATTCTGAGTGCCATGTCATTGCTGATGGTCAGCGCCCCCTGGAATGCAGTGGGGTGCCCACCCCTGCCACTCCGCATTCTGCCCATCCTTTAAGCCTGGCCCAAAGCCCACCTGTTCCCTGAAGCCTTCCTGGGATGCTGTGAGCCTGGAGCCCTGCTCCCCTGCTTCCCTTCATGAGAATGCACTGCCTGTGAAACCCGTTTAACACTCATGCCACACTTAGCCCTTCATTATCTTTTGATGACTTTTTCTTCTGAAGCAGACTGAGAGATCTTTGAAGAGGGGCCGCCCCTTGTCCTCTGGATGGTCCAAGAATCCTTTGAACCCTGAGACACTCAGGGTGGCTTGGCGGACTGTGTGGACAGGAGACTGCTTATAACTGTGACGATGTCATCTAGGCAGATGGGTTTGTTGTTCAGGTCATTTACCTTCCACTGAAGATGTAGCCCGCCTTCTTCAGGGTGGTTGCCCCTTGAAGGTCACACGGGGAGGAAGGTGATCTTATACTTACTGCCACCTCTTCCTCCCCTCCCAACCTCCAGCCCCAGGCAGGCCAGCCGCATTAGCCAAGGTGGTCGATGCTTGGTCTCCACAGCTTCAGCTCTGCCTGAGAGTTGTTGCTAGTTGCCCTGTATTACACTAGGCCCTGGGAACAATTTTGGGGATGGAAAGGCAAGGAACAAGCAAGAAGTCAGTGTTGTTGGCCAGGTGCGGTGGTAGCTTACACCTGCAATCCCAGCACTTTGGGAGACCAAGTTGGGCAGATCACCTGAGGTCAGGAGTTCAAGACCAGCCTGGCCAACATGGTGAAACCCCATCTCCACTAAAAATACAAAAAAATAGCCAGGCATGGTGGTGCACACCTATAATCCCAGCTACTCAGGAGACTGAGGCACTAAAATCGCTTGAACCCGGGAGGTGGAGATTGCAGTGAGCTGAGAGCATTCTACTGGGTAACATTCCAGCGTGGGTAACAGAGAAAGACTGCTCTCAAAAAAAAAAAAAAAAAAAAAATAGAAGTCACCATTGCTGGGGAGCTGTGCATTCACAGTCCTAGTTAAGTATGACCAGCTCAGGGACCACCCTCGATGTGAACCTGGGGCTCTCTGAAAGCAAGGCTATGCCTTAGGCCTGTCTCTGTGTCCACAGTGCCCAGCTTAGCATCTGGCTCGTAGTAGGTATGCACTCAGTATCTGTTGAATGAATGTTGCACTCTGGTTCCCAGGCAGCCAAGGAGTTCTTGGAGGTAGCGAGGAGAACAGACCTTAAGGACTGTGCTGAAATGTCCCACCTGGGTCTGCTCCTGCCCCTGGGGAGGACATCATCCCATTGATATATGGCTAAGTTCTGGGTCTCAAGGACACAGGACAGAAAAGGCCTCTCACCTTTTGTTGGTGGTGAAATGTCAATCTCCTCTGAGAGGGAACAAATTTGTGTGCAAGTCCAGAGTTTTTTTTGTTTTTGTTTTGTGAGATGGAGTCTTGCTCTGTTGCCCAGGCTGGAGTGCAGTGGTGTGATCTCGGCTCACTGCAACCTCTGCCTCCTGGGTTCAAGCAATTCTCCTGACTCAGCCTCTCGAGTAAGCTGGGATTAAAGGTGAGTGCCACCATGCCCGGCTAATTTTTGTATTTTTAGTGGAGACAGGGTTTCACCAGGTTGACCAGGCCGGTCTCAAACTCCTTACCTCATGATCCACCTGCCTCGGCCTCCCAAAGTGCTGGGATTACAGGCGTGACCCACCACGCCCAGCCAAGTCCAGAGTTTTATATAGCCTTGGAGCTCCCTTCTAACTTTAAAAGTTACTAGCCAGGCACAGTGGCTCACACCTGTAATTCCAGCACTTTGGGAGGCCGAGGCAGGCAGATCACCTGAGGTCAGGAGTTGGACACTAGCCTGGCCAACATGGTAAAACCCCAACTCTACTGAAAATACATAAATTAGCTGGGTGTGGTAGCACACACCTGTTATCCCTGCTACTTGGGAAGCTGCGGCAGAAGAACTGCTTGAACCTGGGAGGTGGAGGTTGCGGTGAGCCAAAATCACACCACTGCACTCCAGCCTGGGTGACAGAGCAAGACTTCGTACAAAAAAAAAAAACCTAGTAAGTTAAAATTCTTGTTATCTTGACACAGATGGTAAGAACTAGTTCTTAGTGTTGGCGCTGCCTGTGAGAACTGCATTTCCTAGAAAGCCAAGTCTTCCACACTGCTGAACTTTGACTTGCCGAACATGTCAGCAGGTCATTCAGCATTCAGGAGAGAAGGAAAGGGAGTTCCCTGGCCAGCTGCCTCTCTGTCTGCTTACCAGATGCTCGTGTATTTACCCAGTTCTCTGCAGGCCACAGGAGACAGCCGGTTGCTGGCTTCATTGCTCAAGTCCTGGAATTGTATAGCTGGAATGCCATTTACAGTGAGCCTCCAGAATATCCTCAGCCAGGCGCAGAGGCTCATGCCTGTAATCCCAGCACTTTAGGAGGCCAAGGTGGACAGATTGCTTGAGCCCAGGAGTTTGAGACCAGCCTGGGCAACATGGTGAAACCCTGTCTCTACTAAAATCACAAAAATTAGCCGGGCATGCTGGTGCGCACCTGTAATTCCAGCTACTCGGGAGGCTGAGACAGGAGAATCACTTGAACCTGGAAGGCAGAGGTTGCACTGAGCCGAGATTGTGCCACTGCACTCCAGCCTGAGCAACAAAGTGAGACTCGATCTCAAAAAAAAAAAAAAGAATACCCTCTCAAATCCCTCCTCTGGTGATGATCCCCAGGCCAAATTGGATAAGAAATTACAAAAACAGGTGGAGGTGACGGAGATTGACATTAATAACCTGGCTGGACATGGTAGCTCATACCTGTAATCCCAGCACTTAGGGAGGTCACAGCAGGAGGATCACTTGAGTCCAGGAGTTCTGGACCAGCCTGGGCAACATAGCAAGACCCTGTCTCTGCAAACAATAATATTTAAAAATTAGCCAGGTGTAGTGGAGCATGCCTGTAATCCCAGCAACTCAGGAGGCTGAGGTAGGAGGATTGCTTGAGCCCAGGAGTTCGAGGTGGCAGTGAGATGTGATACCACTGCACTCCAGGCTGGGTGACAGAGCAAGACCCTGAGAGAGAGAGAGAGAGAGAGTAGGAGAGAAAGAAAGAGGAGGAATAAAGAGAGGAGGAAGAAAGACCAGGTGAAGGCTATTGGAGAAGCTAGGCATCCCCATGGGGGTAGCAAAGGCCATTCTAAAGAGAATGAGAGGGCCAGGCATGGTGGCTCATGCCTATAATCCCAGCACTTTGGGAGGCCAAGGCGGGTGGATCACTTGAGGTCCATAGTTCAAGACCAGTCTGGCCAACATGGTGAAACCTCGTCTCTACAAAAAAATAGAAAAGTTAGCCGGGCATGGTGGTGCAGGCCTGTAATTCTAGTTAGGAGGCTATGGCAGGAGAATTGCTTGAACCCGGGAGGCGGAGGTTGCAGTGAGCCATGATCAAGCCATTGCATTCCAGCCTGGGTGACAAGAGCTAGACTCCATCTCAAAATAAATAAATAAATAAATAAATAAATAAATAAATAAATAAATAAAATGAGAGGCTTCTATAAAGTTGCTCAAGAAACTGGATCTAGATGGAGAGCTGTAAAGACACCCCTACCCCATCCCCAGTCCCCACCATGGAGGGCACCAGATCCCTGTTAAGAAGAGCCAAGCCAGTGCCCTGAAGCTCTAGCTGGGTCTCTCACTGGGCCTTTGGCCCTCACTTGCCAAGTGCATAAGTGACTCACAATCGCAGTCACCATCATGTGTCCTGGGCCAGTGGTGCCAATTGTTTCCCATGCAGTATCTCATTTAGTCCTACCAGCAACCCTGTGAAAGAGGTGTGTTTCTATCCTCTTGTTACAAATGAAAAAAATAAGACTTAAAGAGGCTAAATAACTTGCCCAAGGTCATGCAGCTAGTAAGTAGAAGAGCAGGGGTTCAAATCCAGCTCTGCCCATCACCCATGTTTCTAAAAGTTCTCATTTTTCCATTGAAGAATTTTAAAATTCCATTTGCTGGAAGAACCAGCCCATTTTCTGTCTGTAACAGGGCCATCTTGAAATAGTCCTGCCTCCACAGTTCCTTCTTCAGCCTGTCAAAGCCACAAAAAGTTTCCCAAGGCCGGGTGCGGTGACTCATGCCTGTAATCCCAGCACTTTGGGAGGCCAAGGTGGGCACATCACCTGAGGTCAGGTGTTTGAGACCAGCCTGGCCAACATGGAGAAACCCCATCTCTACTAAAAATACAAAAATTAGCCGGGTGTGGTGGTGCATGCCTGTAATCCCAGCTACTTGGGAGGCTGAGGCAGGAGAATCACTTGAACCCGGGAGGCAGAGGTTGCAGTGAGCCGAGATCACGCCATTGCTGTCCAGCCTGGTTAACAGATCAAGACTCCAGCTCAAAAACAAAATAAAAAAAAATTAGCCAGGCATGGTGGCGCACATCTGTGGTCCCAACTGCTCGGGAGACTGAGGCAGGAGAATCGCTTGAACCTGGGAGGTAGAGGTTATAGTGAACTGCGATCATGCCACTGCACTCCAGCCTGGGTGACAGAATGAGACTCCGTCTCAAAAAAAAAAAAGTTTTTCAACATCCTAAATCCAGTAGGCAAGAAACACTTCCAATCACTATTAAAGCCATGTTCATGAGAGAACTCAAGCTTTCTACCTGCAGCAACTGGAATTTCTGCTGTGGGAATTGGGGGACATTCTTGAGCCATGGAAGCCTTGAGGCCGCTGGGACTCAAGAATCTGTGATGATGCCCTCAGCTCCGTGAGTCTTGTGTTCCAGTTTATTTCTGCTCCACTATGTCTGAGGTCTCCTCTCCTCCACAGCTATTGGGGCTGAAATGTCCAAAGTGGCTTTTGCAGTCACATGACTGATGCCTCATGTTCTTCCATGTGGTCTCTCTCCCTGACAGAGTAGCCTTGTCATCTTGTACAGTTGCTGGGCTCTGAGAACCCTCTATGGATACCCTACACCATTGCACCATCACCTGTGCTACCCCCAGCCTCTCCATGGAAACCGCTGCCCAGGCAGCTGTGTCACACCATGTGACCCTGCCTCTCTGCCACCCCCCAAGCCCCCAGATATACAGTTCAGTGGACCAGGATCACATACAGCTGGCCAGTGATTTTTGAAGTCATCTGGCTCACAAATGTAGGGAAAGCCAGCCAGGCCAGTCAGATGGCCCCTTTTGGAAATTGGAGTGGAAAAACCAGACAGTAGAATCAATGAGCAACAAGATGTCCTAAGGGCAAGTAGGGCCTGGTCAGACCAGTGTGCTGGCCAGAATTACACCGGAGAAGAAACTTGGCGATTGAAGCAAAACCAAAATAAGCTAAGCCATGGAGAAAATCCCCTTGCGGAGGGAAAATGAGCTTGGTTTTGGCGAGAGGATAAAGGAGGACAGGGCAGGAACTGAGCTGGGACTCCAAAAAGGGCCGAGAGAAGCCATCCCAGGGGGACCTCCTGCCTGTGGGTGTCATTGCAGCCAGTTTGCCACTTGTTCCCTTTGCTGTCAGTTGGCTTAGAAGTGGGTGGGTGACTTAGCTGTGCTGCTAGAACGTAGAGGGATTTCCAGCCCATGCAGCACGCCATCCCATTTCCCGGGCATGGTGGCTCACGCCTGTAATCCCAGCACTTTCAGAGGCCAGGGCAGGTGGATCACGAAGTCAAGAGTTCAAGACCATCCTGGCCAAGATGGTGAAACCCCGTCTCTACTAAAAATACAAAAATTGTGGGCCAGGCACCGTGGCTCATGCCTGTAATCCCAGCACTTTGGGAGGCCGAGGTGGGTGGATCACCTGAGGTTGGGAGTTTGAGATCAGCCTGGCTAACACGGTGAAACCTGGTCTCTATTAAATATGCAGAATTAGCTGGATGTCCTGGCACATGCCTGTAATCCCAGCTACTTCGGAGGATGAGGCAGGAGAATCGCTTGAACCTGTAGGCGGAGGTTACAGTGAGCCGAGATCATGCCACTGCACTCCAGCCTGGGTGATAGAGAGAGACTCCGTCTCAACAACAACAACAACAACAAAACAAAAACATATGGCGAGATGGCTGGGACCATCTTGAGACCACGAGGCAACAAGACCAAGGGGAAAAGCCCACATACTGAGGATGGCAGAGCCTATGTCCTCCATGACAGCGTTGAGCCACCATACCTATCCTGGAACCCCCACTTCCAGTCTTACTGATCTGTAAGTCACGTGTCTTTATTTTCTGGGCAGATTTCTGCTACCTGCAGCCTAAAGCATCCCTCACCGCTTCTCAGAACCCCGTGACTGTTGCTGTAACTCCCAATGGAAAATCAACCTAAGTTTAGACATTAGAAATCAAATTATTGCTCATATGGAGGGAATAAGAATGAGGATTGGTCTTAGCCTACAGAGGAATCCCAGCTCAGAGTCCTAACCCCAAGGCCTAGGGGACATAGACAAGGAAAGAAAGAGATATTCATGCAAGTTCCAGACATCTTCTTTTTTTATTTTGAGACTGAGTTGCTCTGTTGCCAGACTGGAGTGCAGTGGTGTGATCTCGGCTCACTGCAACCTCTGACTCCCTGGTTCAAGCAATCCTCTTGCCTCAGGGTCTCAAGTAGCTGAGATTACAGGCAAGTGCCACCATGCCCAGCTAACTTTTTTTTTTTTTTTTTTGTATTCTTAGTAGAGACAGGGTTTCACCATGTTGGCCAGGATGGTCTCCATCTCCTGACCTCATGATCCACCCACCTTGGCCTCCCAAAGTGCTAGGATTACAGGTGTCAGCTACCTTGCCCAGCCTTAGACATCTTCTAAAACAGGACTCGATGAATTGTGGTAACTCAGTGGGGCTTTAATGCCTGAGATTTTGAGTGTGAGCAAGGGAACTAACTAGAAAAAGTTGATGGCAGCTGGAACTAAACTGGCCTAGTGGGAAATAGGCCTTTCAGTTACTCTCTAGCCATCAACCTTAGTGCCACCTTAGTTCTCAGGAATAAGGTGTCCTCAGTTGCCATTCTCTATGTGCATAGCCACCGCCCCCCACCCCAACCCCTCTGCAACTTTGTTCATTCCTCATCTCCCCTGCCTCTCCTCTTTTTTCCTACATTTTCTTTCTGGCTTCTCTCTCTTTTTTTTTTTTTTTTTTTTTTTCTTAGGATGGAGTCTCACTCTGTCTCCCAGGCTGGAGTGCAGTGGTGCGATCTCGGCTCACTGCAACCTGCGCATCCCAGGTTCAAGCGATTCTCCTGCCTCAGCCTCCCCAGTAGGTGGGATTACAGGTTTATGCCACCACACCTGGCTAATTTTTGTATTTTTAGTAGAGATGGGGTTTCACCATGTTGGCCAGGCTGGTGTTGAACTCCTGACCTTGTGATCTGCCTGCCTTGGCCTCCCAAAGTGCTGGGATTCTAGGTGTGAGCCACTGAGCCTCTTTCTGGCTTCTCTAAGCAAAGCTAGGAGCCAAAAATCTACAAAACCTAACTCACTTCTATTAAGAACTCAATGGGCCGGGCATGATGGCTCACGCCTGTAATACCAGCACTTTGGGAGGCCAAGGCAGGTGGATCAAGAGGTCAGGAGTTTGAGACCAGCCTGACCAACATACTGAAACCCTGTCTCTACTAAAAATACAAAAATTAGCCTGGCGTGTTGGCACATGCCTGTAGTCCCAGCTACTTGGGAGGCTGAGGCAGGAGAATTACTTGAACCTGGGAGGCAGAAGTTGTAGTGAGCCAAGATTGTGCCACTGCACTCCAGCCTAGCTACAGAGCAAGAATCCTTCTCAAAAAACAAACAAAAACAGAACTCAATGGGAGAGTTACTGTAGGGAGAGACAAGGATGTATTGGAAGACTTAGAATGCTGGTTCAAGGCCAAGGAATGAGGCTGGTAGGAGAGAAGCTTTCTTCTGGTCTGACTTTTGCCAAACAACATGTGCGTGTGTGTGTGTGTGTGTGTATGTGTGTGTGTGTGTGTTGCTTCAACACAAGAAATACGCCTGATTCTTCCCTTATGGAATAAGAAGCTGAACGTAAGAGCTCTAGCCCATCCTCTTTAAATCTCTGTTTTTGAAAATATGAAACAAAGAGAAACTGGCATCCTCCTAATGTATCTTAGAAATACCCACTATTTCATTTTACTCAGACCTGGAGAAAAAGCACCTGCAGCCACATTTTCCCATCTCCAAATAATCTTCAGCATTTGTAGAGATGTGGTCCTGGAAGTTCATCAGATATATGGGGCCTACCTATGAGTGTGTTGTGATGATATTAGAATTTGCAACTGCCATATTCTGGCACCAAACCCAGCACCTCTCAATGCTGTCCTTCTGCACCCCACATATTGTGTAATGTTTTGAAAGGCAAAGCCAGTGCACCATTGATTTTTGCCTGTTGCTTCATTCCCTCAACAGAGACGTAAGGAATGAAAACTTTGATTGGGGTGAAAGAAGCAAAAAAGTTTAAACTCCTACTTTAATGGGATTAATGTTTTAACGTGAATCTTAATAAACCCTGAATTCCTCCAGCAAGTTTCTCTATATGTCACTGAGGATTCTCTGAAATCCAATAAGGAAAAAAACTGGAAGACTTTTTCCCCTTCTTCATCATCAAGGTTTTTCTCCGGGATGAATTAGCCTGATTAGTGCCTGAAAGTTCTCCCATGATCCGTCCAAGCTCATTCCTTTTTTGTGTGTGAATTCTCCAATGATGAGAAAGCTAAACTTGTCCCCAAGTGATTTTCCACACTCATTGTACTCCTAAGACTTCTTTCCAGTGTGGATGATCTCACATTCCATATTCCCCATGCTTCCCCGAGTTTTCCGTCTTCATTACGTATGACCATTTAAAGTCCCACCTGAATTAGCTGATATTGTCTAAGTATGGAACTCTGATTGAAGGTTCTTCCTCATCCATTATACTCACAAGGCCCCTCTGTGCTACAAAATCCCAGAATGTCTGATTAGCTCTGGGCACCATCTCAAAGCATTTTTACGTCCATTACACACATACGATTTTCCTCCATTGTGAATTCTCTGATGTTGAATGAGCTATACTTTTCCAAAAGCTCTTGCACATTTCTGCATTGATAGACTCTTTGTTGCATGTGAATTAGCTGATGCTGCATTGGAATGTTGACGATGCCTCCCCCATCTCCACAGATTCTCTCCAAAATAAACGTTACAGTGTTCAATAGCATGTGAGCCCCAGGGAAAACTGCCTGTATAAGTGACAAAGATGTTCTCTGTGATATAAACACTGTAATATTGAATAAATTCTGAATTCTGTTGCACAACTTGACCATATCATATTTGGAGTTTCTCTCACTTCTAAAACATGTAAATGGAATCACGATTTTTTCTGTATTCATGGCACTCAATAGAATGGGGTCCCTAAAATGGTCCTCTACATGTCCCCATGTTTGTAATGGCCCAAGGGGTTCTTCCTGACTACCACACAAACAAAATCCACTGAAGACCATGGCGTTAAAGAGTTTCATTGATGCGAAGCCAGCTATGCCACGTGGGAAATGGAGTTATTACTCAAATCAATCTTGCTAACGTCTTGCAGAAGAGGGATTTTTCCAAGATAGTGTTGTGGGCAAGGGGCTAGGATAGGGGGCCTGCTGATTGGTTGGGTGCAGGAGATGAAATCATAGAGAATTAAAGCTGTCCTCTTGGGCTGAGTCAGTTCCTGAGTGGGGGCCACAGGACTGGTTGGCAGGTGGGGACATCCAGTTGTCAGAAATGCAAAAATTTGAAAAGCGTTTTTTCCTTTTCTTTTGAGATGGAGTTTCACTCTTTTTGCCTAGGCTGGAGTGCAATGGTGCAATCTTGGTTCACTGCAACATCCACCTCCCGGGTTCAAGTAATTCTCTTGCCTCAGCCTTCCCTAGTAGCTGGGATTACAGGCATGTGCCACTATGCCTGGCTAATTTTGTATTTTTAGTAGAGACAGGATTTCTCCATGTTGGTCAATTTGGTCTTGAACTCCTGACCTCAGGTTATCCACCCACTTCAGCCTCCCAAAGTGCTGGGATTACAGGTGTGAGCCACCGCGCCCAGCCCTGAAAAGCATTTTTTTCTAAGAATACATATAGATTTTCCCCATTCATCAGATTTTTCTTTTCCTTTCTTTTTTTTTATTTAATTTTTATTTTGAGACAGAGTCTTGCTCTGTCACCCAGGCTGGAGTGCAATGGTGAGATCTCGGCTCACTGCAAACTCTGCCTCCTGGATTGTTCAAGTGATTCTCCTGCCTCAGCCTCCTTCCTGAGTAGCTGGGATTATAGGCACCTGCCACCATGCCCAGCTAATTTTTGTATTTTTAATAGAGTCGGGGTTTCACCATGTTGTCCAGGCTGGTCTCGAACTCCTGACCTGAGCTGATCCACCCACCTCAGCCCCCCAAAGTGCTGGGATTACAGGCATGAGCCACTGCACCTGGCCTACTCTGCTTTTTCAAAATGCTTGTGGTAAAAACAAGATAGATATGTTGGAGTTAGTATTCATGTAGAGATTTAAAAATGTCTTCAAGAGGGGTTAAGCGTGGTCAGTTGTGTCTTTATGGCCAAGCACTTAGATAAATTGAAAAAAGATGAAAATCATGTAACATAATCACAAAAGATTGTGTTCACAATGATGTCGGGGATCTCACGAAGGTTCCTTAATATAGACAACATTTTAACCATAGCCATATTTTAAGCAGTCATCTTTTTTCTCTACAATGTATTCCTGGACTGCTTTGTTAAAAAGTCACATTTTCTTTTAATAATTACTGATATCCTGAAGCGGCATCAAACAAATTCTAATTCCAATGAATATCTCATAAAAGCAAAAACATGGCCAGGTGCGCTGGCTCACGCCTATAATCCCAGCACTTTGGGAGGCCGAGGCAGGCGGATCACCTGAGGTCAGGAGTTTGAGACCAGCCTGGCCAACATGATGAAACCTCGTCTCTACTAAAAATACAAAAATTAGCTGGGCGTGGTGGTGGGTGCCTGTAATCCTAGCTACTCGAGAGGCTGAGGCAGGAGAATCGCTTGAAACTGGAAGGTGGAGGTTGCAGTGAAACAAGATCATGCCACTGCACTCCAGCCTGGGCAACAAGAGCAAAACTCCATCTCGAGTTAATGGGTGCAGTACACGAACATGGCACATGTATACATATGTAACAAACCTGCACGTTGTGCACATGTACCCTAAAACTTAAAGTATAATAATAATGAAATAAAAAAAAATTCTAGTCCAATAACATTCAAAAGAGATTTACTTAGCCAAAAAATCCTAAACAACCCTTTTGTCAATCAAGAGGAGAATAAATAAATTGTGGTATGTTCAGACCAAAACCTCCACTCAACTATAAAAAGGAACCTACTGATGCATGCAGTGTGAGTGAATCTCACATTGTGCTCAGTGAGACGTGTTAAACACAAAAGGGCACATACTGTGTGATTTTAGTTACATGAAATTCTAGAACAGGCAAAGTTAACCTATAGAGAGAACAATCAGATGAGTGGTTGCCTGGAGTGGGGAGTGAAAGGGAGATTGCCTGTAAAGGGGAGGGAAGGAGGTGAAAATGTTTTATACCTTTGATAAAAGTCATCTACTTGATATTTCAAATATGTAGAACTTATTGTCCGTAAATTATGTCTCAGTAAAGCCGGTTTATTAAAAAAAAGGCAAAAACATAACAATGGGGTAGTCTTTAGTAATATACAAGGGTTATACTATGCTTGGAGTGCTGTGACTTTGGATACAGATGTCTAACAAGATCGGTTATTTTACAGCCTTCAATGCACTCTGAAGTCCACACAAAACACAAACTATTCTGCTTTTCTGTCCAGTCCAAAAATAGCCCTAGGAAAAAACCTTTTAACATTAACAATGTGCTTCCCTTTTTAGAATTCTGGAGAATCATGGGGAAATTATGTATAAGATATAGGGCTCTTTTCAAAATCAGCTTTTCAGAGAAAACTGAAATATCCTTTCTCTTTCTTCTGATAAATTTCCCTGAAAGAAACAGAAACACACCAAGTAATCCCATTGATCTTTTTTTTTCTTTCTTTTTTTTTTTTTTTTCTGAGATGCAGTCTTGCTCTGTCATTTCAGCTGGTGTGCAGTGACACGATCCCGGCTCCACTGCAACCTCCACCTCCCAGGTTCAAGCGATTCTCCTGCCTCAGCCTCCTGAGTAGCTGGAATTACAGGCAGTCAACACCAAGCCTGGCTAATTTTTGTATTTTTAGTAGAGACGGGGTTCCACCATGTTGGCCAGGCTGGTCTCAAACTCATGACCTCAGGTGATCCACCCACCTTGGCCTCCCAAAGTGCTGGAATTACAGACATGAGCCACCACGCCCGGCCTCAGTTTCAGCACTTTTTTTTTTTTTTGTGATGGAGTTTTGCTCTTGTTGCCCAGGCTGGAGTGCCATGGCGCGATCTCAGCTCACTGCAACCTCTGCCTCCCCAGGTTGAAGCAATTTCCCGCCTCAGCCTCCTGAGTAGCTGGGATTACAGGCGTGTGCCACCATGCCTGGCTAATTTTGTATTTTTAGTAGAGACGGGGCTTTGCCGTGTTGGCCAGGCTGGTCTCGAACTCTGACCTCAAATGATCCACCACCTCAGCCTCCCAAAGTGCTGGGATTGCAGGCATGAGCCACCTTGACCGGCCAGTTTGAATGCTTTCTATCAATCCACGTTTGTCTACTGACTCTTCCTCACCTTCATATTGTTAATTGAGTCCATCTAGTGAGTTTTAAATTTTTGTTATTGTATTTTTGTTTTAAAATTTCCATTTGAGGCTAGGTGTTGTGGCTCATGCCTGTAATCCCAGCACTCTGGGAGGCCGAGGTGGTCGAATCACTTCAATTCAGGAGTTTGCGACCAGCCTGGGTGACATGGCAAGACCCTATCTCTACACAAAATACAAAAATTGTGCATGCTTCGGTAGCACATATACTAAAATTGGAAAGATACAGAGAAGATTAGCATGGCCCCTGCACAAAGATGACATGCAAATTTGTGTTGCGTTCCATATTCGCTTGAACCTGGGACAAGGAGGTTGCAGTGAGTCTAGATCGTGCCAGGGCACTCCAGCCTGGGCAACAAGAGCGAAACTCTGTCTCAAAACCTCAAAACAAAACAAAACAAAACAAAACAACAAAACAAGGCCGGTGTAGTGGTTCATGCCTGTAATCCCAGCACTTTGGGAGGTGGAGGCAGGTGGATCACCTGAGGTAAGGGGTTCAAGACCAGCCTGGGCAACATGGTGAAACCCCCGTCTCTACTAAAAATACAAAAATTAGGCCAGGCATGGTGGCTCATGCCTGTATTCCCAGCACTTTGGGAGGCCGAGGTGGGCAGATCACAAGGTCAGGAGATCGAGACCTTCCTGGCTAACACATTGAAACCCTGTCTCTACTAAAAATACAAAAAATTATCTGGGCATGGTTGTGGGCGCCTGTAGTCCCAGCTACTCAGGAGGCTGAGGCAGGAGAATCGCTTGAACCCAGGAGGTGGAGGTTGCAGTGAGGTGAGATCAGGTCACTGCCCTCCAGCCTGGGCGACAGAGCAAGACTCTGTCTCAAAAGAAAAAAAAAAAGAAAAATTAGCCAGGCGTGGTGGCGGGCACCTGTAATCCCAGGTGCTCGGGAGGCCAAGGCACTAGACTCGCTTGAACCAGGGAGGCAGAGGTTGCAGTGAGCTAAGATTGTGCCATTGTACTCTAGCCTGGGTGACAGAGTGAGACTCTGTCTCAAAAAACAAAACAAAACAAAACAAAACAACTAACAAAAGGATAATAAGGGAATACTAAGCAATTCTACCCATATAAATCCAACAAGTTGGATGAAATGGACCAATTCCTTGAAAACTACAAACTACCAAAAAACACTCCATAGGAAACATAATTTTTAAAATCTTGTAACAATTTTAAAAATTGAATTCATGGTTTTTTATTTTTATTTTATTTTATTGTGAGACTGTATCTCACTCTGTCACCCATACTGGAGTGCAGTGGCACAATCACGGCTCACTGCAGCCTTGACTTCCTGGGCTCAGGTGATCTTCCCACCTCAGCCTCCTGAGTAGTTAGGACTACGGGCGCCCGCCACCACACCCAGCTAGATTTTTATTTTTTGTAGAGATGGGGTTTTGCCAAGTTGCCCAGGCTGGTCTTCAACTCCTGGGGCTCAAGCAATCCACCTGCCTCAGCCTCCCAAAGTGTTAAGATTACAGGCATGAGCCACTAGGCCCAGCTGAATCCTTTTTTTTTTTTTTTTTTTTTTGAGATGGTGTCTCAGTCTATCACCCAGGCTGGAGTGCAGTGGCACAATCTTGGCTCCCTGCAACCTTTGCCTCCTGGGTTCAAGCGATTCTTTTGCCTCAGCCTCCCAAGTAGCTGGGACTACAGGTGCCCACCACTACACCTGGCTAATTTTTTGTATTTTCAGAAGAGACAGAGTTTTACTATGTTGGCCAGGCTGGTCTCGAACTCCTGACCTCATGCTATCCACCCACCTCAACCTCCCAAAGTGTTAGGATTACAGGTGTAAGCCACCACGCCTGTCCTTGAATTCATAGTTTTAATAAAAGAATTTCTTGTCTTCATGGTCGCATACAACTAGTTTGGTGATTCCCTGGAAGGACCCATGTGACTCTAGATCAAGTTATACTCTAGGTGAAGGTTTATTACAGTGGAGGATACAATACAAAGACAGCAGGAAAAAGGATATTAATAGATGAAGGCTGGAAGGTCAAATGCATACTTAACCTCTGCAGGGACAGCACAGACTTATCTTTTCCAGGAGCAAACTGCAAGGACTTGTGTGAGATGTCCTTGCCCAGGAAATCGCACTTGAGTTCTGGAGTCAAAATTTGTGTGGTTAGGCCAGGCACAGTGGCTCATCCCTGTAATCCCAGCACTTTGGGAGGCCGAGATGGGAGAACTGCTTGAGTCCAGGAGTTTGAGACCAGCCTGGGCAACATGGTAAGATCAGATCTTTATTTAAAAAAAAAAAAAAAAGGCTGGGCGTGGTGGCTCATGCCTGTCATCCCAGCACTTTGGGAGACCAAGGCGGGTGGATCACCTGAGGTCAGGAGTTCGATACCAGCCTAGGTAACATGGTGTAACCCCATCTCTACTAAAAATACAAAAATACAAAAATATTAGCTGGGCATGTTGGCAGGCACCTGTAATCCCAGCTACTCTGGAGGCTGAGGCAGGAGAATCGCATGAACCCGGGAGGCGGAGGTTGCAGTGAGCCTAGGTCGTGCCACTGCACTCAAGCCTAGGAGACAAGAGCAAGACTCCATCTGGCTCATGGCTGTAATCCTAGCACTTTGGGAGGCTGACGGGGGCGGATCACCTGAGGTCAGGAGGTCGAGAGCAGCCTGGCCAACATGGTAAAACCCCATCTCTACTAAAAATGTAAAAAAATTAGCCGGCTATGGTGGCACACACCTGCAATCCCAGCTACTTGGGAGGCTGAGGCGGGAGGATCACTTGAACCCAGGAGGCGGAGGTTGCAGTGAGCTGAGATCACACCATTGCACTCCAGCCTGGGTGACATTCCTGCCATGTGACCAAACAGCCCTAAACCACCAGGTTGGGCATCATGAATCTTTTATTCTTTTTTTTTTTTTTTCAAAAATGGGGTCTCACTATGTCTCCTAGGCTGGAGTGCAGTGGCATGATCATAGCTCACTGTGGCTTTTTTTTTTTTTTTTTTTTTGAGACAGAGTCTCGTTCTGTCACCCAGGCTGGAGTGCAGTGGTGTGATCTTGGCTCACTGCGACCTCTGTCTCCTGGGTTCACATGATCCTCCTGTCTCAGTCTCCCAAGTAGCTGAGATTACAGGCACTCACCACCACGTCCAGCTAATTTTTTGTATTTTCAGTAGAGACAGGTTTTTGCCATGCTGGCCAGGCTGATCTTGAACTCCTGACCTCAAGCGATTCTGCCTGCCTCGGCCTCTCCAAATTCTGGGATTACAGGCCTGAGCCACTGAGCCTGGCCAAGCATCATGAATCTGTATGTTTACTTTAAACCTGCTGACAGCCTGGTTCATCTGGGCTCACTGTTTTGGGCGTGGAGAATAACATCTGACCCGGTAGCTATGTGAATATTCCAGGAGTTTGGTTTTCAGACTTTGACCAATGGCCATGCTTTGGCTATAGAAATAAGTGAGAAATGAATGAATCAGACCTGTTGTGTTAACTCTTTCCTCCCACTCTTAAAAAAGGTATCTCCAGACCCAGATAGTTTCACTGGAGAAGTCTGCTCATAGTTAAAGAAATAGCAACACCAATTACACGTAATCTCCAGAAAACAGAAGAAGGGGCATTTCCAGACTGACGAGGCCAGTACAGTTGACCCTTATAACTGCAGGTTCCCCATCCATGGATTCGGCCAACCACAGATCGAAAATATTCCAAAATATGGACTCTAGGCACGGTGGCTCACACCTGTAATCCCGAGAATCACTTGAACCCAGGAGGCGGAGGTTGCAGTGAGCCGAGATCACGCCACTGCACCACTGCACCACTGCACCGCTGCACTCCAGCCTGGATGACAAGAGTGAAACTCCGTCTCAAAAAGAAAAAAATCACTCTGGGTGGGCATGGTGGCTCACACCTGTAATCTCAACATTGTGGGAGGCCAATGAGAAAGAATTGCTTGAGCCCAAGAGTTTGAGACCAGCCTGGGCAAATAGCAAGACCCTGTCTCTACAAAAAAATTTAAAAATTAGCTGGGCATGGTGGTGCTTCTCTACTGTAATCCCAGGTACTTGGGAGGCTGAGATGGGAGGATCACATGAGCCCAGGAGTTCCAGGCTGCAGTGATCTATGATTGCAACACTGTACTCCAGCCTCGGGAACACAGCGAGATCCTGTCTCAAAAACAAACAAAAAAACAAAAACAGGAAAAAACTCAATTCTGAAAACTTTGCCTTAACTTGTAGTCTAGAGTTGAAGACCCCTCCGCTAAGCTCTGGTGAGAGGCTAACTGAATAAGAACACTTTGACCATCATATTATAATAATTGCTTTCTCTCTTTCTTTCCCTCTCTCTCTCTTTTTTCTCCCCTCCCTCCCTTCCTTCCTTCCTTCCTCCCTCCCTCCCTCCCCCCGCCCCTCTCTCTTTCTTTCTTTCATCTTGCTCTGTCCCCCAGGCTGGAGTGCAGTGGCATGATCACAATTCACTGCAACCTCAACCTCCCAGGCTCAAGACATTCTCCACCCCAGCCTCCTTGGTAGCTGGGACTACAGGCATGCACCATCACACCCGGCTAATTTTATAATTGTTTTTCTGTTTTTTGTTTTGTTTTGTTTTGTTTTTTTGAGACAGAGTCTCGCTCGGTTGCACAGGTTGGAGTGCAGTGGCACAATCTCGGCTCACTGCAAGCTCCGCCTCCTGGATTCACACCATTCTCCTGCCTCAGCCTCCTGAGAAGCCGGGACTACTAATTTTTTGTATTTTTAGTAGAGATGGGTTTCACCATGTTAGCCAGGATGCTCTCGATCTCCTGACCTCGTGATCCGCCCACCTCAGCCTCCAAAGTGCTGGGATTACAGGCAAGAGTCACCGCACCCTGCGAATTTTATACATTTTTTATAAAGAGGGGCATTGGCCAGGCACCCTGGCTTACGCCTGTAATCCCAGCACTTTGGGAGGCCGAGGCAGGTGAATCACCTAAGGTCAGGAGTTCCAGACCAGCCTGGACAACATGGTGAAACCCCATTTCTACTAAAAATACAAAAATTAGCTGGGCATGGCGCCACATGCCTATAATCCCAGCTACTCAGGAGGCTGTGGCAGGAGAATCGCTTGAATTCAGGAGGCAGTTGCAGTGAGCCGAGATCGTGCGGTTGCACTCCAGTCTGCGAAACGAGAAAAACTTTGTCTCAAAAAAGTAAATAAATAAAAAATAATAAAATAAAGAGGGGTGTCTTGTCATGTTGCCTAAGCTAGTCTAGTATTTCTGGGCTCAAGTGATCTACCCGCCTCAGCCTCCCAAAGTGCTGGGATTACAGGCATGAGAGTCACTGTGCCTGGCCAGAGCTGGGCTACATATCTCTATTAAGCTTTTCATCAGGGTCAACTGGGCCCTGGCTCCTGCCCCACCCATCCTATAAGGCTGCAGTGTGTATGGCCCCAATAAAGATTCTTCCCCGAACCCCCTACCCCCGGATCTTCCTGCAAGGTTGGCAGAGCTGGATGCTCTGAAAGCTAAGGGCATGTGGGCCAACCAGCGCCTGGCCAGAGAAGGGGAGGAAAACATGTGAGGGCTCACAGGTCTGGAGTCTAGCGCCTGACTGAACACAGAACAGCCACCCCTGCGTGCAGTTGCAGGGCGAAGAAGGTCAGCTCTTGCCCCCTTCTCAACCCTCCTCCCAAACACCAAGCAGGTTTCTGAGAATAGTAAAAGGCCAGCAGACCCATCTTCAGGGCCCCTGTGATCAGAAATGTGCAAATACCTTTTTCTTTTTTCTAATTTTTTTTGAGACTGAGTCTCACTCTGTCGCCCAGGCTGTATTACAGTGGTGTGATCTCTGCTCACTGCAACCTCCGCCTCCTGGGTTCCAGCGATTCTCCTGCCTCAGCCTCCCAAATAGCTGGGATTACAGGCACCCATCATCATGCCAGGCTAATTCTTGTATTTTTAGTAGAGACGAAGTTTTGCCATGTTGGCCAGGTTGGTCTCGAACTTTTGACCTCAAGTGATCCACCTGCCTCAGCCTCCCAAAGTGCTGGGATTACAGGTGTGAGCCACTGCGCCTGGCCCAAAGACCTTTTTCTTCATGCCTTTGGGAGTTAATTAAGCACCAGTATCTAAAAAGCTGTTTCTGCATCCCACACTCAGAGTGAATGGCAGAAACAGAGTCCAGGAATGCACAAGGCTGGGATTCAGATTCAGCAAGTTCTGGGATAGAAAAACTGAACCTAAAGGAAAATTGTATTGTGCACTCACCAGTACTTTGAAAGAGTGTTTCAGTACATTATAAAAAGAGGCTGGGCGTGGTGGCTCATGCCTGTAATCCCAGCACTTTGGGAGGCTGAGGCAGGAGGATTGTTTGAGGCCAGGAGCTGGAGACCAGCCTAGGAAACATGAAGAGACCCCATCTCTACAAAAAATATAAAAATTAGCCAGGCATGGTGGTGCATGCCTGTGGTCCCAGCTACTCTGGAGGCTGAGATGGGAGAATCCCTTGAATCCAGGAGGTCAAGGCTGCAGTAAACTATGATTGTACAACTGCCCTCCAAACTGATCAACAGAACAAGACCCTGTGTCAAAAATAAAAATAAAAAGACATGAGCTAGCTGACTTTTTTTTTTGAGATGGAGTTTCACTCTTGTTGCCCAGGCTGGAGTGTAATGGCATGATCTCCACCTGTCGAGTTCAAGCGATTCTCCTGCCTCAGCCTCCTGAGTAGCTGGGATTACAGGCATGCATCATGACACCCGGCTAATTTTGTATTTTTAGTAGAGACGGGGTTTCTCCATGTTGGTCAGGCTGGTCTCGAACTCCCGACCTCAGGTGATCTGTCTGCCTTGGCCTCTCAAATTGCTGGGATTACAGGCACCCACCACCACACCTGGCTAATTTTTGTATTTTTTTAGTAGATTCAGGGTTTCACCATGTTCGTCAGGCTGGCGTTGATCTCCTGACCTCAGGTGATCCGCCCACCGCAGTCTCCCAAAGTGCTGGGATTACAGGCGTGAGCCACTGTGCCTGGCCAAGGGGGCTGATATTCTTAAAACCAAATATTTAAAAAATGTAAATATGTTAATAGAATATTCTTGAATGTTCCCAACTGTAGTTCCCAACTACAGAGCCAGTCCTCTACCTTCTAGTGAAAGCTTCCGGTGGACAAGAAAAGCTTGGGAAAGCCAGAAGGAATAGGAAGCACAGCTCATGGTGGTCTGTGGCTTCATCAATAAAAAGGACAATTCTTTTTTTTTTTTTTTTAAGAGATAAGGTCTCACTCCATCGCCCAGGCTGGTGTGCAGTGACCCAATCACAGCTCACTGCAGCCTTGACCTCCTGGGCTCAAGCAATCCTCCCAGCTCCTCCTGAGTAGCTGGGACCACAGGTGCACACCACCATGCCTTGCTAACTTTTATTTTTACTTTTTTAAATTTTTTGAGATGCAGTCTTGCTCTGTCACCCACGCTGGAGTGCAATGGCATGATCTCAGTCCACTGCAACCTCCGCCTCCCGAGTTCAAGTGATCCTTCTGCCTCAGCCTCCCAAGTAGCTGGAATTACAGGCACATGCCACCAGGCCCTGCTAATTTTTGTATTTTTGTATTTTTGTAGAGACAGGGTTTCACCATGTTGGCCAGGCTGGTCTTGAACTCCTGATCTCAGGTGATCTGCCCGCCTCAGCCTCCCAAAGTGCTAGGATTACAGGTGGGAGTCACCGCACCCAGACCCTTGCTAATTTTTAAACTTTTTGTAGAGATAGAGTCTCACTATGTTGCCCAGGCTGGTCTCAAGCTCTTGGCCTCAAGCAGTCCTCCCACCTCAGCCTCCCAAAGTGCTGGGATTACAGGCATGAGCCACCATGCCCAGCCCCAGAAGGGCAATTATTACACAGTGACAGTGGAAGGAACAGAGACATAGTCGGTGGGTGGTGGGAAGATAAGAATATTCACTCTGGGCTGGGCGCGGTCCACGCCTGTAATCACAGCACTTTGGGAGGCCAAGGTGGGTGGATCACGAGGTCAGGAGATTGAGACCATCCTGGCTAACACAGTGAAATCCCGTCTCTACTAAAAATACAAAAAATTAGCCGGGCGTGGTGGCGGGCGCCTGTAGTTCCAGCTACTAGGGAGGCTGAGGCAGGAGAATGGCATGAACCCAGGAGGCAGAGCTTGGAGTGAGATTGCACCACTGCACTCCAGCCTGGGCGACAGAGAAAGACTTTGTCTCAAAAAAGAGAAAAAAAAAAAGAACATTCACTCTGATGTCTTCTAATAACGTTAGAGAAGTGAGCTTCAGCTGAGCAGAAGAGAGGGAGGGAAGGAAGCACAGGAGGTTTGAGGAGAGAGAGAGGAAGTATGAAATCACTGTTGCAAACCTCCTGGGGGAATGTAAAGGGGTTGCCAGGCAGCCTACTTGAAGTCTGTGAATTTAAAGTGAAAGTCTGTCCAGGCCGAGAGCACTGGCTTACTCCTGTAATCCCAGCACTTTGAGAGGCCAAGGTAGGTGGATCACCTGAGGCCGGGAATTTGAGACCAGCCTGACCAACATGGTGAAACCCCATCTCTACTTAAAATATAAAAGCTGGCCAGGCATGTTTGTGGGCACCTGTGATCCCAGCTACTCAGAAGGCTGAGGTGGGAGAATCGCTTGAACCCAGGAGGCAGAGATTGCAGTGAGCCGAGATCGCTCCACTGCGCTCCAGCCTGGGCAGTACAGCCAGACATGGTGGCTCACACCTGTAATCCCGGCACATTGAGGGGTTGAGGTGAGGAGGATTGCTTAAGGCCAGGAGTTCAACAGCAGCCTGGGCAACATGATGAGACCTCATCTCTACAGAAAATTAGAAAGTCAGCTGGGCATGGTGTGGTGCACGTCTGTGATCCCAGCTCCCAGGGAGGCTGAGGTGGGAGGATCGCTTGAGCCCAGGAGGTGGAGGCTCCAGCGAGCTCTGATCACACCACTGCACTCCAGCCTGTGTGACAGAGTGAGAAGCTGTCTCTAAAATAAATAAACAAATGAATAAATAGATGAATAAATAAAGTAAAAGTTTAGCTGAGTGTGTGCTTTCCCAGTGATGCTTGGCTGTCCAGGTGCAGACGCAAGACATCTAGCCCGTTCATGTCACCCTTGTTGAGGGGAACAATGTCAGGAGAGAGAGAGACAAAGGAATTGATTTTTTTTTTTTTGAGACGGAGTCTCCCTCTGTCGCCCAGGCTGGAGTGCAGTGGTGTGATCTCAGCTCACTGCAACCTCTACCTCACGGATTCAAGTGATTCTCCTGCCTCAGCCTCCCCAGTAGCTGGGATTACAGGTGCCCACCGCCACACCTGGCTAATTTTTGTATTTTCAGTAGAGATGGGTGTTTCGCCATGTTGGCCAGGCTGGTCTCAAACTCCTGACCTCAAGTGATCCATCCGCTTCGGCCTCCCAAAGTGCTGGGATTACAGGTGTGAACCACCTCGCCCTGCAGGAGTTGATTTTAATTATGAACGATGATTAAGGAAGGCAGTGGACACAGAGAGAGTGACAGTGAGGTTACGAGGCCAAGTGGAGAGTTCTGGAACGAGAGAGGAGAGGTCAGTGGGGAGCTGTCTGAAGTCTCCTTTCTGGGTGATGGAGGGTCCCAGGTGTGACCGCAGGCAGGGAGAGGTGGCTGAGAGGCACACTGGAAAAGGTCACTGGAGCTGCAGCAGTCCTGGTGCCCAGAGAGACAGGGAGTAGCCTGGCCTGTCCACGTGGGTGACATCACCCTCGGGGAGTAGCCTGGCCTGTCCACGTGGGTGATGACGCCCTCAGGGAGTAGCCTGGCATGTCCACGTGGGTGACGACGCCAACGTCTTGTATGAAATCACTGTTGCAAACCTCCTGGGGGATGTAGAGGGGATGCCAGGCAGCAACCCCTCTAACGAGATGACAAGAATGATGGAGAACACTGTCAACAGAAAGCCCAAGTCCTCAGTGGATGAGGAGGTGTAAGGGGAAGACCAGCAGACAGCAGTCACCGAGAGGGACAGCAGGTGACTCTGCTGCCTTTGGAAGAGAAATGTCTTGGACGCAACCACAGGAAGCATGGAGGATATAGACCCTACTTTAGATTCTGCAGTACGTGGGGTATAGGAGAAAAAAAAGACTCCCTGCTCCAGATGGTGCCAGCGGAATTGGGGTCCTGAGGGGCCAGTGGGGTCGGAGGGAGGGGACCCTCTTGCAAGAGGCTGAGTGGCGGCTCCAGAGCCGATGATGTCATCAGAGGAGCTGGGGCAGGATGAGGGGTGAGGAGGAGGGTCCAGTCATATTAGGCAATGCACAGATCCGGGGGAAGGGCCCATGGCACAGAGGCTCTGTCCTTTGAGGGTCACTGAACCAACAGGGGAAGGTGAGGCATGATGAAAATAGCCGTGGATGTCCAGCCGCAGTGGCTTACACCTGTCATCCCAGCACTTTGGGAGGCCAAGGAGGGTGGATCACCTGAGGTCAGGAGTTCAAGACTAGCCTGGCCAACATGGGGAAGCCCCGTCTCTACTAAAAATACAAAAATTAGCTGGGCACGATGGTGGGCACCTGTAATCCCAGCTACCTGGGAGGCTGAGGCAGGAGAATCATTTGAACCCAGGAGGCAGTGGTTGCAGTGAGCCGAGAGCGTGCCACAGCACTCCAGCCTGGGCAACAAGAGCGAAACTCTGTCGGGAAGGGGAGAAGAGGGGAGGGGAGAGGAGGGGAGAAGGAAGGAAGGATAGAAGGAAAGATGGAAAGAAGGAAGGAAGGGAGTGAGAGAGAGAGAGAAAAGAAAGGAAGAAAGAGAGAAGAAAGAAAGAGAAAGAAAGAAAAAGAAAGGAAGAAAAAAGAAAAAAGAAAGAGAAGAAAGGAAAGAAGGGAGAAAGAAAGAAGAAAGAAAGAAAGAAAGAAAGAAAGAAAGAAAGAAAGAAAGAAAGAAAGAAAGAAAGAAGGAAAGAAAAGAAAAAGAAAATAACTGGATGACCTCGGACGGCTGCAGGTGACATTTCAAGCTGTGAGTTTGAAGAGTGTGGATGCTCCAGGCAACTGTTGGGTAACTCCGCCCTCTGGTGGCCATATATGGCTAAAGCGAGTACAAGTCCAAACTCACACCTGGAGGACAGGTGCCATCGCCTGAAAGCAACAGTAACCACGACAACAAGGCCAGGTGCAGAACCCAGGTCTCCCCTCATTATTAGAACCTGTGGAGAGATCATGAACGTATTCCCCGACAAGTTCATTTTCAGGGGTAAAAAAGCTCAACAATCTCCCACAGTGTCACTTCTCCCAGGAATATGTGTATGTTGCCCTTGACAAACTGTTGCCCTTGACGAAGAAATGTACCAATTTCCAATGGCAGTATATTTAATTGAGGAAAGATCTCATTAACAGATGTAAGTGCAGGGTCTCAGCATCAGAATTTCCCTTCAGTGTTTTATTATAAAAACGTTTGGGGTGTGGGGCTTACACCTGTAATCCTAACACTTTGGGAGGCCGAGGTGGGAGGATCACTTGAGGACAAGAGTTTGAGACCAGCCTGGGTAATTAGCCAAATGCAGTGGAGCACACTTGTAGTTTCAGCTTGGGAGGCTGAGAAGGGAGCATCCCTTGAGCCCAGGAGTTGAGGCTGCAGTGAGCTAGGATCACATCACTGCACTCCAGCCCGGGAAACAGAGCAAGACCCTGTCTCTAAAAAATAAATGAATTAACACTTTTAAGAAATGTTCAAACTTAATGAAAAGTTGAAAGAATTTTGCAGTGAACATCCATACCCACCCCTGAAGTCTACAATTAACATTTCATTATGCTCAGTTTATCATATAATCTATTCAACTATCCATCCCTCAAACCATCCTATTTGGAGGCATTTCAAAATGAATTGTGGCATTAGTACATTTCACCCCTAAACACTTCAGCACACATAACAAGACTCTCATATTTATTTATAGTCCTTTTTTCTTTGGACATGAAATACGCATATAGGTCAGGCGCTGTGGCTCAAGCCTGTAATCCCAGCACTTTGGGAGGCCGAGGTGGGTGGATCCCTTGAGCTCAGGAGTTCAAGATCAGCCTGGGAAATATGGTGAAACCCCGTTTCTACTAAAAATACAAAAATTAGCTGGGTATGGTGGCACATGCCTGTAATCCCAGCTACTCGGGAGGCTGTGGTGGGAGAATCACTTGAACCCGGGAGGCAGAGGTTGAAGTGAGCTGAGATGGGCTGAAATCTGCTTCCTGGGAACACTTATCTTGTTGATTCAGCACCATGCACCACATGAAGTGAGTTCTGATTACTCTTCCTTATGAAAGCTCTTAAACTGTCCAAAGATGGCCATTCTGTCCCTTTGAGTCACTTCATCTGATACAGAATCTCCAGTTTCTCTACCTGTTCATGCCCAGGCAAAGCTTCCAGCACTCAGCACTTCACTGGCTAGGCTTTCATGTTTGCAAGGGTGCTGACGCATCTCATCTTTCTATGTCAGTGGAAGAAAATAGACGGTTCAGACCTGGCCTGCTCTGGGTGGATATGATTGGATGGCCAGGACAGGAAGCCAGGACCTGGAAGGAGAGCAAACAAAATGAGTTTTTCAAAAAGCTAGATGACAGTGGAACCATGCAGAGATCAAAAACGGTGCAACAGGAAACTAGGAAAGCAGAAAACAGAAATAGTGTAATTTTGTAACATTAACAGGGGTAAGTAACATGACATTAGCGATATTTCACAGGGGATATTGGTCAGTGCCTGCAGCAAAATGTTTGAATGCCTTTTAATTGCAAAATTAATGCTTGCATACGTTTTCTTTGTTAAAAAATGAAAACAATTCAGGTAAGTCTAAAATGTCCCTGGTCCCTTCTGTCCTTCCTTCCCTACCCAATTCCAGAAGTGTGTGTATGAGCAGGTGCATGGGTGAGCATTTGCGTGTGTGTGTGTATATATATGTGTGTGCATATATATCTATGCACATATATGTGTATGTATACACATATATGTATATATGATGTACACATGTATACATACATGTGTATATGCATGTATATATACACATGTATACATGCACCTGTGTATATATGCATATACATATATGTACACATACATATACGTGCACATACACATGCATATGTGTACATAAATATATGTAGGTATGCATAGATAAGTGTGCATATACATATGTGCAAATACATATCTATATAAACATATCTACGTACACATACATATCTATGTACACATATCTATGTATACATATATTTATGTATATATACATACATGTATATATATATGTGTGTATGCATATATATATAGAGAGAGAGAATGAAAGAGAGAGAATAGAGAGAGATTTATTGTAAGGAATTGGTAAGGAATAGGTATATATACATAGGTTTATGTATATATACATATGTGTATATATCTATATATATTTATGTGTGTGTATATATATATATAGAGAGAGAGAGAGAGAGGGGGACAGAAAGAGAGAGAGAAGAGAGAGAGATTTATTGTAAGGGATTGGGTCACACAATTGTGGAAGCTGGCAAGTCCAAAATATGCAGGCAGGGTAACTCCAGCCATCAGTGTGGAGACCCAGGGAAGAAGTGATGTTGCACCCTGAGTCCAAAGAAAGCCTGGAGATGTAATTCCTTCTTCCTTGGGGGAGGTCAGCCTTATTTCTTTTAAGGCCTTCAACTGATTAAGTGAGGCCCATCCCACTACGGAGAGTAATCTGTTTTATTCAAAGTACACTGATCTAAATGTTAATCTTACCTAAATAATACCTTTACAAAAACATCTAAGATAGTATTCGGCCATGGCCTAGCCATGCGATATGTAAAATTAACTGTCGCAATATGGAATGCATATAAACATTCCTATATAATTAAAATATGCTATATTTTGTGTGCATTATTTAAATGTTATTATAGCGTACGACCTGCTTTTATCACTCAAAGCTATGATTAGAGTTCTTTCTTTAATAGGAAATAAAGGAATACCTCATTCTTTCTCAATGTTATGCTTAGAGGTATTTCCTTAAGAAGAAATAAAGGAATACTTCATTCTCGCTTTCTACATAGTATTCTGTTCTATGGCTATATCCTGATTTATTTAGCCATTACTCTAAAAATTGGCATTATATTATTCCCAGCTGGTGAGCTGCTTGATCATGAATTCAAGCAAACTTCTTGAATTCTTTTAAAATGGCGGTCGATATTCTGTTCCTGGGCAGGTGCAGTGGCTCATGCCTATAATCCCAGCACTTTGGGAGGCCAAGGTGTAAGGCTCTCTTTAGGCCAGGAGTTTGAGACCGGACTAGGCAATGTGGTGAAATCCTGTTACTACAAAAAATACAAAAATTAGCTGGGCATGGTGGCATGCATCTGTAGTCCCAGCTACTTGGAGGCTGAGGTTGGAGGATTGCTTGAGCTGAAGAGGTGAAGGCTGCAGTGAGCCATGTTCAGTGCACTGCACTTCAGCTTGGACACTGGAGTGAGAGAAAGGAAGGAAGGAAGGAAAGAAAGAAAGAAAGAAAGAAAGAACGAAGGAAGGAAGGAAAGGAAGGAAGGGAAGGAAGGAAGGGAAGGAAGGGGAAGAAAGAAAGATGAAAGAGAGAAAGAGAAAGAAAGAAAGAGAGAAAAAGAAAGATTTTCTTTTTCTAGTCTGGGTGACAGAGCAAGAATCTTTCTCAAAAAAAAAAAAAAAAAAAAAAAAAGTCTCTCAGAGTTAGCTTGGCCCAACAGCCCAGGAATAATTAAGGGAAAGGCAAGATGGGGTGTGGGTTAGCTCACATCTCTTTCACTGTCATAATTTTCTCACTGATAGAATTTTCAGAAGCAGTTTCAGAATTGTCAGAGAAATACAGCTAAGCCAAAAACATATGAACATATATATGTTCAATGAAACTGTTAAATGCAAATTGAAAAGAATGATAGACCACAGACATCTTTCAATGTGCCAAATGTTTTTAAGTGTATTATGTTACAGGAAAGGGGTCCCAATCCAGACCCCAAGAGAGGGTTCTTAGATCTCATGCAAGAATTCAGGGCAAGTCCATATATTAAAGTGAAAGCAAGTGTATTAGGAAAGTAAAGGAATAAAAGAATGACTACTCCATAGATGGAGCATCCTTGAGGGCTGATGGTTGCCTATTTTTATGGTTATTTCTTGATTATATGCTAACCAAGGGGTGAATTATTCATGCCTCTCCTTTCTAGACCAAATAGGGTAACTTCCTGACATTACCCTGACATTTGTAAGCTGTCATGGCGCTGGTGGGAGGGTAGCAGTGAGGACGACCAGAGGTCACTCTGGTGGCCATCTTGATTTTGGTGGGATTTGGCTGGCTTCTTTACCACAAACTGTTTTATAAGCAAGGTCTTTATGACCTGTATTCTGTGTTGACCTCCTGTTTTATCCTGCGACTTAGAATGTCTTAACTGTCTGGGAGTGCAGCCCAGTAGGTCTCAGCCTCATTTTACCCAGCTCCTATTTAAAATGGAGTTGCTCTGGTTTAAATGCCTCTGACAATAATGCTGGCAAAATGACAGTGAGGTCACACTTGCACACCGCTCCTGGGAGTTCATACTTCATTAATTGAAACATAACAAGGACCATAAAGCATTCACATCCTTTAACACAGTCAACTTCTGGATCCTATCTAACAAAATTGGTAGACACAAGTACAAGGTTTTTTTATGCAAAGGTTATCACTGGTATTTATAATGAGGAAAAATTGGGAATGGCGCTGGATAGAATTTTAAAGACACTCCTCTGTATTCCATGACCCCAGTCTCCAGAAGCTGTGAGTGGGATGAGACACTACCACTTCCAACAGTGCGATGGGCTCTGTGATCTGGCACACCGGACCTCTCATGAGCCCTTAAAACAGAGAACTTTTGCTGGCAGCAGGAACGGCCAGTCAGAGGGATTCCAAACCTGAAAAGGTTTTGTTCAGCCCCTGGTGACTTGAAAGTTGAGGCAGCCAGGTGATGAGGAAGGCAGCGGCCTTCAGGATCTGGGAGCAGAGCAGCCCCCAGCTGACAGCCAGCAGGGGAACAGGGAGCAGACCTCAGTCCTACAACCACAAGCAACTGGATCCTGCCAACCTGAAGGAAGCTGGAGATGGATTCCTGCCCAGATTCTCCAGGTAAGAAGCCACCGTCTCACCTGGAGAGAGCCCAGGCAGAGACCCAGCTGAGCCACCAGGACTGTGAGATAATGAATGGATATTGTGAGTGCTATTTGTGGTCATTTGTTATGTTGCCATAAAAAATTAAAATGCAACAGAAACACTAATAGAAAATAATACACAATAGAAAACTGATATACAAGTTAGATGATTTAAACACATAACATAGGTGTGTCTTATAACGCAAAGCTGGCAGTGCCCAGAAATCAGGTCTTTGAACCACACTTGGCTACAAGGAGGCAGAGGGGTTCAGGCATTGTGTGTAAATATATTTATTTTAGGGAAAAAGGGTTTGATTTCAATAAAGATGAGTTTGTGGGCATTTTAAGTTGAATAGAAACTGTACAAGAATGCACTTCCTTTCCTCATAGGTTTTGTCATGCGCGTCCGTGTGAAGAGACCACCAAACAAGCTTTGTGTGAGCAACATGGCTGTTTATTTCACCTGGGTGCAGGCAGTCTGAGTTTGAAAAGAGAATCAGCAAATGGTGGTGGGATTATCATTAGTTCTTACAGGTTTTGGGATAGGCGGTAGAGTTAGGAGCAATGTTTTGTGGGCAGCGGGGGGATCTCACAAAGTACATTCTCAAGGGTGAGGAGAATTACAAAGAACCTTCTTAAGCGTGGGGGAGATTAAAAAGAACCTTCTTAAGGGTAGGGGAGATTACAAAATACATTGATCAGTTAGGGTGGGGCAGAAACAAATCACAATGGTAGAATGTCATCAGTTAAGGCTATTTTCACTTCTTTTGTGGATCTTCAGTTGCTTCAGGCTATCTGATGTGTATGTGCATGTCACGGGATATGATGGCTTAGCTTGGGCTCAGGGGCCTGACAGGTTTCAAAACTGCATTTTCTGCAAAATACATGGGTTCGCATACACAGTGAGAGTTAAGATCTATTTTATCCCAAATAATTGCTGCAAGTTACATTATGCTTACCTCTAAGTGAGCATTGTTGGTGTTATTACCAGGGCTATTGTTTAGCTGTTTATTATTTTCCTCAAAGATGATCATTTAGAAATCTTGCCCTATGTCTAACATAAGCGGGCAGCACTCATTTCTCCGTGTCCCTCAGTCTGAGAATGCCCTGTCTCCCTTTCTAAGTTTCTCATCGTCTCCTGTCCCCAAGAATTTGGAAAGCTTTGTAGCAGCCAAACAGAGACTCAGTTCCATAGGCATGTCTAGGCGCTGGGGCAGCAAGACTTGTTCTGTCTTTAGCTGCTTCCTGTAGGTATCTTCCCATGGATGGAACATGTGATGTGCACCATTTGTGAAATCCAAGAGATTGCATTTTGAACACTTTAACTAGAGTGCCTATGGATAACTGCATATACTCCAAATATGTAAAAACATAGTAAGTACATTGTGCTAATATGTAGAAGATGCAATATGAATATCTAGGAAATCATCTTATATGTGAAAACATTCTTCTGAGTGCTGATAATTCCCAATCTTTCAAGGACACACTTCCCCAGAGTCACTCACATTATTTTTCTTCCTCCAGGGACTCATTTTGAATTTGAATTTCATTCTTTGAAAAACGAGATAGAAACATAACTACATGCCTGAATCACTTTGCATCAAACACAGACCACGGGAATAGTTCTCATGAAAACAGTTTATTTTTAATAGTAAAGACTGGAAAGAATTACTCTGATGTATTTATCTCTATGGTGTGCAATATAGGCAGTTTTTTTCTGCTTCTTTGTACTCTAATTTGTAAAATAAACATTTTTTAAATCTGATAATTTTGTAACCCAATAATATATAAGTTATAAAAAAAGAAAAAAGTAAACTTTTTAATAGCTTATACAGGAGGAACTAGTTCATAAAACCTATAAATGTTTAAACACACTACACAGTAAATAAATTTTTATCACTCATATAGAACATCCAATGAAATATGAAGTTACTGTCTAACTGCAGCCGCTATATCTAATCCCTCCTGTGAAGAATCTCATTCTCTGTTGGAAACCTCCAAAGAAATGTGGGTGTTTCCAGGAAGAACCCAATTATTGATCAGGAATATTTTCCACCCACCCTGCAGATCTAAACTTTTCACCTGTCTCTTAAAACTGAACATCCTAGACCTCACATGCCCTTAGAATCTATTATGTCCTATCTTTTAAGCCAGTCTGAGCCTATGTTTTAAGCCAGTCTCAGATTTCATCTAGGGGTTGCCCTTCTCACTGACTCCAGATGCCAGCCCACCTGTCCGCACACTTGAAGGGAGGCAGTGTAGGACTAGGCTGGAAATGTGTGCATTCTTTTTAGGAAGTAGAAAGCAAGCTTTTTAGAGTGGATGATGCAAACATTTATATGAATAAACTCTAGCTCTGTATTTAGTAACCATAACATGTCCACACAAACAGGTCTTGCTGAGATGCCTGTACTTGGGAGAATTGATGCTGACTTTGGGTTAAACTGAAGCTACCTGGACATCTCTTTCTTCTTCCTTACAATATGTATTACCTTCGTATTATTGATCACCTGGGTGGGACCCTGATGTTAAGCAGGGAGCACAGCGTTGGAGAGTGTAGGGGGTTGGCCCATGTAACTGTTAAAGGTTAAGTTCCTCTAGCCCTACACACTCAACAAACACAGCCAGCACTCTCAGATTTCCAGAATGCCTTCCAGGTGAGAATCACGGTTTTGGGGCTTTCCTAGAGTGGCATTTCAGGCTCACTAGGATACCTACCCTGCCCCTGATACCAGGTGTGGTGACTCCTGGAGACTTCTCAGCCATGCAGTGTGGGTGGACTGGCCTCTGAGTTCCTCTAAGCTTCCTTGCCTTTATCTGCAAACATCCTGGGATCCCACAGTCTGGTTTCTCCTACAGCCTATTGAGGAAGGAGGTAGGTACCCTCTAGGGGTGGGACTATGGGCACTCCCCTCCTCTCAAAACCTGGTTCCTCTCCACATAAGGGAAGGGAACATACATCCCTCACCATTGGTGCTCCAATGAGACCACCATAACCATAGGGTTGGAAACCCACCATCCAGTGCAGAGATTTTCTTTCCAGTTCCTGCTTCAGGCCTTCAATCCTGCTGTCTCAAATATGCTCATGGGGCATTGGCCCAACTCTTTCCTGAGAAGGCTGAGTGGCTACGGCCGCCCTCGCCTAGACATCAGCTCCACAGTCATTTCATCAGTCTGGGATGGGGTTTCCTCATGTGTCAGGTAAGGAACCTGAGGCTCAGACAAGCAGAGAGCTGTCTCCAAGGCCAGAGCTGGGCAGTGGAAAACCCAGGGCTCAAGTTACACACCATGCAGAGCCTTGTCTTCTTTAACCTGCCACCTCTGCTGACCCTCATCAATGTCAATGCCTCCCAGAAACACATTTACAGTCTAAGCAACAGGATCTTCTCAAACCTGTTTTTCCCACCCCATGGAGAAGGGCAACAGCATTGGGGGCCAGCCCAAGGAGGGCACCATGTGGACGATGAAGCCAGCCCAAGGCAGGCAGCTCTAGAGCACCCTGCCTTCCTGTCCTGGCACCAAGCACTCAGTCATCTTCGATGGTGAGCTCATGCTGGGTGGCTTCCTCAATGTTCTGAAGCACGTAGATCTCCCACTGTCGCACTCGCTCCATCTGTTTAAAGGAAAGGCATCACCCCATAGCAGCATCCATCTTTACTGGAGACAAGCTCTTCTGCTGCAAAATGTGCTTTAGAAAATAAATGCCCACTCAAGGTCTGCAGCTGGCCCAGCCAGCCCTATACAATTCTGCCTGTGTGCTTCAAACATACTTCAAATGGGATACTGTGCCACCCAGAGGGCCCACTCTTGGTGTGGAGACAGACGAGTGTATAGGTGAATGGGGTAAGGTGCAGATGAAGTCTGTGTCTGACAAAGGAGGGGACAGGGACAAAAAGTTCCAGGGAAGGGGCAGACAGGCTGCGAGCATGGAGTAGACGAGCCTGCGTGGGAACAGGTGCATAGGTCAGTCTAGATGGGATTTTGTAACTGTGCTCTCTAGAACCCCCTCTTCTAGGAGGGTGTTTAGGGCAGCTGCAGCAGGGAATGAAGGAGGCCTCCCCAGTTCAGCACAGGGAAGACGAGGATGGGTAAACTCCTGACACTAAACACGATGCCAGGATGGAGTAGAGACTGGAACCTGGGGATTTTGGGTGGCTGAGTCAGATCACGTGGAGTGTAGCTGGGGTCCGCTGGCCAACAATGGCAGGCCCACCATGGGTCAGTGGTCAGTGTCTTCCTAACGCCCTGAAAGTGTAAGACAGAAGCAAACCCACAGGACTGAGAATAAGGAACGAGAGTGGCCTCCAGAGGGCCAGCTGTAAGAGCAGAAGGCCTGAGCCAGAGCCAGCAGGAGCCACCGGGAGGCGTCCTGGAGCAGAGACAGAGTGGCCAAAGCTCTAAGCACCACTGCTGGCCAGCAGAGAGGGCCAGGCTGGGGTCTGCAAGATCCCATGATCATCTGGTAGGAGGACCAGCGAATTCCCAGTGCCCCTCCCTACCCGAGGCAGGGGCTGCCTTCCTGGTGCCCAGTGTTTATGTCCGTCCACAGAGGGTGACCTCTAGGGAGGCTGCTGAGAGCTGAGGCTCTCAGAGGGCTGTGTGGCGCAGGCACTGCCTGTCTGGACTCCCAGAAACTCAGTTTGTCACAGCGACTGAGGAAGATGCAATAGCCTCTGATCCCACAGAGGGGCCTTGTGGGGATCCAGGCTCAGCTGGGGGCCGCTGGGATGCTCCATCGGGAGCATCCACAACATGCGTTCCACATGGGTTGTTCCCCACAAGCTCTACCCATAGTGAGAGCTTCAGGTCCCTTCTCACCTTCAGCTCCCAGAATACCCCAGCCAGTCCCACCTCTCCTGGCCGCAGGTGGGAACATTAACCCATGGGGATGCTGACTAGCAAGAGGTGGCAGATGTGGTGCAGTGAAGAAGCAGTTAACCCCCGGGTGACCCTTGGTGGACAGTTCCCACTCGGAACTCGGGGCTTTCCGTCAGCTCCCACCCAGCCCTGTGATGGCCCCCTCCAAATCGGGAGGCAGCAGCCAGGCACAGCCACAGGACAGCAGGGCATGGAAGAGAGGCTGGAAAACTCCACTGCAAAATCAGCACCCTCAGAAGGTGAGAGAAGACAGCAAGCAAGCCAGGGTAAAGAACATGAGGGAGTGTGGCAAGGAAGAAAATATCATCATGCAGTAACCTCGGAAGACAGAACTGAGCAACTCTCCTAAAAAGTAGAAGAAAGGGCTAAATAGCAAATAGAAAAGAAACTCAGAGAATCAATCAGGATGTCCAACATCCAACTGCAGAGGATCACAGACGGAGAAAGAACACAGAGCCCAAGGTTAGGAAGGAAAAGTAGGGGAAGGTCTTCCAGAGTCAGATGGGCCCAGGGAGTGTCCTGCAGCTGAGCAAGACTACTCACCCCAAAATGAAACTCAGCACCACCAAGAACCACAAAAGGGACCTGGAGAGGCTTGGGCAGGTGGGAGTCAGGGACAGGGGCACACAGGGCCTTCCAGTTCTGAGAAAGGGCTCCAAGACTGCTGGCCGGAAAAGTGCCCCTTCTCAGGAAGCTACTAGAACAAGGCCAGAGGATAAACCAGGAAATGGGCGAGGAGGCAGAATTCTGCCAGGAGAGGGCCAGGGCACCTCCCAACTGGCTGCTACCCTGGGGATCAGAGCCCTTGCAATCCTCTTCTCATTGGGTCCTTTCAGCTTCACAGCATCTCCAATTAGCAAAGGAAGAAGATGGCCTCTGAGAGTAAAAAGTAGGTCTGAGACAGTGTGTGCCCTGCTGGTTCTCCAGCTGTGGCAAGGGCCTGCAAACCTGGCTATGGTGAAGGTGGGA
Source organism: Homo sapiens (assembly GCF_000001405.40). Taxonomy (NCBI): domain Eukaryota; kingdom Metazoa; phylum Chordata; class Mammalia; order Primates; family Hominidae; genus Homo; species Homo sapiens. The sequence goes on from NC_000007.14 coordinate 45,865,406, forward strand.
CATCCCTGTCACAATGGTCCATGGAAAGACACCAGAGCCACCCTAGCCAGGTCCTTAGAAATGCAGGAGTGCTCCAGGAATGTAACAGCTCCCTCTTCAAAGCATAGGAAGATGCCAAGAGACTCAGCACAGCCAGGCAGATTTTTACTAGAATAGGCTGTTTTCTGCTATTCTGTAACAAGATGACATATCAGACCTTCCCTGTCACCCCAACATGTCTGCAAAGCCCCAAAGCTGAAAGAGTCATCACCCAGACTCCTGTGAGCTAAAGAGCAATGACAAAGCAGCCAGCCAGCGGCAGCCTGGGTCTGGATGCCAGACCATGAGGCCAGGAAGCTCATGTTTACCATAGGCAGCATCAGTCACGGGGGCCCTCAGAGCAGAGAGCTGTCTTGGGACAGGGCAGCAGCAGGTGTCAGAAAGGCTGGACAGCCTTGATCCTGTCCCATGTGACCTCATGTGCAGAGTAAGGGTGTGTTGGCCCCCAATGCCACGCCATGGGAGCATTAATTGGGGGAAGGAGGGTGTTGAGTGCTCCATGTCCCAAGCAGTGCTCACTCTCCTAATCTTCCACAGGGACCCAGAACTCCTGGGGGAAAGGGATGGGGCAGGGACAGGGTTAATGCATACCGCAGCTGCCCGCTTCTTCGGGTCTCGTCTCTTCCTCCCTGTTGTGTTCAGGATCCCAGGCAATCCAGGGTTTTGTGCCCAGCTCTTTGCCCGGAGGGACTCTTGCTGCTGCTGCTGCTGCTGCCGCTGCCGCTGCCGCTGGGTTAAGGAGGCTGATGTGGGCGGCTCCTCCCCAGGAGCTGAGAGATCCAAGCTGGACTCCTTGGAGGCCCAGAGAGTAGAAAGCCTCCTTTTCCTAACAGTGGCTGGAGGGCTGACCCCTGCTGGGTGGGATGCAAGGTCCTGAGAGAAGTGTGCAGGCATTGGGGACCCACTGAGATAGGAGGCACCTCCCGATGGCCTTGGGCTCCAACCCAGGGCTGCCTCCTCAGGGGTGCTGTGTTTCAGGGGCTTTCTCAAGGTGGGGCTCCTGATTGCTAGAGAGGGGCTCTCATCCTCAGAGGAGCTCAATCCTAGATCCTGCAAAGTAAAAACAGAGTTTTGAGTCCTAGAAAGTCCTGGGGAGCCTTGAGACAGGCACTAAACTCTGACCCCAGGCACATTCTTATTTAAGCATGATGGCCCCATGAGGCAGACCTAAGTTGTCGCCCAGAGAGGGGAGTGTGCAGAACCCAGGGGCAGAACTGCAGGCCCTGAGATGGAACCCTGCACAGGGCTAGACCACGCCCCTCTGTGCTTGCCTTTTCATGGATGTAATTATTGTCAAAACAGTAAGCATTGTCAGAGATGTATTTTTCAAGAATAGGATTGAAGCATAGATAACATTCAGGTAACCATATTTTTCCACCAAGAAAAATCTGTAAGGCATTGTCAATGAAATCATCCTGACTTGTAGACTCACAACATAAAAAGGCAAAACTGTTGACAAACATTGTAGTATTTTATGAACAGGTGAAGCACACTGGGCAGGTGGCTTGCAGTAGGTGCTGTGTGCCCTGGAGGTAACATCCCAACCCCAAGCCCCAGGATGGACTGTAACAATTCCATCACAGCCAATGTTTTCTTCCAAAAGAATGCCTTAAGTGAATCATGCTCCTGCACTCACACCCTTTTCTCAGATCCTGATGAACTATACCCGGCAAGCACATTTGTGTTCACCATAAGGTATGTGCCTCTGCAGTGCCCCTTGAAGTCTGTCCATGTTAAAGTGACCTGACAGCAGATTGAGTTGTCCAATTGCTTTGTAATGATCTCTTGGTGTCTCAGACACACACATGCGTGCTCCTAACTGGTATCTCCGCACATCTGGCCGATTTACTACCAATGGAGGTAACTGCCAAAGCAATATCAGATTTTTCATTTTATGTTTAATCCCACTTGAATGGAACAATTTCCGGCATTTATTTTTTGGTAGTAGGAGTAACAGTGCCCAGTTACAATGTCTGCTGCAGGCAATGACATCCTAAATCAATTAAGGAAGCCACTGTCATTCAGGGTGTAGAAAAAACTGGAACTTTTCTAAAAGAAAAGAATGTTAAAAATGGAATGATTTTAACATTTCCTGATGCATGCCTGCCAATACCGTATAATTAGCAAGTGCATGTCCATTGCCTGGACAGAGCCAGCAATCACAAGAATGCAGAATGTACCTAGGAGAGACTCAAAAAAGCACATCAGCATTCCTGAAAACAGGTCCACTCCAGTCTAAGGTGAAACCCTGAGGGCTGCACCTAGGAGTCCACCTGCTCAGGACTGGCTTGCAGCTTCTTCCCAGGCTGATAACTGTGTCATAAGTTCAAGGACGTCACCACTTTGCTAAATTATTGTATGCATTTGTACACAGAGAGGATTATCTGGTAGTTAATTTTGGGGGAGGCACAGCTAGAAACCATTTTAATGATGGTGAAGTAATAGAGAGCTAAGTTTCTCTTAGAACAAAGAGATAGATGAGCACTTGCTTTAAACCTGAGATGGATTAGGGATATTCATTCAAAGTGGTGGGAAAGTATATTAGTTATTTACTGGGTAACAAATACACCAAAACATAGTGGCTTAAAACAGACATCTGTAATTGTAATTTCTATGGGTCAGGAATTTGGGAGCAGCCTCTCTGGGAAGTTCTGGCTTGGGGTCACCCATGAGGCTGTCATTGAGGTATTGGCTTCATTCATCTGAAGGCTTGACTGGGGATGGAGGTTCTATGCCAAGGTTGCTCACTACCCACATGCCCTGCAATTTGGTGCTAGCTATTGGTGGGAGGCCTCAGTTTATTTCTGCCTGGCCTCTCCAGGGGCTAGTTGAGTGTCCTCCAGATACAGAATAGTCTTCTCCAAGGAGAGTAGGCCAAAAGAGCACAGCATGGAGGCTGCAATGTCTTTGTATAATCTAACTTCAGAAGTCACACTCCTTCATTTCTGCAAAACCTATTGCTTGCACCAGTCAGTTTTCTTCAGTGTGGGAGAACCCCACAAAGGTATGACTACCAAATTGTGAAGGTCACCGATGGCCATCTTAGGGACTGGCTGACATAGAAGAGATAGTGAAAATTGCATTTAAGGAGAAGCCACAGTCCCTGGTCTGTGGCTTCTCCCACCTCATCCCCAATGTGAGGCCTCAGGACTCCCCTCACTCTTCAGAGCACAGATGGCTGGACAAAGAATGGAAAGAGTCTTACATCATCCTAGGAGATGAGCCCTGTATTTTTCAAAGCCAGCACTCTGACATGGTTTTTGCATCCACTCTGGGGAGGACCCTTCCTCAACCACCCTGCCCTCAGCTTTCAGGGGAAGGGGCTGTAGCACTTAAACACAGCTCTCATTTTCTAAGTGAATTCCTCTTGTTAAAGTCAAACAATATAGAAACAAACAAGTTATACTAGAAAGTCCAGTTGAAAGTCCAGTCTTAACCTTTCTCTAGTCCTTCTCCCTCTAGGTAGTTTCCTTTAGCACTGTGTTACCTCTCCTTCCAGCATATTTCCATGTAAGCAAATATGACACATGCATTCCATATATAAAGGAAAAAACTTAGGTATCTGCATAAATGGAATCATAATACACATTGTTACATAGTTTTCCACATCCTTGACGATTTCTCATGTCACTGACTCTTTTGAACAAAACATGCACAATAGAATATTTGAATGTGGCATAATGAGATAGTATAGAAAGAGCTATGTGTTTCACTTCCCACCAAGGCCTTAGAATGAGGCCAGGGCAGAAGAGGTTTGAAAAAAAATGTGGTCTAAGGAAGGTTCTTCTTGGAACCATCTATTCAGTAGAGTGTGCTGGAACATTAAAATCTGTTCTCATTGATTTCTTATGCATTCTTATGAGGTAAGTATAATTGTAGTCAAGTCACCAGAGGAAATATTCAAACCCAGATGGCTTATTGGCCTGAAACAGAAGCAGCAACAATGAGGTGTGAACTAGAGTTGGTGAAACCAAGGCTTACCCAGGAGCAACTGTTCTGTGGAGGTCTGGCTTCACATCCCAAACCCGTCAGTCTTGGCCGGAAAGGAGGGAGGGAGTGCCTCCTCCTTTTGGGATGATGAGTTGATCATGACCACTTACAGAGCTTCTACTGTGTTGCTCTTGGAGTATGTTTATTTTGTACATCGTTTCCTTCAGCAAAGCCCTTAAAACTGGATTTGTGTGAACTCCAAATAACCTGAAGGATAGGATTTACTCCACAGCATGAGTCAGCATCAGAAACTGCCAAGCTGCTTTCCAACCTGCCTGCACCATGTTTCTATCCCACCAACCAGCATCCCGTACATTGCTGGTGGGTTGGAAGAATAGTACAGGCAAGCTGGAAAACTGCTACTTTACAGTTTAGTTGCTCCACATTTTTTTTTTTTTTTTGAGACAGAGTCTCGCTCTGTCACCCAGGTTGGAGTGCAGTGGTGCAATCTCAGCTCACTGTAACCTCTGCCTCTTGGATTCAAGCGATTCTCCTGCCCAGCTTCCAGAGTAGCTGGGATTACAAGCATGTGCCACCATGTCCAGCTAATTTTTGTATTTTTATTAGAAATGGGGTTTTGCCATGTTGTCCAGGCTGGTCTCGAACAGATGACCTCAGGTGATCCACGTGCCTCGGCCTCCCAAAGTGCTAGGATTATAGGCGTGAGCCACCGCAGCCAGCAGTTGCTCCACATTCTTACCCACATTTGGCACTGCCAATTTTTAATTTTTAAAAAAGTTTTCTGACAGTCTAGTAGTGCATCTCATTTGCACAAGCAGCATCTTACTTGCATAGTGGTTTTGATTTGCATTTCTGTAATGAGTAAAGAAGTTGAACATCTTTTCATGTATTTATTTACCATTGATATGACTCCTTTGGTAAGCTGAAAGAACTAGAAGCCAAATATATTTGTCATGTTAATAAAGGCAAACAATAAACTCACCTATTAAAACACTGAGATTGGGTTAGAAAGCAAAATCCAACTACACATTGCATACAGTGAGACATACCTAAGACAAAGTACTGTAGAAAGCTTCAAAGTAGAATTATGGGCAAAGATAATGCCACAGAAATGCAAATGAAAAAATGTGGACATCAATATTTATATTGGAAAAGGTTGAATTTATGGCAAAATACATGAAACAAGACCAAAACTGGAAGTACAGTGTAATAAAACCCAAAACCAAAATGCATAGCTGTTATGATTACAACAGACAATACAGCATCAACATTCATAGAGCGAACTCCTAGGAAAAAAATACAGAAAATCAGAAATAAAGTAGTAACTGAGACTGATTCACCTTTTTAAGCCCATGCTAGATCACGGGGCGGGCGGGTGGAGGAACAAACCAACAACAACAAAAAAACCAACAACAACAAAATCAAAATCCCATAGAAGATTATCTTGTTACTTGGAGAATAATCAGCACTGGAAAGACTTTAAATTCTTCAACTTCAAAAAAGAGATTGAGATCTCAGAGTAAAGTTAAGAAATGGGGGTGAGAAGACAGACTGGGACTTTTATCAAACAGAAACTGCAAGGTAACATTAAGTATATTTTTATTAACAGAAACTACTTTTAACTAATCTATTTATAAAAGTGATCTAAAAATCAGTACTTAAATGTTGATAATTTGATGTTTTCTGATAAAATATTGTAATATATTGAAAGCTTACAGAGAAAACAATTTAGTATGTTTTACAAATGTATGCCCAGAACAGATGACCCAGACATGCATAGGAGGATGTCATGTGGCAGAAGGTACATCTCAAATAATTAGAGAAGAATGTGTTTTTGTTCTCTTTCATCACATCTTCTTCTGGCTGGTTGGCCACTTGGGAAAAAAATAATAACAGCAAAGCCAAGTCCCTGTAACTCATGGCTTACACTAAAATAAATGACAAGGAATCTAAGATTTTAAAAATTCATAAATTACCAGAAAAAAAAACAAAAAAATTAAAAATCTGAAACAAAGTCGGGTTCTTATATCACATTGTTCACCAAGATAACTCCAAGTGGATTAAAGACTTACATGTAGAAAAGAAAGCCATAAGAGTATTAGAAGGAACTATCAGTGCATTATCTATAAACTTATGTAAGGCTTTGCTATGACTTACAACATAGAGGCCATAAAAGAGCTAGACTACATATAAACTTATAAAAACTTCTACAATAAAAAGGAAAGAAAAAAGATACACCAATGCAAAGACAAAAGATGAACCACAATTTCTATAGAAGATAAACAAGCAGTGAATCTTCCTATTTAGAAAAACATCCAACAACCTGATGGATAAATCCACACAGTTTCTTAACAGTTCATAGAAACTGGTCCTTCAGTATACACATGCTGAACCTCATTCTCAGTAATAAAAATGCAGATCAAAATGAAACCAAATTCCCATTTGGTTTTATCTATCGGACTTCAAAAATTTAGAAGTATGAAAACTTTAGACAACACAAGGAGGAAACTGGAACACCTTCTATGGAAGGCAGTTTGGAAACTGGAACATCTTCTATGGAAGGCAATTTGGTAGCACTCAAATTTGTAAGTTAGTATTCTATTTGGACACCAACTCCCCTTCTAGAGAGTTACTCTATAGAAGGATATTCGAAACAGCTAAAAACAATGTTTCCTTATGGTGGGGAAAGGGCTGGAGGACAGCAGTGGTCACTGTGCATCTTATGCTTTTGAAATTTTATGCTCTTATACTTTTGATCACTTTTGAAACCACAGGCATGCATTTTCTATTTATAAATAAAAAATAGAAAAAGAATCCCTACTTCTCTGACGAAGAAGCCCAGGCACGGGAAACTAGGAATGGGGTGCCCAGGACTGCTGGGTTGGGAGAGGGAGTTACTTCTCCATCCAGCAGGCGGAGCTGTAGGCTCCAGAGCTGTATGCAACGCAGGGTGCTAAGGACAGGTTTTAACTTCAGGTGGGATTGTGATCTACTTCTGCAGGATGGCATTTCCTTTTGCATCTAGAGCATGAGGTGTCCTGTCACTGTGCCCTGGGGCTGCTGGTCCCCTTGGTGGCCTGGCTTTCCCTAAGGGCTGTGGCTAAGGTGGTTCTTAATGCTGAGGTTCCAAAGGCCTCATGAGACAGGCCAGGGGAGGAGATGGAGGAGGACCAATGCCCAGTGTCTCAGGACAATGTCTGACCCCACCTGATGTCACTGAGATTGTGCGTGGGCTCTGGGGAATCTGGAGGGCCTGGGACACACCTGGGGCCTCAGAGCCCAGGCTGATGAGATGTGGAAGCCCAAGGGCTCTGGCAGAAGATCTCTCCTGCAGGCCATGTCGTGGGCATCAAGAGGAGACTCTGGGCAAGGCTCCCGAGGACCCCAGGGTGTTAGTGCCCGGCCTGCCCAACCCACAGGCCACCAGGACCAGGCCACAGCTTTGTGCCAGCTCAGGACAGGGCCAGGCCTAAGGCCAGTCCTCAACCAACCTCTTGCTCGGGCAGCCTTGAGGGCCCTTCCTTCCTACCCACCCGCCACCTCTTACTGTATTCAGCTAGATCTCATTCCCAGGCTGCACCCCTCCCCACCTACCTGCACCCCAGGCTCCATCCTGCTTTGCCTCTGGGGCTGGCTTCCAAGTGGGCAGTTGCAGCGCCCACCCTGTGGCCCTCAGCACCAAGAAATACCTGCTGTGTCCCCACTTAGGCCCAGGTAGGTATGCAGGAGCCCACCCGAGCCAGAGTTAGCCTGACGGCCACGCCATTGCACAGGTGTGGGGCAGGTTTCCCTCGCCCTCTAGGTCTTCCCCTTGTTGGTTTCTGTTGTGTGCACCTGAGCCTGTGGGAAGTGAAGGCTGGCTGGGCACTTGCGCCCCACCCCCCCACCCCCCAGCAACAAGCCACCTGTGCCAAATACTGTTTGATGTGCATCATAACCACCTACGGGAAAGGAGATTACCACCCCAACTCAATCCACAAGGCAACTGGAAAAAAAAAAAAACACGTTTCCATGTCAAGAAAAGAGGACCCACAACCACTGGACTACAAGGTATGTTTCTCTGCAGAAGACTCCTTACCAGTCAGTCCTTCATTGAGTGCTTCTGAAACTTGAGCTGCTCAGAACCTCCTGGAGGGCTTGTTAGAGCCCAGAGCGCTGGGCCAGCCCCAGTTCCTGATTGGGCAGGCCTGGGCAGGGACCCGTGATTGGTATCACCTAACGACTCCCAGGTGTTGCTCTGCTGCAGGTCCACTTAGGAACCACTGCACGAATGAAAGGCAACACGTGCCACAGAGTAATGGTAAATTAATCTTTACCAATCTATACTAAAGCTGATCTATACTAATAGTAATCTCTAACCATGCCTTAACTTTTTTGGGGAATGAAACTAAAAAGAGCAATTCAGAAGCTAGTAACGACTAGAATGATCTGTGGTAGTTTGTTCTTAGACATAATCTCAGTTTTCTAACAACCCCAAAGCAAAGTTTTTAGTGTGCCTATTTTATTTTATTATTCATTTACTTACTTTTTTTTTTTTTTTTTTTTCAGACAGAATCTTGCTCTGTAACCCAGGCTAGAGTGCAATGTGATCTTGGCTTACTGTAACTTCTGCCTCCTGGGGTCAAAGGATCCTTCTGCTTCTGCCTCCCAAGTAGCTGGGACTACAGGTGCATGCCACCATGCCTGGCTAATTTTGGTACTTTTTTGTAGAGACAGGCTTTGCCATGTTGCCCAGGCTGGTCTCGAACTCTGCGTGATCTGCCCGCCTGGCCTCCCAAAGTGCCAGGATTACAGGTGTGAGCCACCATGCACGGCCAGTAAGCCTGTTTTAATAAGGGAAAGACAGCCCATAGTTGTGGGGCAAATTGCTGGAGTTTACCTAGTGGTATTTAGCAGAACCAAGACAAGAACCCAGGACTGTCTGACTCCAAAATAAGTGCTTTTTATCCCTTGCTACTCTGTATTGTTTTTCTGAACTTTGCCACTAAGTTGCCATGTGATTTTGGTGAATGAATGCTGTCACTGGCTCTCTCCTTTCTCTGTAAAATGAAGTGCTATGTGAGGGCTTTCCCAGCTCTGAAACATCTGCACATAGGAACCTAAATGAGGAGGCACGGCTGCAGAGCTAAGCGGCTCTCAGCACCCAGGCCTGTGTACAGCACGCAGAGCTGAGGCCTGCGGTGAATGCTCACCCTCACCCTCTGACTGTCCGCTTTCAGAACACTCAGTGGCAAGAGAGGTTGAGATCCCTGAATCCTGGGTTCTTCCTGAGGCTTCAGAGAGCACTAGAAAGGGTTTGTCAGAGAGCCATCCCAACTTGCCCTGGTTGGCGCAGAGCAACACAGCCGGGTGACTGGCTCCAGGTTCAAGTGCTGAGAGTGGCTCGAAATTCTTCTACCCTGGGGGTGGGGCTCTAGGGGTACAGCCTTTCTGGAGTGCAAGTTGGTGTGAATGTATGATACACTTAAAAGTATGGATGGCCTTGAACCAGCAATTCCACTTGTATGAGTATGTCAGGAGATAATCAAACTGAGTCATTCCTTATTTCCTGTTACTGGTAGCCATGGAGTGTTATCTTTAAAAGCCCAAGTAGATGCAGTGTGCAAAGCCAGGAAAAGGACACTGATGAAATAAATTAGAATGAGTCTGAGGGAAGGAATACTTTGCAGCCAGTATGTGAGTATGAACATGTGTATGTGCATGGATGTACACATGTGTGCATACACACACTACAGAGAAGATGTTTGTGATATATTAAAGGAGAAAAAAGCTATAGAATAGACAGTATAGTGTGATCTCATTTTAAAAATGACACAGGGTTGGGAACAGTGGCTCACGCCTGTAATCCCAGCACTTTGGGAGGCTGAGACAAGTGGATCACCTAAGGTCAGGAGTTCAAGACCAGCCTGTCTAAAATGGTGAAACCCCATCTCTACTGAAAATACAAAAATTAGCCAGGCATGGTGGTGTGCACTTGTAGTCCCAGCTACTTGGGAGGCGGAGATACGAGAATTGCTTGAACCCGGGAGGAGGAGGCTTCAGTCAAAAAAAAAAAAAAAAAAAAGAACAAAATTAACACAGGCACATATGTACACACATATCCAAAAAGAGACACACAGAAATGGTAGCGTTTGTGACATCCAGATGGCAGGATGGTGGATAAACTTTAACATCACTTAATTGTTTCGCATTTTTTCTAAAAACAACACCTAATGAATAAGAGTGTTTGAAGGTAAAGCTCCCTTAGCACCGTCAATTCATTTTCCAGATGGGGAAACTGAGGGCAGCAGAAGGGAGAGGCTTGTGCAGAATACTGGAGTGAAGCAGCGGGGGCTGCTTGGTCCCGGTTCCCAGTTCCTGCTCAGGTCTCTCTTCCCTGCACTATGTGCCACCTGGGCGTGACTGAGGACAGAGTGGTTTGTTCTTAGACTGGAGTCTTGAATTACTTTTGAAAGCACAAAAGTCTAAGTTCCCTGTCATAAGACCTTAACAGTTCCAGGCAAGGATGAAACAGATGCACATGACAAGTATTTGTCAGAAGTACCACTTGGCCCCAGAATAGTGGCCTGCAGAGATGACCACGCCCTATTCCCCTGAACCTGTGAATCTGTTCTGTCACATGGGAAAAGAGACTTTGCTGATGGAATTAAGGGTCAGACCTTAAAACTGGGAGAGTATGCTGGGGAGTCAAGAGGACAGCAGAGTGTGTCCTGGTTAGAAGGGGTCAGAGGGCAGGAGAGAGGGGCAGACAGCATCAGAGAGCCATCAGGGTGAGGCCATGTTGAATCTTGTAGAGGACGAAGAAACCACAATGACTTTCCCAGAGGGCCCTCTTGAGCACAAGGAAGAAAACAGTAACTCAAATGACTACCATGACAACCCTCTTACCTGGTGAGGAACCCTGACCTCCTATAGTGTAATTATTTTCTATCACAAGGACTGATACAGAAAAATCTGATGTGGCAGGTGCTATTCCATTTGCCAATGGGAAAACTGAGGCACAGAGCTATCAGGCTACTTGCCCAAGATCACAGAGCTGCCAAGGACCTAGCCTGGACCCCATCTCATGTCCCAAAATACAGCACAAAGCTGGCCAGGCCACCCCCAGGGCTTTCTGACTTCCAGGTCCCCAGAGTTGCCTCCTCACTCTAGGGTTGCCCTGACCTCTTGACTTAAGGGTTGCCCCAACCTCCTGAATCTCAGGTCTCTGTGACCTCCTGGCACATAGGTACACTGGTTTGGGCAGTGTAAGGATATTTTGTTTGTGTCTGTGAATAATATAATTGGGAAATCAAAGTGTGTTTCCACACAGTGGTGTTAGCCTGGCACTGGGTGGCAGCCGTCAGGTGCTGTCATGGCCATCACTGGGCAGCAGCCAGGGGAGAAGCCATGCATGTGCCTGCAAGCTCCTGGGTCCAAGCCTAGAGCCTGACACATTCTTTTCACTGGGTCCCAGGAAAGCTCTGCAGCACAGAATCCCAAACCTCTCACTGCGCAGGACACACAGGCTCTGAATTCAGATGCGATCGAAGTCCAAGCTGCCAGTTTGGGTATGGCTGCTAGTCAGCCATGTTGAAACCCCATTAGGGTTACATACAGTGCTTGTGGAAGTGGTGGCAGGATGAGGTTCAGAGCCCAGCTCTTGTCATCTTGCTGACATGGGCCTTGGAGGGGACACATAGCCCTGGACGATGAGAGCCCCTCACTGGGTCTTGTGATAAGGTGTAGAAAATCCTCAAGACAGTGTGTGGCATGTGGTAAACTCAACAACTTTTAGCACCTTCTCTCTCTACATCTTCTACCCACATTGTTACAGTCATGATTTTCCACCTGCATTTCCCTTCTCTGCCCCCATTTCCATTTCCATTGAATATATTTTTGTGGAAACTCCACCACAACAGATAACATGTTGTTTTCTACACAACCAGTGTGCTCTAGGTTTCTTTTGACCCCAGGATGTAAATAAGTGGTCAGTACTCTTTGTAAAGCACCACAAGGCAGGGAAAACTATTGTGTTAGTCTGTTCTCACACTGTTATAAAGAAATACCTGAAACTGGGTAATTTTTAAGAAAAGAGGTTTCATCAGCTCACGTTTCTGAAAGCTGTACAGGATTCTGCTTCTGAGGTCATCTCAGGAAACTTACAATCACAGCAGAAGGCAAAGGGGAAGCAAGCACTACCTTCACATGGTGGAGCAGGAGAGAGAGAGGAAGAGGAGGTGCTATACACTTTCAAACAAGCAGTAGTAGGGGATGGTGCTAAACCATTAGAAACCACTCCCATGATCCAATCACCTCCCATCAGGACCCTCCTTCAGCATTGGGAATTACAATTCAACAGGAGATTTGGGTGGGGACACAGAGCCAAACCGTGTCATTCTGCTCCTGGCCCCTGTGAAATCTCATGCCCTTCTCACATTGCAAAATACAATCATTTCTTCTCAATAGTCCCCCAGAGTCTTAACTCATTACAGCATTAACTCAAAAGTCCAGGTCCAAAATCTCATCTGAGACAAAGAAAGTCCCTTTCACCTTGGGCCTGTAAAACCAAAATAAGTTAATTACTTCCAAGATACAATGGGGGTACAGGCATTGGAAAATGCCCCCATTTCAAAAGGGAGAAATTGGGACTTCAGGCCCCATGCAAGTCTGAAACCCAGCAGGGCAGTCATTAAATCTTAAAGCTCCAAAACAATCTCCTTTGACTTCACATCCAGGCCACAGTGATGCAAGGGGTGTTCTCCCAAGGCCTTGGCATCTCTTCCCCTGTGGGACTGCAGGGTTCAGCCCCATCAGCTTCTTTCAGAGGCTGGCATTGAGTGCCTGCAGCTTTTCCAGGTGCACAGTGCAAACTGTCAGTGGATCTATCATTCTGGAGTCTGGAGAATGGTGACCCTCTTCGCACAGCTCTACTGGGCAGTGCTCCAGTGGGCCCTCTGTGTGGGGTCTTCAGCCCCACATTTCACTTCCACACTGCCCTAATAAATGTTCTCCATGAAGGCTCTGCCCTTGTAGCAGACTTCTGCCTGGACATCCAGACATTTCCATACATCCTCTGAAATCTAGGCAGAGGCTCCTAAGCCTCAACTCTTGCCTCTGTGCACACACAGGCCCAACACCACGTGGAAGCCATCAAAACTTGGGGCTTACACCCTCTGAAGCAATGGCCTGAGCAGTACCTTGGCCACTTTTCACCATGGCTGGAGCTGGAGCAGCTGTAATACAGGGCACCATGTCCCAAGGCTGTATAGAGCAGCAGGGCCCTCAGCCTGGCCCACAAAGCCATTTGCCCCTCCTGGGCCTCTGGGCCTGTGTTGGGAGTGGCTGCCCCCCTAGGTCTCTGAAATGCCCTGGAGGCATTTTTCCCATTGTCTTGGCTATTAACGTTTGATTCACCTTTACTTATGCAAATTTCTGCAGCTTTGAATTCCTCCCTAGACAATGGGTTTTTATTTTCTACTACATGGCTAGGCTGCAAATTTTCCAAACTTTTTCACTCTGCTTCTCTTTTAAAAATAATTTCCAGCTTCAGATAATCTCTTTGCACATGCATATGAGCTGATGCTATTAGAAGCAGCCAGGTCATGTCTTGAATGCTTTGCTGCTTAGAAATTTCTTCCAGCAGATACCTTAAATCATCTCTCTCAAGTTCAAAGTTTAACAGATCCCTCGAGCAGGGGCAAAATGTTGCTAGTCTCTGCTAAAGCATAGCAAGATTGACCTTTACTCCAATTCCAAATAAGTTCCTCATCTCCATCTGAGAACTCCTGAGCCTGGACTTAATTGTCCATATCAGTATTAGCATTTTGGTCACAACTATCTGAAAAGTCTTTAGGAAGTTCTCAACTTTCCCTCATCTTCTGTTTTCTTCTGAGCCCTCCAAACTGTTCCAATCTCTGCCCCTTACCCAGTTCCAAAGTAGCTTCCACATTTTAAGGTATATTTATAGCAATGCCTCACTCCTGGCACCAATTTTCTGCATTAGTTCATTCTCATGCTGCTATAAAGAAATACCTGAAACTGGGTAATTTATAAAGAAAAGAGGTTTAATCTCTTCATGGTTCTGTGGGTTGAACAGGCTTCTGCTTCTGGCAAGACCTCAGGAAACTTACAATCATGGCAGAAGGCAAAGGAGAAGCAAGCACCATCTTCACGTGGCAGAGTGATGGGGAGGAGGTGCTATACACTTTCAAACAAGCAGCATTAGGGGGATGGTGTTAAACAATTAGGAACTGCCCTCATGATCCAATCACATCGCACCAGGCCCCTCCTCCAACAGTGGGAATTATAATTTGACATGAGATTTGGGTGGGGACACAGAGCCAAACCATATCAACTATAAACTTCATTAATAATCAACTAAGTGCAAAATAACCTAACACAGTATTGCTTTAAAATTACTGTATCTGGCTGGGCACAGTGGCTCATGCCTGTAAGTCCAACATTTTGGGAGGCTGAGGTAGGCAGATCACTTGAGGTCAGGAGTTTGAGACCAGCCTGGCCAACATGGTGAAACCCCATCTCTATTAAAAATACAAAAATTAGCCAGGCATGGTGGTGGGTGCCTGTAATCCCAGCTACTCGGGAGGCTGAGGCAGGAGAATCACTTGAATCTGGGGGATGGAGTTTGCAGTGAGTTGAGATTGCACCACTGCACTCCAGCCCGGGTGACAGAGTGAGACTCTGTCTTCACACACAAAAAAATAAAGTTACTGAATCTGCAAACATGATAACGTCAACATATAATACTGCTGATATTGAAGTGAAACTTATACTCTCATACATTGTTGTTGGCTGTTTAAATTGAGATGAAGAGGAGTTATTTTTTATTATTTTATTATTTTAAACTTGGAATTTTATCCTGAGAAAATATCATTAGGAAAGGAAAGGAAAGATTAAAATGATTGCAGCATTATTTGTAATGAAGAAAAGTTGGAAACAAACCACAGTCCAAGTCCCCCAAAAGTAACATGCTGTGGTTTTCATAAACACATGATCCTCATACGGTAACTCCAGTGATGGCACCCTGTGTGATATGCACACCATATGCGGGTGATGGCACCCCAGGTGATGGGCACACTGTATGCAGGTGATGGCCTGCCAGGTGATGGGCACACTGTATGCTGGTGATGGCACCCCAGGTGATGGGCACACTGTATGCAGGTGACAGCACCCCATGTGATGGGCACGTTATATGCAGGTGATGGTACCCCACGTGATGGGCACACTGTGACTTGGGGAATGAGACTCCCACTCTTTTTACCTCAGGGTCATTGCTGCCTGGCCATGTCGCAAAGTCCTGCAGAGCCAGGGTCACCTGTCCTTAGTGCTTGCCGCCGTGTTGTAATTGGCAGGCTTTGCTCCAACTCAGTGTGTGTAGCGAGTGCAGCAAGGGCCTGGGGACCTGAGGACAGTAATTTGACAGCTCCATCCTGGGGTGGGAGAGGTCCTGCTGCCCCTGTGGGGTGACCTATTATGGGCTGGGTGAGTGGCAGCCCTGGTGTTTGTGTTGGACTGATGGCCTCACAAGCACATTGAGGTTTCTTGCTGACAGAATCCCCATGGGGGTCATGGCATGAGTTCACGGGGCCAAACTGGTATGGGAATTTTCACCTCACCAAAGTGATGGACACTTCCCACCATCTAGTGAATTCAGGGTTAATCAAACAACACCACATCTAACGTAGTACAGTCGTGACTTTCCTGAAGCCCATGCATGGTCCGGGTAAGTGTCATCTTCTACCAAATCATCTTAGTTTTTATATGGGTGGCGAAGATTCTTGGGGGAATGAGATGCATGTGTCTCCTGGGAGTGAGCAACAGGGAGCTCTGGTGTCCTGGTGGCTCGTCCTCATTTCCCTCCACCACCCAGGCCCTCTCACCACCCAGCTGCAGCAATGATAGCTCTGCCTCTTTGTTTCTTCCCTCAAATGTGTCCATTACCCTAATCTCTCACTTCTTATGGAGTGGTTTTGTGCAAGTGCGGGCCCAGAAGTGCTTTGTGAACCCATGGCCTCAGACTTGAGCATGCAACAGATTCTCCTAGGCGGCTTGCCTAGTAACAGAGTGTGGGATGCGCCCCCAGAGGCCGGAGTCTGGGGTTGGTGTAGGGCCTGGGGATGGGCCTTTCTACTCATCTAGGTAGAAATGCCAATTAGTGAGTGACCGTGGTCTAACCCACCCCCCTTTACCAGAGGTGAGAAATTAGGAGGGGTCTGTCACCTGAGCAGCCTTGATGCGGGGAGAGCATAACAGAATGAAGACGAAGAGCACCTGCCCTATGTTTGGCACTTGATACCTGCCCTCTTTCACCCAACCCACTGCACCCTGAATGCAAATGCTTCGGGATGGCCTCGCTTCCATCGCCAACACTGAGATTCAGACCCTGGTCTTCTGACAGGGTCCCTTGGGCTTTGGCCTGGACACATCTGTGCTCCTCCTGTGTTTAGAAACTGGGTTTTGTTGACGTGACAAGAGCTAGGTGACTTTTCCACTTTGATTAGTGGGGAGTGTGGGCGAGAGCTATTTTTTCAAACTTTCCCATCAGTTTGCCAAGCAGTGTCCTTCATCAGCTTGGGAGATAAGGGCAGCACGTCGGGCCTTTGCACAGATTTACATCATCCCCTGTGTTGATCATGGAACATAAGCAAAACATCACTTTGTTTTTTTTCCCCGTGTTAAAAACAACTTCCTTTCTGAGGTGTCCCTGGATTGCAGCATTTCTTCCCTTTGAAAGTTTGACTTTGCCCTTGACTCTTGTATTGTTTTTCAGAGCATGGATTGCCCAATTTTCAGCTGCTGGTGAGTAAGCAGCACACTGCACGAAGGCAGGATTGGGAAGAGCAGATGATGGAAGCACCCGTGTGACTGCACCACCCCAGAGGTCCCAGCCTCTGCCGTTGGCAGGAACGAGCCACCGTGCTGCTCAGGATGACAATAGCTCCTGTTCATGCAGTGCTTTCTTGTACCAGGCAATCCATCATCCCCATCTTACAGGTGAAAAAACTGAGGCCAGGGGCTTTATGCAACATGCTAGGACATAGAAATCTAAGGCACAAAAACAAACGGTCTTGCTCCAGAGCTGTTCTGCTGTTGATACTTCCCAGCTTTCATGACCTCCCCTTCAAGGGCTAACACAATTGTCAGAGTTGAGTTGTTGAGTGCAACGGTCAACATTTGTTCTTGCGGTTCCCACAAGAAAAAGACAGATGTGTTCTGAAGTGCCATCAAATTGCTGGCAGAGGCCGTGTGTGGCCCTATTCATAGGCACCCCCTGGAGTGACACAATGGGACTGCTATGATTATGTGTCCCTCACCTTTTCTGAATCACTGATAGTGGTTTCCTTTTCTTTGCAGCACAGAGAATTTGCAATGCGGCAGGAGGTCTCCTGGTCCCCGGTTTAATACCCTTTTTTGCTCAGTTGATTGAATACAAATTCCATGTCTAGCACTGAAAGCTTTCCACACTTACCCCAAACAACTGTTCATCCCTGCCTCCCAAAATATGCTCCCAGTTGCCCCTGCACATACAGACATTTTTGGCCCTAGCCTACATAAAATGCCTGTATGGTATGGCAGGAAGGGTAAAGGCTTTGATTCGGGTGAAGAAGGGGCTTCATCTCCAGCTGGTGGTGATGAGACCTACTGGCAACTTTGGCATGTGTGGCTTGGCATGAGGTATGCCCAGTATAGTAAACGTTTATGAAACACTAGCTCCCCCACCCCTCCCTGCTCTTGGTGCTCTGATTCCAGGTGTCCTGTGAAATTGGATTCATAGTTCTTTATCAAATGGGCATGGGGCACCTATTGGTGCCTGTGTGGTGCTGGACAGAAGGACATCTATGTGCTTGTCCCCTGTTCACTAAACCAGGTGAGACACACACACACCCCAACACACACACACACACAGAAGTACGTAGATAGGCATTTATTTTAGCTCTTCAGCATGAGTATAACCCAATGTGAGATCAAGCATCAGGATTGCACAGGGGGGCACTGAAATCAGGCTGTGCAGAGGTGAGGACATTTATGGTGGGTCCCCAGGGATGGAGAAGGGGTCATAGGAGGAAGGAACAGTGCCATGAAGATATAACTGAGGCCAGAATGGTCCTCAACCTTTGGGTGGTCAAAGGCCCATTAGAGTCGATGACGACTCCCAAAGACCACACGGAAGCACACAGTTGTGCAGTTGGCTCCAGGGAGTCCGAGGGGCCTTGAGCTACGGCATGGACCTCGTCTATGGCTCTCTGACTTTTCTTATCTGTCTCTAACTCTTCCTCTCACCAGTTTTGGTCACTATGTGGGCCATCCCATCTGAAGCATCATTCCATACTCCCCTTCCTGATGTTCTTTTCTTTCTTTCATGCATTAATCACAAGCTGCAGTGCATTTGTTAAAGTATTTGTTTACTATTTTTCCCCCTCTACATCTTTGAGGGTGGGGCTCTGCCTCCTTCATGGCTGATCCTCAGCTTCTGGGTGTCTGGTTGGTGCTCAGAAGGGGTGCAGGAATGAGGGGTCCCCAGGCGCCGGCTCCCTCCCTGGTGATCTTCCAGAACCGATCTTTCTTTCTTTTTCTTTCTTTCTTTTCTTTTCTTTCTTTTTCTTTCTTTCTTTTTCTTTCTCTCTCTTTCTTCCTTCCTTCCTTCCTTCTCTCCATCTCTCTCCTTCCTCCCTTTCCTCCATTCTTTCTCCCTTTCTTTCTCTCCTCTCTCTCTTTCTCTTGAGACAGGGTCTCACTCTGCCACCGAGGCTGGAGTACAGTGGTGTGATCATAACTCACTGTAGCCTCAAACTCCTGGGCTTAAGTGACCCTCTCACCTCAGCCTCCTGAATAGCTAGACTACAGTCATACACCACCATGCCTGGCTAATTATTTTTATTTTCACAGAGACAGGGTCATGCTTTGTTACCCAGGCTGGTCTCAAATCCTTGGCCTCAAACGATTCTCCCACGTCAGCCTCTCAGTGTTGGAATTACAGGCGTGAGCCACTTTGCCTGACTCAGAACCTCCTTTCTAAGGATATCCACTCTCTTAGCCTGCTTATACCCCTGTGGTGGTGGCCTGCTGCCCTAATGAGGAGTCTAAACCCCTTTGCACAGCCTCCAGGCCTCTTTGTGCCTGGTCCCCTGCCTGCTCCCCTGCCACTCCCTGCCTGTTATTCCAGCTCCCAGCAGGAAGAACTACTGGCTCTTCCCTGAACACACTGCACTCTTCCCAGCTGTCTGCTGTCATCCCACCATCATCTCTATTCTCCCACATTGCACACCCCATCCCTTTGCTGCTTGGGGGAAGGCCACTTACCCTCCAAGACCAGCCATGGCCAGCAGCTTATGGAGACGTACCCAGACACAAATAGACCTGCTGTCTCTTCCCACCTCACTTATCCTAAGGGTCAGGTTGTAAGTAGCCCGCCCTTGACAGACCATCCTCCTGCTAGATGGGGGCAAGACTGTGGCTCAGTGTAGGGCATCCCATCACTCCTTTCCCCCACACCTAGCTCAGTACCTGCCCTACATTGGAAGGGTACCTCCCTTCCACTCCACTGCGGTCACTGTTGGGTGAGGGAAAGAATGCAGACAGAAGCTTGGGAGCTTGAGATGGAGAAGCTGGAAGGAAGAGCAATTCATTCTGAGGGGGCAGCCGCAGGAGGTGGGGGATATCAGGATAGAGTCCTGCAAGAAAGAGTTTCCGGGATGGATGGAAGAGACCATGGACTTGATAAGCATGATAGGGTGATGGAAGTTCAGGCACTGAGAACAGCAAGACCAGAGTCATGGGGTTAGGGTCAGGCCAACTGAGGCTGAGGTGCAGCAGGTCCGGAGACCTCTCTCCCAGGGCCCACCCTGCACTTCCCAGAGCTGAGAGATGCACCTCCTTTCATGTCTCCCCTGGGCACTTCCCCAGCCTCCCCAGTCAGCTGTGAGTCAGAGCACTGGGACCACCAAAGGCAGGCCAGGCTGTGACCCCTGCCAGGGGGCAGTGGGGCTTGGGGATTCATGAATGTTCCCAGAAATGGCTGTGTGAGCAGTCACATCATCGGCTGTAACTCCAACCTGCCAGGGCAGGGCCGCTCACTCCCACACAGGATGGACGGATGGACAGTCGGCCTACACAGGCCTGTAGGGAGGGGCTTGGCTCCATCTGTGTTGACAGAGGGTCAGGAGTAGGAGGAGAGCTCTCTCTTGATTTGGGGGCTGTTTGGTTTGCTGTTGCTATGAAGCAAGCAAGGAAAACATTTGGGAAATCGATCCTTGAGGGGAGGAATTTTCACTACATGCAGGACAAGTGAGACCTCAGGGAGGATGGGTGGGACGAATGCTGAGCAAGTGCACAACTATCCAGGGCGGAGTACACTGCCTGGCACACAGCAGGTGGCCTCTAGATATTTACCAAAGAATTGCCTCTTTCATGTGTTTCATTAAGAAAACATTTCAGCTGTGGGCACTGATTGCAAGCTGAGGAAGTCAGAGAGAAAATACAGAGCACACATTCTTCTTCTGGAAATCAAATTGCTTAGGCATCTACCCTAAAAATAATGTCAAAAAATTCAAAACCGTTGGTCAGTTCCTTTACCAAACACCAAACTCTGCTCTGTAAAGAAATAATGACAAACAATCATAAACTTCCAACTGCAGTGACCTCACTGCCTTATTTTGATTTTTGCAGGAGACGCTGGGGCCATTACTCTTTGGAGACTTTAGAGGTAGAACAAAAGCCAGCTTGGCAAATCCAAGTCACTTCCCGAAGGCCACAGAAACAGGAAAGTGGTGAGAAAAGGAGGTCGTCAGTTAATTTCAACTTGGTTATTTTTTTATTTTTATTTTTTGAGTCAGAGTCTCGCTCTTGTCTCCCAGGCTGGAGTGCAATGGCATGATCTTGGCTCACTGCAACCTCTGCCTCCTGGGTTCAAGCGATTCTCCTGCCTCAGCCTCCTGAGTAGCTGGGATTGCAGGTGACTGACACCATGCCTGGATAATTTTTGTATTTTTAGTAGAGATGGGGTTTTGCCATGTTGGTCAGTCTGGTCTCGAATTCCTGATCTCTGGTGATCCGCCCACCTTGGCCTCCCAAAGTGTTGGGATTACAGGCATGAGCCACTGAGCCTGGCCCCTTGGTTATTCTTTAGATTGATAATGTAACAGACAGTGTAAATACATCTACAAATTCAGAAGGTTAAGAAAGGGTATGCAAGGAAAACCGGTCTGTCCCTCAGTCACATTTTTCACCACCACCCACAAGAAGGCATTGCTATCAATTTATGTATTCCTCCCAAAACATTCAATAAATGTAGAATCAGTTGCATACATTCATCTTGCTTTTATTGTACACAAACAGTACCACACTCTGTACTTTCTCATTTGTACTTAGCTAGGAGATTTTACTTCAGTTGAATCACTTTACTTTTAGAGATTTTTCTCTATAAGAAAATCAGAGTTGCTCTTTCTTGTTGATAGCTGTCTATCTTCCAGTGGAAGGATGCCCCAGGATTTATGTATCCAGCACCTAGAGATGGGCATTTAGGTTACTTGCAGTATGGCTTCCAGATAGGGATTGGTTCGCGTATTTTTTCACATAAGTTTAAAATGATCTCTCACGTCTGTCTCATCATCTGTAGGATAAACAGCTGAGGGTGGCATTGTTAGCACAGACCATTCTACCTCCAGCTTCAGAATTTCAGGGTAGTTATTATTTTCACCTGCCCTTACACCTTCCCTGAAGGGAGCAGCAGGGATCATTTCCTTGAATGTAAGAATGACTGTCACTTGAGGTGATTCAGCAATGCTCTACTGTTTTAGAGTGTTTTAGCCAGATTACAGAGAAAGGCATTTACTTAGGGCTTGCTTACAGTAAACAGGACTGTATGGGCATCAGAAATGTGAATTCTTGTTCAGGATCCACCGTTATAGCCTCTGTGACTTTGACCTGGCAATAGCCTTCCTTCTCTGGCCTCAGTGTTCTCCTCTATAAAGCAAGGGGCTGGACAAGCCATCTCCAGTTTCCCAGTTTGGCAACACCACTCCTAAAGGATCTGAAGGGACAACAGGAGGCCCAGGCCTGGAGGTAGGGTAGCCCTGAGCCTGTGCCTAGAATGGGAGGCAAAGATGGTGGCAGGTGGGTGGGAAAATGTGGGGTTTGGGGGTCACAGGAGAGACCAAGGGGCAGGCCTGGAGCATGGCACGCTCCCTGATCACAGCTCTCCACTGGAAGGCCATGGAGGGAGTGATGGGGAGAGCCTGCAACTCCTGGAGATAAGCCTGATTCTGACTTTCTTTGAAGGATTTTTTTCTTTCGACTTCTTTCCTGTGAAAGAGAATATCCGAGAAATGAGAATTTTAACTAAAGAGAAAACCTTTGCATTTGCTACTGATAAATATCTGGCCTATGCGGGAAAGTCATGGGTGCCCTGGGATTCTGGCTCCACTGCTAACAAGACCTTGTTAGACCTTCTTAACTGCCCCTCCAGAGAGGAGAAAGGCTCTTGGAGGTAGAGTGAGATTGGGGAGCTTGGCAGAGCCCTAGGATGAACTGTGTTTTTGTTTTGTTTTGTTGCAGGTTGGAGCCTTTTTCCTGCAGAAAGAGAAGCAATTCCGGGCTTTTCCACAGATAACCTGCTAGGGCTCGCAGAGACCTGGATTCTAACCCCATCTCGCCTTTCCTCACCTGGGGCATTGTTTTCTGCGTTTGAGAACTGCTGGGTGGGCTGGTGTTACCCAGGATTTTTAAATTTTTGCAGGAGACGCTTTGCAGGAGATCTCTAGGGCTTTTTTCTGTGTCAATTAAAGAGCCTGGCCAGCTGGACCTGGGCTGTCTTTTTGACAAAAACAAACGTCATCCCCCTCCCAGCTGAGCACTTGTTAGAACTGGACTTTAACTGAGGGCCTGAACCCCCTAACAACGGGACAAACAGTATGAAATCAAAACCGTTTACCCTCCTCCCACCAGCGGTTTGCGTAGGGCCTTGGGTGCACTAGCAAAACAAACTTATTTTGAACACTCAGCTCCTAGCGTGCGGCGCTGCCAATCATTAACCTCCTGGTGCAAGTGGCGCGGCCTGTGCCCTTTATAAGGTGCGCGCTGTGTCCAGCGAGCATCGGCCACCGCCATCCCATCCAGCGAGCATCTGCCGCCGCGCCGCCGCCACCCTCCCAGAGAGCACTGGCCACCGCTCCACCATCACTTGCCCAGAGTTTGGGCCACCGCCCGCCGCCACCAGCCCAGAGAGCATCGGCCCCTGTCTGCTGCTCGCGCCTGGAGATGTCAGAGGTCCCCGTTGCTCGCGTCTGGCTGGTACTGCTCCTGCTGACTGTCCAGGTCGGCGTGACAGCCGGCGCTCCGTGGCAGTGCGCGCCCTGCTCCGCCGAGAAGCTCGCGCTCTGCCCGCCGGTGTCCGCCTCGTGCTCGGAGGTCACCCGGTCCGCCGGCTGCGGCTGTTGCCCGATGTGCGCCCTGCCTCTGGGCGCCGCGTGCGGCGTGGCGACTGCACGCTGCGCCCGGGGACTCAGTTGCCGCGCGCTGCCGGGGGAGCAGCAACCTCTGCACGCCCTCACCCGCGGCCAAGGCGCCTGCGTGCAGGAGTCTGACGCCTCCGCTCCCCATGCTGCAGGTACCACAGTCCCGCCCCTGCTCCAGCACCTCCTGCCGCCCGCCCCCGCCCGGCACCTCCCGCCCCCACTCCCCTAACTACTGGGTGGGGCTGCAGCCGGGCAGGGGCTTGTCCACAACTAGAGCTTGAAACCAGAGCACGTAGTTGGGGAAGGAGCTTGGGTCACCCAGTGGAGCCCGCTCATTGCACGGTCTTGGCAGGACGTGCTCTGGGAGAAGAAGGAAGATGTTCCAGGGCACACATAGCTTAGTGGAGACTCAAGGAGGAAGCTCCCACTTGGCCCTCGTAGCCCAGAGATCTTTAGAGACCCAGACAGCAAGAGTAGAGGGAGGCGGTGGGGCTGCCTCCGCAGTTGGGATGCCACCCTGGGTCCCCCACCAGTCTCCTTGCCAGCACGTGGGCAGCCCCAGTGGCTGGAGCATCCGGGAAGGCCTAAGAAGGGAATCCCTCCTGCTGGCCTCCCCAGGAGGTGTTTGGAATGTCCTTTGTAATATACGTCCTGGATACAGTATGTGCTTCCCAGATGTTTACAGAACATAATGTGAGAGTTGAGGCTAAAAGCTTCACTTCCATTCATTGCCATAGAAAAACAATGTTTGATGTGTATGTTGCCCCCTAAGAACATGACAATCAGGTTCTTTCCTGGATTTAAGCAGGCATTTGTTTGTAGCGGGAAGTGGAGGAAATGCCTCTTTCTCTACTCCAGCCCCTATCTCCTCATCTGGACTGCTTGCACGTCCTGTCCTGTGCCATTCTTGGAGGAATTAGGACTTCCATACCCTGATAGGGTGTTAGAGTGAGTGTGTGAGAGTCAGTGACCCTTCCAAGGAGGGAACAGGGATTTCCTGCGGATTCTCTGCCCTTCAGAGGAAATGAAAGGGAGTCGTCTCACTGATCCTCAAGGAGATGGATTTCCACAGGGGGTCCCTTATAGGCCAGTGTGCTGATTCTGTTCATGTACCTTTGGACTCTATCTGCAAGATCCTCTTGCCATGGGGGTGGAGGGGGTGTTGCAGAGAAGTCCATTAGGACGTGGGAAGGCAGGGGCCCCAAAATAGAAGAGGGTAGTAGTTTGGGTCAGGAGAGCTGCATTCTAGACTCCACTTCTAGATGAACTGTACCATCCATTCAGGGATATTAGTAAAATCCCCATTTTAAGGATGGAGAAGCTGAGGTTTCGAGGCTCCCTACTAATGCGGTTAGGAACTGAACTCTAATCCTGGCTTCTTTAGGGTTGTTCTCAACCTCAGCAAATGCATTTGTTGCTCTGCTCCCCTGCTGCTTTAAAAGCAGAAACGTGGGGCACCCTTGCCAGGCCCTGAAACTTACTATTGTCAGGAACAGAGCTGGCATGCTGTTGGGACATAACTCTTCCTGGAAACCATTACAAGGTCCTTTACAGTGAGAGTCAGTGAAAATCAGGTTAGGGAATGTGGCCATCCTCATGGCCCAGCCTGGTTTTGAGGGAAGGAAGTGATCTCCTGGGGGCCCGAAAGGGGCAGATGCTTTGGGAGGGCTCATGGGGTCTGCAATGTTTCCTTTCCAGAGGCAGGGAGCCCTGAAAGCCCAGAGAGCACGGAGATAACTGAGGAGGAGCTCCTGGATAATTTCCATCTGATGGCCCCTTCTGAAGAGGATCATTCCATCCTTTGGGACGCCATCAGTACCTATGATGGCTCGAAGGCTCTCCATGTCACCAACATCAAAAAATGGAAGGTGAGGCCCAGCAGGTGGGTGGTGGGAACTCTCCTGTCAGAGGATGTAGCTTGAGTCGGCTGTGACAAGCAGACCTGGCCCACTCCTTCCTGGTCCTGATGCCCTGGAAAGAAATGCTTTTCCCCCAAAACCTAGTGGCCATTTCTCAGTTAAACTTTGTCAAACTGTGAACACATGGACTTTCAGGAGAGGAGCCCACTGGATGCAAAGAAAATGTAGTTCCGGACGATAGGTTACTTCATGTCTCTGAGCTCCTCTCTAAAGGGTGTGAGAACATTGAGTTACATTGTTCCAAAACTTAGTACAAGGGCCTAACTGCTTTCACCCCCATTGTATGATTTGCCTCCCTTTAAAAAAGTTGTCATAAAATAGACATAAAATGTACTGTTTTAACTATTTTGAAGCATAGGTTTCTGTGGCATTAAGTAACAATAAGTAATGCATGTTATTCTGCAACCACTACCAATATCTACCTTCAGAATTTTCATCTTCCCAAACTGAAGCTCGGAACTCATTAAACATCAACTCTCCATTATCTTAATTATGTCTGTTTTGAATTCTACCACTTGAGGGCGACAGAGAATCAAAGTCGGAGTGATTTGATTTGAGAAAATAAATTACTTCCACAAACATGCCTACCCAGAAAAAGGGAGGATTAAACCATTTTCTCAACATTTTGGAATTTCATCTGAGAATAACGATAAATGGAGGAAAGTTAATTCTTAAATTATCCAAATGAATGCCTTAATCCTCACTTGATTTAGTTTATGTAAAAGAACCTTGTAGATTGCAGAGGAAAGTTATTCAAAATCTAGAAATGTCTTCTGCTAAATTCTTAATTAAGAGTTATGCCCACTCTTCTAACCAGATGGCGGGTGCCAAAAGTATTCAGTAGGTGGCAGGAAGAGTTGGGAAGAGTTTTGTGGTGTTGGTGAGGCTCTTGCCAGGGGATGTCTCTGTGCAGGTGTTGAGAGAGTGATTGGTGAGGGAGAGAATGGTGTTCTTGTTCTTTATCTGAACAACTTAAGACAGACTAACTGCAGGTGGGAAAAAGAGGCCCAGAGGGAGCACATCACATGACACCTAGTCCCAGGTCCCCGTGGCCAGATCGTAGGGCCACTCCTGCTTCTACAAAACCTCTTCCATCAGTCATTGTCTAGGCTGATAATTCACTGTGTCTTGTTAGATATGCTAATGTCAAGTTATTCTCTTAGGAGCCCTGCCGAATAGAACTCTACAGAGTCGTAGAGAGTTTAGCCAAGGCACAGGAGACATCAGGAGAAGAAATTTCCAAATTTTACCTGCCAAACTGCAACAAGAATGGATTTTATCACAGCAGACAGGTAGGTGGCCTTGCCAGTGTGCGTCGTCAGGGTGAAAGGGACTACTGCCCTACATTCCTGCCAAGCCACGGTCATTCATGTCAAAGAAGGTCCACTCCAAAGTAGACACCAGAAGTGGTTGTATTGAGCCAGATCCACCCCTCTGGGAACCTGGAACAGCTAGGTGAAGAAAGCCTATTGAACAGGTCAATATGTCACCACCAGAGGTGGAAAACCTGCGCTGGACCAGGGGCCCTGGGGCTAAGCCTGAGCTCCATCACTCAGCAAGCCAATAGCTATGGAAGACTTTCCTAGGCCCCCTAACGCTTGGATCTTGGGTTCCTCACCTATACAAGAGAGGAAGGGAACAAACTTAACTTAGAAAAGCAAGTATCTATTTGGACAGCTCTTAACACTTTTTTCTCCTTGAACTGTCTAATAAAACACAACAACATTTTTGTGGCTTGCCAGATAATAAATGAGATCAAACAGACCAAGATTTCATATTGAGGAGTGCTTTAGGTCTCAGTGAAGTACAGGTTCTGTAGATTTTATTGGGAGAAACTGAGGACTAGGCCCTGCTTCACAGGCAATGAACAGTGGGGCACACACGAGACATGTTCCCTCTGGGTTGGGCTCCCCTGACATCAGGCTATGAAGCAGACAGCTGTGCACACACTGTACTGTTTAACACACATGGGAAGTCATTATTGCACATGCCACTCGGTCACTGTCTCTATTTTATGATGAGAACCAGGAGGGTGTGAGATTTGCCTGCATCATGGGCAGCTGGTTTCACAGCCGGGACTCTTGGCTTGGCTCTGCAGTGCTCGGCTGCACTGAAAAAAGGGCCAGCTATGGCTCTACTTTCCCTGTCAGCTTGTCATCTGCTGCTCTTGACCTTGGTCTTGTCTTTGCAGTGTGAGACATCCATGGATGGAGAGGCGGGACTCTGCTGGTGCGTCTACCCTTGGAATGGGAAGAGGATCCCTGGGTCTCCAGAGATCAGGGGAGACCCCAACTGCCAGATATATTTTAATGTACAAAACTGAAACCAGATGAAATAATGTTCTGTCACGTGAAATATTTAAGTATATAGTATATTTATACTCTAGAACATGCACATTTATATATATATGTATATGTATATATATATAGTAACTACTTTTTATACTCCATACATAACTTGATATAGAAAGCTGTTTATTTATTCACTGTAAGTTTATTTTTTCTACACAGTAAAAACTTGTACTATGTTAATAACTTGTCCTATGTCAATTTGTATATCATGAAACACTTCTCATCATATTGTATGTAAGTAATTGCATTTCTGCTCTTCCAAAGCTCCTGCGTCTGTTTTTAAAGAGCATGGAAAAATACTGCCTAGAAAATGCAAAATGAAATAAGAGAGAGTAGTTTTTCAGCTAGTTTGAAGGAGGACGGTTAACTTGTATATTCCACCATTCACATTTGATGTACATGTGTAGGGAAAGTTAAAAGTGTTGATTACATAATCAAAGCTACCTGTGGTGATGTTGCCACCTGTTAAAATGTACACTGGATATGTTGTTAAACACGTGTCTATAATGGAAACATTTACAATAAATATTCTGCATGGAAATACTGTTATCTCTGTGGATGTTTATTTAGTGATATTATCTTTTTGAAATCCCTTTGTCCTTCACCCTCACCTTCCTTATGCATTTTGTGCTTTTGTGATACCAAGATGGTGTTTTGGGTCTGCAGAGCCCCTTGTCCTAACTACCCTAGATCTTGCCCCGGCTGCCCCAGGGTTTCCACTTCCCAGTGGCATTGGGACCTTCCTCCTCTGCCTGGCCAGGCTGGGCATTCCTGTGTCCCACCTCTCCATTAGTCCCCATCCTCCCCAGGGTCCTCAGCCTCTTCCTCTTGGTTTGGTTTGTCCCTTCCGTTCAACTTATAAATAGGAACAGGGTTTCTTTCCTCTTAAACACAAGACAGAAGTGCTTCCTTGGTTTTGCTCCCTAGCCTTTCCCTTGCTTGCCCTCCCTTCCTGCTAGCCTCCTTCTTCCACAGGGCTCCCAGCATCCTTTTGTCACTTCTGTTTCCATGACTGAGCCCTGATTGCATCTCTCTTCTCTGCTCCTCAGAGCTCTTCTTCCTTAACACTGTGCCCTGCTTGGTGTGCCCAACGCTGCCCCTCCTAACTCTTGCTCACCCTGTTGACTGCTTCTTTCCTCCCCTCCACATCTTTCCTAGCACCTTGCCCATCCCAGGGGATTCCATCTCGGTCTGCTGGCTGCCTCCAGCCCTGTCTCTTGGACTCCCCCTGCTCTATGTCGGGGTGAAAGCCCACACTTCTCCTTGCCTCAGGCCACCTCTTGGAGGCTTGGCATCCATGGCTGCTTCTCTCATCTGTGGGGCTGGTGGCCTCCCTGACATTCTGGTTTTTCCTGGAGACTCTAGCTCCCTATCTTGGGTCCCCCCTTTAACCCTCCAACCCCATAGCTGCCAGGCTGCCATCCTCTCTGCCATGACCCTAGGGCTGGTGTGTAAACTCAGCACTCAGACTCATCAAGAGGAGCAGCCAGACCGATGTGGGACAGGGACAGACTGATAGCTGCAGCCCAGGGCCAGGAGGTGTGTTCATTTGCTCAAGCAATGAAACCACATCTGGCACAGCAGCTGCAATTGGAGTCACCACTCCATTAAGCTTATAATAATTCACTGTTATTGTCTAAGATCCAACTGTCTTCTGCACAGGCCAAATAGCAGAGTTCAGTGGGGATGTGGTGAGAATCACCACTCCTGCATCTTTCAAGTCCTTGATGGTGGCACTAATTTCTGCCATCTCTCTGGGATTGCAATATGGCTTCTGAACTGATCAATGACAGTTCAGAGCCAGTGCCCTGTAGTTCCTGAAAGGTCTGATTACTTCCTTTCCCTCAATCCACAATTGCCCCAGTGAAAGCCTCTAGGTCCCTTTGGAGAACACTGGTAGAAATATTTTCAACAGTGTACTGGGGCCCTTTCTCAAGGGGGCCCAGCCCCTCCTTCATTCAAGGGGTTCTGGGTCTGTAAACTGGCTTAAGTCTGAGAATTGATTGAGGTGCCAAGACTCTGTTTTTGTGATTCAAATTAGATTTTTGTTCACTTGTCCTTGAACTTTCCTGCTTATACAAGTCAATAACAATTTAGTAGGCTTCCTATCAGTTTCACTTCTAGGAATGTCATGATCAAGTAGCCAACGTCATAGATCCACAGGAGTCTGACTATTCTGAGTGCTGCCTTGGCTCTGCTGTCCATTAGAGTAGCTGTACCTACCTTGCCTTTGTTGGTTGAGTGCCTCCACTTGGTCCCTGCCACCCTTGGACTCTCATTATTTCCATTGCATTTATGTTTCCCAGTTCAGCAGCTGCAGTTCCCACTGTACGGTCTGGCCTACAGAGAAGAGCAATGCCAGAGCTCTTCTAGTATGCTGAGGCTCCCCTCATAAATGTATTCCTTATGGTCAAGGTGCAAGATAATGCCCTTTGGACCTGCCCATGGTGGGTAAGAAAGTCTTAAATGACAAATTCCCTCTAACATTCTAGTGTCCCTAAGCCTTTGAGTTCATTTCTACTGTAAATCAATGCAGATCTTGCAGTTCAAGATCTTTTGGTCTATGCTACCTTTTGGTCTATGTTTCAGCCAATTAACTAAATAAACTGTTGGAGCTGTTTCTAGCTTCTTGAATTGCAACCTTAAACACAGAATCTCTGCTTAGTAAGCCTATATCAATAAATTCAGTCTGATCCAACTTTTTGTTCCTTTCACTATTACCCCATACCTCTAATATCAATTCCCACACATGTTCCCTGGATTTCTATCTACATATATTAGAAAACTCAAGTAGTTCTTTCGGAATGTGGTGCGCCTCCTCATGGGTTACATATTGTACCTCACTTTTAGGGGTCTTATGGGACCTGGTCTAGAACCAAAGAAGAATGGTAGGGGTAAGTCCTGAGGAGAAGCAATATTGTCTTGCATGGCAACTGCCTCAGGGGAGGCCATTACAGTATCCTCGGGCAATAAAAAGTTAATCCCCTCAGATGGGGGTGGACAGCCTGCTTCTACTGGAAAAGAAAACTCAGCAGAAATTAGTGTCTCAATTCTCCACCTTCACCAGGGTCTTCCCATACATATCTATTCCAACTTTCAGGATCCCATTCTTTCCCTATCAATGCCCTCACTTTAACAGAAAGCACTGTTAAAGTGGAGGCTGGGAATTCAATTTTTGTTGTAAGTCAGTCACTCACAGGGTTTCATTTTTACCAATTCTAGTCTTGGAGCTACAGGAGACAAGGGACTTCTTCAGAGTAGATATCTAAGCTTTCAGGTCATTTATATAGGCTTGAGCTGGGAATTTGAATGCCTGAGCTCATCCTTTCCTTTCCCCACTTTATCCAGCTTAATTAGAAACAACCAGCTAATGTCATTATGCTTGTTAGTTAGACAAAAATGTTTGACGATACTATATACATAGTCACCCAGATCCTTGCCTCTTACAAGTATTTGAGAATATCCAGTGGTAATATTTTGCATATCTCTGCTGCAACATTATGCTGTGGACTATCAGTATTCTCTTTGTTACTGGAAATAGAGTTATTAGTGTCTTTAAATATAATCAAAACAGGTAGCCAATTCCAGAAATCCCAGAACCAATTCAGAAAACTGACCCTTAAGATTGAGTTCCTGCAAATACCATTATTTCATTCCTTTTTGTTGTTGAGCAGTATTTCATGCATACATATACCACATTTTCTTTATCTACTCATTGACTGAAGTGCTGTAAACTCAGCACTCAGACTCATCATTTGGGCTGGTTCCATATTTTTGCAATTGTGAATTGTGCTGCTATAACTTAGATGAAATTGGAGAACATTATTATAAGTGAAGTAACTCAGGAATGGAAAACCAAATATTGTATGTTCTCACTTATAAGTGGGAGCTAAGCTATGAGGACATAAAGGCATAAGAATGATATAATGGACTTTGGGAACTTAGGGGAAAGGGAAGGAGGGGAGCGAGGGATAAAAGACTACACATTGGGTACAGGGTACACTGCTCAGGTGATGGGTGCACCAAAATCTCAGAAATCACTACTAAAGAACTTATTCATGTAAACAAACACCATCTGTTCCCCAAAAATCTATTGAAATAATAAATAAATAAATAAGTAAATAAATAAATAAATAAATACTTTGAAATCTAAAAAAAAGATTGAGTTCCTTTAGAACCACTCCAGGTACTAAAATCTGTATTAGTCAGGATTTTCTGGAGAAACTGAACCAATGAGATGTGGATATAGAGAGATTTATTTTAAAGAATTGGCTCATGCAATTATGGAGCTGGGAAGTCCAAAATCTACAGGGTAAATCAGCAGGCTGGAGACCTAGCAGGCAGCCACTGCTGTGGTTAGAATGCAAAGGCAGTTTGCCAGCAGAATTCCTTCTTGCTTGGTCAGTCTTTTGTTCTATTTAGGACTCCAATTGATTGGATGATGCCCATCCCCATTATGGAGGGCTATCTGTCTTACTCAAAATCCACCAATCTGAATGTTACCCTCATCCAAGAACACCCTCACAGAAACATCCAGAATAATGTTTGACCCCATTTTTGTCATTGTGGTGCAACCAAGTTGACACATAAAATTAACTATCACAACCAGTTATAATTTCTACTAAATAAATACAATTGATATGTAAGAGAGGACAGAAAATTAAATTATGTGAAATGCTCAATTAAAACCATAGTAGAAAAAGAGGAGGAAAAATAAACAAATAATAATTCAATGAGTAGAAGACATTTACAAATGTGGCTGGCTTTAACAAAATATATCAGCACTCCCTTTAAACATACTAGATGTCCCAACGAAAATAAAGAGGTTGTCAGTATGCTTTAGAAAATGAAAAACAAAATCAACATATATATTGTTCATAAGATTCCTACTTAAAATATAATGACGCTATAGGTTAAGAGCAAAGAGATGGAGAAATATATATCACCCTAACTCTAATTACAACAGTAGAATTAGCTAGGTTAATTACAAAGAAAACTTCAGAACAAAGACAATTATCAGCATTAAAGAGGGGCATTACATAATGAAACAGATGTCAATTATCCAAAAGACACAATCGCCCTTAATGTGTGTGTGTCTAATGACAGAACATCAAAATATGTGAGGCTAAAACAAGTAGAACTGCAAGAAGAAATAGATAAATCTGCTACCATAGTTGGAGACTTCAACACCCTTCTATCAAAAATGGACAGATCTAGCAGGCAGAAAATCAGTAAGGGCATTGTTGAACTCAACAGCATCATCAATCGAGGATATAATGAACATCTTTGGATGACTTAATCCAACAACAGTAGAATACACATTCTTCTCGAGATTGTGTGGAATAGTCATCAAGATAGAGCACATCCTGGGCCATAAAACACATCTCAACACATTTAAAAAAATAGAAATAATACAATGTCTGCTCTCAGATCACAATGGAATTAAACTAGAAATCAGTAACAGAAAGATAGCTAGAAAATCACAAAAT
The DNA here is from genome assembly GCF_000001405.40 of Homo sapiens. NCBI lineage: Eukaryota > Metazoa > Chordata > Mammalia > Primates > Hominidae > Homo > Homo sapiens. The sequence goes on from NC_000007.14 coordinate 45,898,609, forward strand.
ATTTGGAGATTAAACAATACATTTTTAACTAACACATGGGTTAAAAAAAGAAGTCTCAAGGGAAATTAAAAACTATTTTTAGCTAAATGAAAATTAAAATACAATTTATCAAAACCTGTGGGATGCAGCTGAAGTAGTGCTTACAGGGAAATTTATAGCATTAAATACAGATAGAAATTATTAAGAAAGGTCTAAAATAAATCATTTAAACCTCCACCTTAGGAAACTAGAGAATGAAGAGCAATTTAAGCCTAAGGCATGCATAAAGAATGAAATAAAGCAAACATCAATAAAATCCAAACTGGGAAAACAATATAGAAAATCAATGAAACCAAATATGGTTATTTGAAGACATTAATGAAATTGATAAACCAGTAGCTAGACTAACCAAGAAAAATAAAAGGCACATTTTACCTACATCAGAAATAAAAGAGAGGCCATCAGTTCTAGTAACATGAGCATTAGAAGGATAATAAAGAAACACTATGAAAACCTTACACCCACAAATTTGAAAACATAGATGTAATGGACTAATTCCTTGAGAACACAAACTACCAAAACTCACACAAGGAGAAATAAATAACTAAATAGAATGATACTTATTAAAAATTAAATCAATAATTAGCCTTCCAAAAATAAAGCATTAACCCCAGATTGTTTCACTGGTGAATTCTACCGAACATTTAAGGGAGAAATGACACCAACGCTCCACAATCTCTTTCTCAAAATAGATACAAATTAACACTTAACTCATTGTATGAGGTCAGTATTATCTTGATACGAAAACCAGATAGAGACATTAAAAGAAATGAAAACTACAGATCAATATCTCTCATCAACATAGATGCAAAAATTCTGAGAAAATGTTATCTAATCATATCCAACAATGTATAAAAAGAATACTATATCACCAAGATATAATGCTAAGATCCAGGTTATAGTAAGATTGCTGGTAGTTTTACATTGGTTCTGCAGTGGAAAAACAACAGGCTGAAAAACATTCAGATTTTAGCTTTGGTTGTGTAGGAGCATTAGGGCTGTGGTGGCATTTCCTCTTTCTTCTCTTTTCTTCCTTGTCTCCCTCTCTTCCTTCCTTCTATAAAAATTATCTTTTAGTTACAGTACTCTTATATGAGAAAAATACATTTACAGTAGAAATAGAAAAGAAAGAATTTCTCATAGACCATCATTACATAGATATCGAATATGTGTATTTATATATGATATTTAAAAATGTCATGACAAGAAGAAAGAAAAGCTTTAGAAAATAAAATTAATTTCATAAGTCTTGTTATATTGTACTTAAGAATACTGGACTAAATGTTTAAAAAATCATAATGACACTCAGAGACTCATGTTAACAATTTTCCTTAAGGCCCTTGGTTGAAAGCTTTAGACTTTATTGAGGCTACGTTGAAAACCATTGCTCTACTTCCCTTAATAATTCTTTGGCTTCCCAAGGAAGCATGTGCACTCATACCTTGCCTTTCTCTTACTGCTTCTTTGGCCAGGACAGTAGATTTTGCACAACTCCAGGGGGCATCTTTCATGTTGTGTTCTAAGGGCTCCACAATAGGGCATTCACAGGGACTACAATGTCAGTTGTGTCCCCAGCATAGTACAGGGGCTGAGTACCACTGCTGAGTAGGAAGGATGCTGTCAGCTTCAGTCCCTCCATCTGGAAGGGGCCTTGGAAAGAGAATGAAGAGATACTGGCTTGGTCTGAGAACAGTGACTTGGAGTTAGAGCCACTTTTCTAGACAAAATGGTTGGCCCTCCTTCATCTGGGTACTGTTGGTACAAAGGATTTCCACCAGAGATGTAAGACAAGAGGACAGAGCAGGATGCTCTGGGAGATCTAGGAGAAATAATATAGACTGCCCCTGAGGCATCTTGGAAAATGTGGGAGCTTCTGTGAGTCACTGCCACCCTAGTCCAGAGATGATGGAGGACCAATATTTAGTCTGAAAGATCTTGTTAGTGTCATTATTCAATTGTCCTGTTAGAATGGAATGAATGTCAGGAAATGCTTACAGGACACATACATTAGCTGAAATACTAAAAACAAACAAACAAAAAACAAACAAAAAAACTCACTCTCTCCTTAAAAGAAGTGCTCCTTCACAGTGGGACATACTAACCCTCTCCTGCATAGGTGTTCTACTCTGGACTCTCAAAGCTTTCACCTAGCTTTCAGCACTCTTACCTCACTCTTACCTCAAATTTCTTTTTTCCCACATGATATTCTACATGGTCATTGTTCTCTTGAAACCCAGCTTGTCAAATCTGAACTCCTGGTCCCCTAACCAGCTTCTTCTCCAAATTTCCATACTTCATGTCTTCAGCACAACCCTTCTTCTGTGTGAGAAGATGTTGAAGTATGGTGTTGTTTTGCAAGACAGCAAGTAAGATGGACAGACATTGGCAAGCTTTTGGGCGAGGTAAACGTGTTCAAATCCAGAATTATCCACACATCATGGCTATAGAGAGAGTGAAAAATTATCCATGGTGCATCCCTGGCCTTAATGTTTCCTTGTAGTCTCCCTCTACTCTAAAACTGAGACAAAATCTTGCTGATTTTGCTCTTTAATGACTCTTACTTTGTCTTTTTATCCTCTGATTTGAACTCTTACCATGTCACAACTGGGCTGTTGCAGCAGTTCCTTCTTGGTTTGCCCTGTATTTACCCAATCTCATTTATGCATGCATGCATGCATTCATTTAAAAATAATTAATGAACGTTATTCATGACATAGGTGCTAGGGAGGTGACAACATCAAACAGAGAAGAATCTTTCTTCTAAAGGATTTGGTAGTTGTAGGGGAAGGAGGTGGGTAAGATAATAACAACAAAAGTAAGTCAAGTCCATTAAAATATACTGAGATAGTGCTGGGGTTTTCAGAGGAGAGAGAGAAACTACTCTGTATGCAGTGGATAAGAGGGCTTCTCAGAGGAATGGCCTTCAGGCCATGACTTTGAAGAATGGGCAGATAGGATGGCTCGCCTGAGCAAGATGGAGGAAGGACTAGTTTCAACAAAGGAAAATACAAGAACCAGAGAGTACATTGTGCATGCTGGGTTTAGTAAGCTGTTTGGTGTAGTGAGAACACAGGGTATGTTTATGGGCATTAATGAGAGGTGAGGTGTGCTAGGAGTTTCCAGTGTGGGCTGTAAATGTCAGGCTCAGAGTTTTGATTTAGTTGGAAGGCAATGGGGAACTTTTAAGATTTGGAGGCAGCATGACAGTGTGAGATGCTTCACCAACCTACACCCTAGTAAAACTGGTGAAAAATATTAAAAAAACAAAACAAAACCATTCAGAGTCCTAAAATGGCTGTAAAAGCAAACAACAAGTGAAAAAACATCTATCCAAGAAAATCTATGAAAGTTCAGTAAGAAAGATAAGAGTGTAGTATATGAACCAAAATCCCTTGTTCCCTTCCCCTCTAAGCTCTGTGGGTAGAGATTACACTCCAGACTGGTGCAGCTAAGGACACAGAGCTTCCTCTCCTCCCAGCTGCCAGTCAGTGGGCTGTCTTTCCAGGAGGGTCAGGATTTCAGTGTGTCTCATCCTGCCCCCAGCTACCTGTTGCTAAGGTAAGCTCCAGACAAGTGCAGTCAAGAGCAAGGAGGTGGGGAGTTTAAGGAAGGGGAAGGGGAGAGAAGAGAAGAGGGGAAGTGGAAGGGGGCTCACTTCTGCCCAGCCCCAATTCATGGAATGGAGTCTACCTTGGATGTGGCATGCTGAGAACACTAGGGCTCTTATTTCCTTTGCCCAGGCTCTGGTTTCACACCAGAAGAGGCAAGCCAAAGGACATGATCCCCCCTCCAGGAAGTACTTAGCTCTCAGAGCAGGGAAATCATTTAGAGAGAAGATTGTCATTGTCCCTATCCCCAGTCCAGAGCCCTGACTCAGAGATTTTTGCCAGAAGGGAGATGCAGGACATGAAACAGGTAGCTCCTTTCTCTTCTCATGAAAACTAACATCATTTGCAGGAGAACCTGGAGAAGTTTAAATCTATGGGCACTCTCAAGAAAGTGGAGATTGTAATGACAGGCAATTGGAAGGGGATTTATAGATCTAATGAAGATACAGCCGGGACTATAGCCCAGCTAGTTTGCAGGAGAGAACTGAGGGATGACAGCTGGGAGGAGTCCTCTTGGGTACAGAACAAATACCAGACTCTGGGATCAGAACAAATATCAAACTCTGGCTTCAGAAACTATTCCTTCAAATGAGCTACAGTTTGGAATTTGTGCCCAGGGAATTGTTGAAAACAATACAGGAGGCCATTGGCAACCAGTGGAGTTTAATAGCTGGGCATGGCCTGGGAAGAGGAAGAGAGTCCTACCTGTACCACTGTCATCCCAGGGTGCCTGTGGACATACCCATAGCAAAGCAGCCTTAGGAGGAACATCAGCTGCTGAACCCTGGTGGTGGTGAGCAGGAATAGTCTTCACTAAAATAATTGAGCCAATCACTAAAAAACAAACAAGAAGTAGCAGTACCAAGCGCTGGTGAGGGAGAGACCAGGACCCAGAAGTGTTACAATATACAATCTAAAATGTTCAGTTTCCAATAAAAATTATGAGGCATGCAAATAAATAGTAAAGTAGATCCTATACACCAGTAAAAAAGCAGGCCGGGTGTGGTGGCTCACAACTGTAATCCCAGCACTTTGGGAGGCCGAGGCGGGTGGATCAAGAGGTCAGGAATTCGAGACCAGCCTGACCAACATGGCGAAACCCCATCTCTACTAAAAATAAAAAAAAATTAGCCGGGCGTGGTGGCGCATGCCTGTAATCCCAGCTACTCGGGAGGCTGAGGCTGGAGAGTCGCTTGAACGCGAGAGGCGGAGGTTGCAGTGAGCCGAGATCGCGACATTGCACTCCAGCCTGGGCAATAATTGCAAAACTCCGTCCCAAACAAACAAACAAACAACAACAACAACAACAACACCGGATGGCACAAAGTACTTTTCAGATGCCAGATTTAACAAAAATAGATTTCAGAATATGAAATCTATTATAAATATGTTCACAGACTTAAAGGAAAACATGATTAAAGAAGTAAAGAAGGGTATGATGTTGCATCAGATAGATAATATCAATGCAGAAAAATTATGAAAAAAAGAGAACTAAATGGAAATGCTGGAGTTGAAAAGTACAGTAACTGAAATACAAAATTCTCTAAAAAGGGTCCATGGTAGATTTGAACTTCCAGAAGAAAGAATTAGTGAACTTGGAGATAGGTCAACATATAAAAAGTGAAAACTTTTCAACTCATTTTATGAGACTATTATTACCCAGATACCACAACCAGACAAAGACATCAGAGCAAAAGTATAGATCATATATCTCTTATGAGTATGGACACACAAATTCTCAACAAAATGTGATCAAATTGAATACAGCAACATATTAAAAGAATCTTGATCAGTAGGGAATATATCCCATGATCAGTGGGATTTATTCCAGGGGTGCAAAGTTATTTTAGCATCTGAAAATTAATTAATTAAAATAATATTAATTATTTTAGCATCTAAAATTTAATAAAATTAATAAGTCATAGGATAAAAACAAAAAAATTACATGATCATCTCAGTAGATGCAGAAAATAATTGACAAACAAAAATACCCTTTTATAATAAAAATATTCAGCAAACTAGGAATAAAAGGGAACTTCCTCAAGCTGATGAAAGAGATCTAGGAAAAACCCACAGCTGACATTATACTTGATGAAAGACTATAGGCTTTTTGCCTAAGATCAGGAACAAGACAAAGATATCTGCTCTTGCCACTTCTACCTGTACTGGAGGATATATTCAAGAAAAATAAATAAATGGCATTCAGATTGGAAAGGAAGAAGTAAAAGAAACTCTATTTGAAGATAACACCATCTGCTATTTAGAAATTCCTAAGGAATATACTAAAAGTCCATTAGAACTAATAAATGAGTACAGCAACATTGCAGGATATGAAATCAAGATTAAAAAATCAATTATATTTCTATATGCTTGCAATAAACAATTCAAAAATAAAATTAACCAATTTTATTCATAATAACATCAAAAAGAATAAAATATTTAAAAATAAATTGAAAAAAGAAGTGTAAAATTTATATTCTGAAAGCTATAAAACACTGCCAAAAGAAACTAAAGAGGCTCTAACTAAATGGGAAAATATTTCATGTTCATGGATTAGAAGACTTAACATTGTCAAGATGGCAACATACCCCAAAATGATCTACAAATTAAGTGTTGTCTCTATCAGAATCTCAGCTGACTTCTCTGACAATCTGACTTTAAAATTCATAATGTATGCAAAGAACGCAGAAAAGCCAAAGCAATCCTGAAAAGAAAAATACAAAGTAGGAGGACTCATACTTTCTGTTTTCAAAAATTACTACAAAGTAATGGTAATGAACATAATGTGGTGTTGGCACAAAAATAGACAAGTTGAGAGTCCGTTGACAAGCCCATACATTAATAATTAACTGATTTTCAACAAGGGTACCAAAAGCAATCAATAATCTTTTCAACAAATGATCCATAGGCAAAAGAGTGAAGTTGGTCCCCTACCATATACCATAACAACAATTAACTCAAAAATCTATCAAAGACCTAAATGTAAGACCTAAAACTAAAAAACTCTTAGAAGAAAACATAGGGGTAAGTCTTCAAGACTCTGAACTCGGCAAAGATTCTTAGATATGATACCATCAGCATGAGCAACAAAAGTATAATAGATAAATTGGACTTCCTCAACTTTAAGCCTTGTGTGCTTCAAGTGACACCATTAGGAAAGTGAAAGACATCCACTGAATGGTCAAAAATATTTGCATATCATATATCTTATAAGGGACTGGCATTTAAAATATATAAGAAACAATTACAACTCAACAATATCAAGACAAATAGCCCAATTAAAAATAGGCAAAGGGACTGAACAGACTTTTCTTCAAAAAAGATGTATTAAATGGCCTATAAGCACATGAAAAAGTCTTTGGCATTATTAGTCGTGAAGGAAGTACAAATCAAAGTTATCACTTCACATCCACTAGGATACCTAGAACCAAAAATTCTGATAACAGTAAGTGTTTATGAGGATCTGGATACATCAGAACCCTCTTAGAATACTGGTGGGATTGCAAAATGGTGCAACTGCTTTGAAAAATAGTCTGGAAGTTTTCCAAATGTTTAAACATAGAGCTACCATATGACCCAACAATTCTGCTCCTGGGTGAATGCCACTTCTAGGTATACGCCCAAGATAAATGAAAATGTATGTCCATTCAAAAACTTATATATAAATGTTCATAGAGGCATTATTCACAATAGCCAAAAGGTGGAAATAAATCAAATGTCCATCAATGGACAAACGGATACACATTTGTCAATTGTGGTATATCTAGACAATGAAATATTAATCAACCATCAAAAAGAATGAAGTACTGATAATGCTACAACATGGATGAACCTTGGAAACATGCTAAGTGAAAGAAGCTAGTCACATGCAATTATACATTATAATTCCATTTACATGAAAGTGCAGAATAGGGAAATCTATAGAGACAGAAAGTAGATTAATGGTTGCTTAGGGCTGGGAAGGGAGGATGGAGGATGACTGCTAAAGAGTTCAGGGTTTCTTGTTGAAGTGATGAAAATGTTCCACACTTGGCCTATGGTGATGGCTGTACATTTAAAGCTATACTAAAAGCCATAACATGGGTGAATTTTATGATATGTTAATTCTGTCTCAATAAATTTGTTAAAAAGAAAGATTTTTCAGTAGGAGCAACTCTGTCAGTGTTGAGATTTAGAAAGAAGACTCAGGGAGCAATGATTGTCATGGGATTTGAGAAGATAAAGGAGATTAGAAAGCCAGATAGAAGTTGGTGAAACTTATTTATGTTGCAAATGCTGAAGATCAAAGGAGATTAGAAAGCCAGATAGAAGTTGGTGAAACTTATTTATGTTGCAAATGCTGAAGATCAAAGTAGAAGGAAGCAGATTGGGGTACACAAGGGACGGAGAATCAATCTCTGGAAAGAATCACCTGTGCTTGCTGACTCCACCTTCTCTCCTATTCTCTTTTGAACACTTCCTAATCAACTGCAAGCGCTGATTATAATTGGTTTATAACACACTCTCATTATTGAGCCACGCCTGGTCCTCTCTTGTTTATTTGTTCTATTTTTTAATAGTGCAATAAAGATCCATCAAATACCCATCCAACTTAACCAGAATTCTGACAACCTATATGGAATTAATCACTCACTGCTTTTCTTTGCATATGTTTTATCTATATCTATTTTTTAAACATATATTTTTATTTTAGATGATTTCAGTTACTTTTTTAACATCATAAAAAGTGTACCATGCAGAAAATGATCTTTAGGGACTTGGCTTTTAAACTGATGCTGTAAAGCTGCCAGTCTCTTGATTGTTTTATGCACCTGCTGTTTATTTATTTAGGCTTCTACAGGGTCCTCTCTCTTGAAAATACACCACAGTTTATTGATCCAGGCTGCTGATGATGGGAACTCGGTTATCTTCAGGTTTTAAAAAATTGTCTACAGTGCTGCAAAAATATTCTTGTACATGTGTGTACATGTATTTCTTAGATTAGATCCCCAGAAGGCAGATACTAAGAGAAAGACTCAGGGAAGCAACTTACTAGGCAGCGTTCTCATGAAAAATCAATATGGTTATGAGGAAATGGGACCCAGAAGGTGGGAAGGCCAATCCAGGCCAAGCCACACTGAACTCCACAGAAGTTCAATTCATCAAGATAGGGAGGGTCACACCTCAGAGTGGCCGAGGCAGGGCAAAGGGAGCTGGTATTTCATGTTCTCTGAGATGATTTTACATTGTCTTTTTTTATGTTGGTTGTCGCTGGTAGACAGAAATAAAATTCACATTTGCATATTTTTATACCTGGCCATACTGCTAAATACTTTTATTATTTATAATAATTTGTAGATTCTGTTATTTCCATGTAAATATCTGCAAGTAGTGACAGTATTTTTCAACTGTCAAGTCTCTTTTTTATCTTACTGTACAAACTGTTACTGTTCTCTCATACTGTGTTGAATGGAAATGGTAAGAGTGAATATCCTCGTCTGATTTATTATTTTAAAGAGATTGTTTCTAATGTTTCTCCATTTACAATGGTGCTTGCTGGGTTTTGTTCTTCAATATATACACATCATCAGATAATGGGCATTCCCTTGCATTCTTAATTTATTAACAGTTTTTGTTGGGTTGAATTTTGTAAACTGCTTTTACTGTTTCCATTAAATATCACTTCTCTCTTTAATATATTGTGATATATATATATTTATATGTTTTCTAATATTAAATTATTTTATATGCCTGGAGTAAACCGCAGTTGGAAACAGTGTAATGCTTTTAATAGGGACTATGGAGTTTGCTTTATTAATGATTTCCTTGGGGTTTTTCATTAATGAGCAAAATAGGCCTGTATTTGTCTTTGCTTGATTTTGGCTTTGGGGTTATACATACTGGTTTTGTAGAATAACTTGAGGTATATTCTTTCCTTTTACAGCTTCTTAAAAAGTTTTTGTTGAATTGGACGATCTGTTTCTCAAGCACTTGGTGTAGAACTTAAATAACTTGGTGATTTCTTTGTGAGAATGTTTAAACTAGTTGACCATGCCCTCACTTTTAAAGACAGTTTATCTGGGTATAGAACTCTAGCTTCTAAATTATTTCCCTCATCTTCCTGTGTCTAGAGTCACTCTTTAAAAACGTGGTGTCAACGGATACTCATTTCTTTATCTGTGATATGTTCTTTCTGTGCTGAAACTTTGCTATTTTAAGATTTCACCATAATTTACCAAGCAATGCTTTTGAAATTATCTCTTTTTACATTCTATGAGGTCTTTCAATATAAAGTCTTCCCCTTTTTCAATCCTAGAGAAAATTACCTCTGTGATTTCTTTAGTTATTTCTTAAGACTTCTGTTATCTGTAACGGATACAGAAACGGTTCTGTCCTTCATTTCTCTCAACTGATCTTTTGTATTTCCCAGTCATTATTCTTTCTGCTTCCTTCTAAGAGAGTTCCTCCACTTGTTCTTCCCCTTTACTAAATTGTCCTTTAGCTGTAGCCATTCTTTTTTTTTTTTTTTTTTTTTTTGAGATAGGGTTTTGCTTTGTCACTCAGGCAGGAGTGCAGCGGCACAAACATGGTGGGCTCAAACAATCCTCCCACATCAGCCTTCCAAGCAGCTGGGACCACAGGTGCACACCATCATGCCTGGCTCTTTATTTTTATTTTTTGTAGAGATAGGTTCTCACCATGTTGCCCAAGCTTGTCTCAAACTCATAGGCTCAAGTGATCTTCCAACCTTGGCCTCCCAAAGTTCTGAGATTACAGATGTGTGCCACTGTGCTTGGCCTAGCTGTTATCATTTTTTAAAAATTCCATCTGCTTTATTTTTCATTTCAACTATTAGATATTTCATACTGCTATGGCTTGAATGTGTCCCTCCAAAATTTGGGTGTTGAAACTTAATGGCCAATGTGATGGTAAGAGGTGGGGCCTTTAAGGGTGATTAGGTCATGAGAGCTCCTCAATAATGCATATATCAAAATAGTTCTAAGAGAGGATTTTGAATGCTCTCACCACAAAGAAATGATAAATGTTTGAGATGATGGATATACTAATTACCCTGACTTGATTATTATACAATGTATACATGCATTATATACATGCACACTGTACCCCATAGATATGTACAAATAATCATTTTGTCAATTAAAAACAAACAAAAGAGTAACCTTCTCAATGAGGCCTTCCTTGGCTAGCTTTTCTAAAAATGAAAGAAAGGAAGGAAAGAATGGAAGGAAGGAAGGAAGGAAAGGAGGGAGAGAGAAGATGAAAAAAACCCCTGCATTAACAATACTTGACACTTCACATTTCCCTTTATTTTTTCCCCATAGCACTTAACACTATTGACCACCCTATCTATCCCACTGACTAATCTTGTTTATTGTCTTTATTTACAAGGGCAGTGATTTTATATGGCTTGTTCACTGCTATGTGCCCTTCTAGAACATAAAAAGTAGATAAACAATTATGCCTGAATGTGGGACAAGGAGAGAAGCCAAGACAATTTCCAAGGTTTGGGAAGGTGGCTGGACCAGGAGGTCAGGGTTCTATACTTCTTGGAGATGACCAGTGGGCTGATGGAAATGTAGGCTCATTGCTCATTCATGAAGTAGAGGCAGGGGCATAAAACATGCAGCAAGTTTTTCTGAATGAAAAGAAACAAATCATGTTCACTGTGGAAATTGTTGAGATTGTATCAAAATAGAAATAAAACAAGGACATTACCTACACTCACATAGCCAAGGTTAATATTTTGGTGTATTTTATTTTGGTTTTATGTGTGTGTGTACACAATATAATTGCATTCTGCTTTTCTTTTAGCCCACCACAGACATTTTTCTTGCTGTAACTCTTATTCAAAAACATTTTTAGTGGTGGCATAATATTTCTTTGTACCAATGCATTTCAGTGTAAAATGCCCTTGTACTTAACTGTCTGTGCACGTCTCTGATGATGCCTGTGGGATTTGTTTCTCCAGTGGGATGACTAGTTCAAGGAGTTTGATCAGATCAGAAATGTCCCTCTAGACAGGCTGCCACAGCAGAGAACCTGGAATCCCATTAGGGTACCCTCATCAACAATGGTGATTTTTATTTTTCCTAAAGTGTGTTGATTTGATAACTTAATCTTAGGAAGCTGTTGTTGTAGCACCTGCATCACCTTGACTCCCATGGAGGAGACCACCCTTACTTGTTCATTTCTGTGTGTGTCTGCGTGCAGGTTGCTTGGGTACATGTGACCTTAGGGGTTAGTGGAAGCAAAAGCCCCAGGGAGCAGAAGTTGCCTGAGGAAGATGGCAGAGGATCAGAACCAAGGCAGGGAGGTAGAAGAACTGGAGGGTCCAGAGGAGAATGAGAGTATGCAATTTTAAGGTATTTACTGGAAGTGGCAGGAGAGCATTTAGAGGGAATAGTTGATCATAGGTATTGTGTCAGGGTTTCCCAGAGAAACAGAACTAACAGGTTATATCTATCTGTCTGTCTATCTATCTATCTATCTATCTATCTATCTATCTATCTATCTATCTATCATCTATGTATCTATCTCTGTCTAATCTACCTATCTATCTAATCTATCAATCTATCATCTATCTAGTCTATCTACCTACTTATCTCTAATCACCCACCAAAAAAGACTTATTACAAAAAATTGGCTAAGTATGGAGGCTAAGTCTCACCATCTGTAATCTGCAAGCTGGAGAACCAGGAAAGCTGGTGGTGCAATTCTGCCCACGCAGACAGAAAAAAGGCACAAACCCTTCTTTCCTCTGCCTTTTGTTCTATTCAGAACCTTAATGGATCGATGGATGCCTGCCCACATTGGGGAGGGCAATCTATTTTACTGAGTCCACTGATTTAAATGCTAATCTTATCTGGAAACACCTTCACAGATACTACGCTCACAGTATCACCCTCACAGATGCTGTACCTGGGCACCCCATGGCCCAGTCAAGTTGACACATAGAATTAATCATCATGAAGTGTGGGAAGCAGCAGAAGTTAGAGGTTAAGAAATGAGGACAAGAAAGGGCACATGAGTTGGTGGCTCCCAGGAAAACAAACCCAGTGGGCTTAGAAGGCAAGCATTATTTTGTAGCTCATAGCTCTTCAGCAGCTCCCAAGAGGTTGCCACGTTCCGGTCCTGGATTTCCAGACACTTGGCCTCGCTCCCCAGGTGCTCCAGGATTCTGCCGCACAACTCTCCGTGACGCTTGGTGCCTGCTCCCTGCAATGGGCTCCTTCTGCTCACTGTCTCCCTCCATCCTCACAGCCTTGCAGTCACAGCACCCCCAAGGGGCCTGCTTTCTCATTTGTCCTGGTTTCTCATGTGATCAGCCTGAGACCACACACCACAATACCAGTCCTCTGAACACTTACAGAACCGGCTTGCTGCTCATCACATACAACACGTGATAAGGGTATCATTTTAGATGTTTCATCAACAAATCAGACATGGCGCTAGACAGGAGGTAACTCGACAGGAGGTAACTCTTCGACTGCAGTTTATCCTTGGATGCTCTGAAGCCACAGGCTCAGTGTTTTGTCTAAAGTGGCTTTGACAAGTAACAATTCTTCCAAGGCTGCAGATGAGGGGGCTTAGATCCCAGAACCCCTTCTGCTTGGAGCAGAGAAGGGCCACTCTCTGATTGGAGATGGGAAGGGGACAAAGCGGTAAAGGACACGAGACTGAATTGCTGAGTGTCTGTTCTGGTCCTTCCCTGCTTGTCTGTGGATGGCTGCTAGTGTTAGATGGGACAATACAGGACACAACCCAAAAAAGGCAAGGACCAGTCACATAGGTGCACATTGCTGACCTGATCAAACCTGGGCCACAGACTGTCCCAACAACACAACCTCCTAGAATTGGACCATCTTGCAGATATGACCCAATGCCTCCATAGGCTTCCCACAAAGCCATGGAAACTGACTTGGGTTCTTTTGCTAAAAGGGAAAGCAGGGAAACATTTGTGGTTATGAAGTTTTCCACTACAGCTAAAATATTTTCCCCTTTCAGGATTTTATTATAATAAAATAATTATTATATAATAAAATAAAATAATTAGTGATACAAAGCCCAGAGATGGTCAATAACAAAGGGAAAGATATTTTTTTAATGGTAAAAACTTTATTTACTATTTATAAATACATTGCAAGACAAACTTCTCAAAAATACTTTTCCCCCCAAAAAGTTAAAAAAATAAAGAAAAGCTAATAGGTAGGCAGAATGTCTTGAGACCCCTCTGTTTTCAAGGAGAGCTCTATGCAGCGTGTGTCCACACCGAGGTCTGCAGCAGGGCAGAGTCTCCCTGAGCCTGACTTTGCCAGACCTTCTTGGGTTTGGCCTCCGGGAGAGCAGCCCAGTCTCTGGGCGTGAGCTCCTTTCCTCAGTCATGGCCACAGTTGTATCATATAGCATCTCTAACATTTCATCTAGGATTATCTAGTATAGATCTTACTATATTTGGGGCTATGTTGTATACAATGTTAACAAGAACATATCTTCTCTGCATATATGTGTGAATTATAAAGAAAAGCATGAGAATGACTCTAAGTTCAACAAACATGGGTGAATCTCTATGTGCTCCCAGTGTCCTGGATGGGCTCCCCAGCAAGCCATTCCTCCTTCCTGTTCTGATATTACTATTCTTTTTTACATTGTGCTAAGGAGGACAAAAGATGAGAGATGAAAATAAAGCTTTGCCTTTAAAGAGCTTATCCTCAGAAATAAGCTTCGTCTTGAGTTGTTGAACTACAAAACACTATTTTCTGCAGTCATCCGAAGAATTGTGCCATTACTTGTGATGCCTCTGAATGTGGAGGCTGACTCTCCCTGTCTCTCTGTCCCTCCTACCCCACGGGGCCGCAGCAAAAGCCATCCTGGGCCTTCGACTGGGCCATGTCTTCAGGAAGATTCCTGAAGAGGAGGGCCCGAAATACCTGCCTTTATAGGTTCCCAGAGTGCCCTAGAACATTCTTAGATACATATTTTTTAAACAAGTAGGACTCCACCTTATTTTCTCCAATAGTCCCCAAGCAGTACAGGTCACTTGAAGACATAAACATTCTTCTTGGTTGAGGGATCCACGCCCTTGTTTCAGAAATGACACCACAGAAGGCTGTGAGCTCCAGGAGCATGCGTTGGGATGTCCGGATGACCGGGGTTTAAAGGTTTTCCTATTCTCGATAAAGCCTGTGCGCACTGTACGGGGAGTGGGGGTGAAGCGTGTTCTCTACATAGGCAACACAGCCGCCTAAGTCACAAAGTCAGTGGTCGGCCGCTTCGACCAACATGTGGTGAGCATTCCACGGGCGCATGAAGTCTGGGTGCTGTGCTCGAGTCTCTGAATATTTTGATAGGAAGCGACAAGAAAATTCAAACTGCTCTTTGCTGACTACTGGAAAGTGAAAAGATGCTCAAGTTTACCATTCAAAGAAACCATAGGCATTTCAAAAACCTCTTTCTAAACTTTGGTTTAAAAAAAATCAGTTCACCACAAACAGAAATATAAATCGAGGCTGTAGCCAGCTGCTGGTCATGTCCTTGGCAGTCTTTTGTGCAAAATAAGGCATATTTGAGCTCCACATTAACTAAAACAAAAAGAAAAAGAAATATATTGAAATAATCCCCCCAAAATCAAAAGGGCTCGACTCTTGCCCTGAGATATCCAGCACAGCCTGCAGGCTAATGGCACTAGGCCTGCAAGTGCAGGGCTGGGGTCTCAACTCATGTTTTCAAACAAAGCAACGAGTACCAGATGCTGCTCACAGTGTTCATTGTCAAAGAGTTACCCTTAAATTAGAATTATTTTTTCCAACTTGTAAGGAAAAAAGAAACCCTTATAACTAAACATGCAAATTTCTTCTGCTTACTAAATTTGTCTTAATAAAATGAAAGAAAATGTATTTATTCCTTTCCCCCAATAGTTCCCTCATTTATTAAAAGAAAAAAGAAGACTGGATATAATAGCATTCTCTAAAATTATCGTTTAAAATTTCATTTTTCTATCAGATTTAAATTAACTTTATTAAAATTATATTAGCCACAGACTAACAGAATATTCATTATATATTTTACAGAAAAAAAAAGCTGCATCTTCAAACTGATGCTCTCCCAACTGAGCTATTTCAGCTGTCTCACATTCACATCTTTAATTTAGAAACATGTATCTTTAGCAGGTTCTTGCGGATTAAAACGGTTTCTCTGTGAAGATAAATGGACCTCCAGACCTCACGGGTAAAGCCTAACTTTGAAAATCTTCACTTTGTGTGTGGATGAATGATAGCTTAGGTGCTGTGAGGTATCTGAGATAAAGCAGAGTGTCCCTGAGGTGCACTGGCCGGCCTCCTTCCCCACACTTGTTTGGTTGGGTTGATGGGGTCTCCCTCTCCCTGCACCCTTCTGAGGGCTCTGTCCTATTTGCTTTGCTCTTTCTGGCCCTGAGCTGCAGCTCCTGGGTCTGTAAGCCTGGGGAAGGGCCAGTGGCCACGCCCAGCCCCTGAGGCTGGTCCAAGGACAGTGAGGCCCTGGAGCCCCAGGCTGCCCCTCCTGAGTACTCACCCTTGCGGCAGGCGTCTACTTGCTCTGCATGCTGTAGCAGTGCACGTCCTCCTTCCCCTTGGTGGTGTAGCCTGGGAGAGGCTGCCCATACTTATCCACACACCAGCAGAAGCCCCGCTTCCTGCCTTTGGAAGGGCGACACTGTGGGAGAGAAACAGAAGACAGAGAAGTGAATGCTCCTGGGTCTGGTGTCAGGTCGGTGGCCAGGGCGCATGATGGTTTGCCAGCGTGACTCTGCTATGCTGAGAAAGCACAACAGAAATTTCAGCTAAGGCAACACAAGAGCCATGCGTGCCTAGGCCCGCTGAGTGTGCGCCTGTGCATGCGTGTGGGTGTAACTTCCTGCTCCAAGAAAGCGGGGGTGGGGGCAGTTTTGTGTTTCTAGGAGTATAAGGTGGACACCAGCCCTTGTAGAACCTCTTGACTGACTTCTCTGCCAAATGTGGGACTGAGAACATCCCCGCTGCCTGCGAATGTCACAGCTATGACTTTGGAGCCCACATCCAGCCTCACATGACACCTTCTCAGTATGACTTTGTTGAATGAATATGACTTTGACAGAAAACGTGGGTATAAACGAGCAATGGCAATGGAGGAAAGCTTAGGCTTTCTGACTGTGGCCACTACTATGAATCCTAGTATATGGTCACCCTGAGGCCACTGTGGCTCACTTAGGTCTCCAAAGGCCAATTCTGTAGATAGCATAGTATCAATTGTCCAATTAGAAAGCCAATTGAAATAGTGCCATCACATAACACAAAGCCTATAGAAGCATATTTATTACAGCTTAATATTACTATATCTTAAATTTGTTTGATCATTTTCAGGTTAATTGGGATTTTAGGCATATGACTACATTTGGGGCTGATGTGTAGCCAGGATTCTCACTCCATTCCTTTTCCAGGAATGGGACTATGTTGCAATATAAAGATTTTGAAAAGACTGTTGTTTGATGTTGATGACTCTCATGCCTTCTTCTCACTTGGACTTTCTAGGGAAATGCCAGTGAGTCGGAGGAAGACCACATGGCCAGTTTGGAGAGACTGGCCATCCCCAGCATGGACCGAGTGTCTGATTTCAAGTTCCATCCCCTCCACGCCAAGACAGACACCTGGTATGTGCTGGGGATGGCTGGGCTCTCCAAGCTGGCCATGCTGCAGTCATCCCCCCACTCACTAGCATTTCCTTGAAAAGCCCAAGGGAGACAGAGACACACGAGTCACCAACATCTAGCAACAGCCTTTTCAAAATCTTAATATTGCAACCTGCTCACTATCGGGAAGGCATCAGTAGGAAAGGGGACGATTGTGGGATTTCAGGGTAAGCTTTTTGTGGTATGACCTCATGTCACACTTCTTGGAAACTGACTATAATAGTTGTTTGAAATGTCACTCCCTGACGCAGCATTAACAAATGTGTTAACATGTCCACTTGCAGTTTATAAAGGGTGCCACTGGGCAGCATCTTGTCCGCCCTGTGGGTGAACCATTGAAAGGACAGGAGTGGGAAGCGGGTGGTGGAAAGGCACTAGGGTTGAGGATTATGGCCAATATAGCAGCACTCAGAGCAACAAGTCAAAGCAGCCCTTGGTCTGACCTCCTGAGACTGGCACCAAGTCCTGGGCACTGGTGCTGCACAGGCTCAGAGTTAGAGCTATGGCCAGAAGAGCCTGGGGGCTGGTGAGATGGGTTTCTCCTCTGTGTCAACAGAAGAGGAAGAAAACACACTGAGGACCTCACTCACCTGCTTTTTCTTATAAAATCCCTTCTTGTCACAGTTGGGAATGTGTACACCCCTGGGACTCAGCACATTGAGGAACTTCAGGTGATTCAGTGTGTCTTCCATTTCTCTACGGCAGGGACCCTGGGGATCAGGAAGGACCAGAGCAACAGAGTCACAGTTTTTACTCTAGAATGTGTGCTTTAAAAATCTTACGATGCTGCACAACTACCAAAAGTGGGACCTGTAATTTGCTCCTCAGATACCTTATGTCTGATGTAGCACGAAAGTCCCCCGAATAAGCTAACCATCACTCCCTGTCTCCTTTTTGCTCTTCCCAGAGTAAGGCACAGAAGCTGGTATGGAACCAATAGCAGGTCAACAAGCATAGAGGATGAAGTAAATAAAACTATCTTTATGAGAATATTTTTCATTATCTGCAGAGGTCTTTATGACATCCCATATGCTTTTAAGAGTGTTATTTCAGCTTGATCCTCATAAGATTCTCCAAAAGGGTCAATATTCTTTATGTAAGGAGAGGAGAGAGGTAGGGCACAGAGGGGCTAGGGGTTGCCCACCCATCAGCCAGGCGCTGGGGTTTGTTGAGTAAGAATTGCCCTCAAGAGGCTCTGAGTACCCAGGCTTGGCAGGTCTTGCCCTCCTCCTTTAACAAGAGGAAAAGCTCTCACATATTCTGTCTCCCGCTTGGACTCGGAGGAGAAGTTCTGGGTATCTGTGCTCTGAGACTCGTAGTCAACTTTGTAGCGCTGGCTGTCTTTAGCATGCCCTTTCTTGATGATGATTATCTTTGAATGGAGGGGGTGGAACTTGGGATCAGACACCCGGTGCGTGCTGGAGACGGACGGGCTCTCCACACTGCCGGCGCTGCGGTCTTCCTCCGACTCACTAGCATTTCCTTAAAACGCCCAAGAGAGACAAACACATGAGAGTCATCAATATCTATCACAGTCTTTTAAAAATCTTAACGTTGCAACCAGGTCACATGTAAATGACAATATTAGTTGGCAATCCAAGTGAGTTTTTTTTTTTAAAATACCTCGATGAAGTATTATTCCATCATACTACTCACTACATGGTGGTTGCTCTACCTCAAGAAGTTATCTGTTTGAAAGTCAATCTGACAGGTGCTCTTCCTAAGTAGCTGCAACTAAAGAAGGCAGACAAACGCTTCAGTGCCCCTCAGTAGGTGAAGGCAGTATGCTTCATCTTCCACCGGCAGGGGGCAGACCTGAGCCACGGGAGGCTGCTGCAGCGCCGGCTCAGAAATTTTGCAGTCAACTCCAAGTGTGGTCCTCCCACCCGCGGGAGCAGCGGCAGCCCGGGGACTTGGAAGAAATGCACATTCTCCACTCCGGAAACGCTGGAGTGGCGGCAGCAGTCTGAGTTGTAACAAGCCCTTATGGGAATTCCAAGGTTGACCAGTACCGTCCTCAATGCTACCAGGTAAACACGCTTATAAGAGCTTGGTGTCCAGCTCAGATGGGAAAACTGAATTATTACCTGCAAAGCGTTTTGCCTCAGGGGCTCAGAATCATGCAAGCATGTTGGTGGCTTGTTTTCTAGGTCCCCGTTACATCTCTAAAACTCAAGGTCTACACAGACCCTGTGCATCTTGCTGGTGCCTGCCTAAGTGAGTCCTTTTCACCCCGGGTGAACACAGCAGCACATGGATGCAGACAATGCCAAAGTCCCACTCACGGCTCAGACTTCTAAGTGCCAAAGAGCTTTTCCTTCCCTGGGTGGGGGTGGGGTAGGAGAAATCCCCCTCCAGCAGATCTCCCTTTTATAATAAAAAGTGCTAAATGAAGAAAGTCTGATGCTTAAAATGGATGCTGGAATGTTAACAGTTGAATTGGAATTTTAAGTATATGACTAAATTCAAGACTGGATCTGCAGCCAGGATTCTCACTCCATTCCTTCTTCAGAATGAACTTGGAGGGGCTGTAAGACCGCTATGGGGATCAAAGGCTACATTCAGAGCCCATGCTCCCAGGGCCTGTGGACCATGCCAAGGTCTGGAGGCATCGGCTTAAGTCCACAATTGAGAGTCATGAAATTTCTCTACTACAACAAACAGGGCTATAATGTGTAACCCTAGCAGGGAGCTCAGGTGGCCCATCTGGTCCACAGTCTATTCTAGAAAGCTACCTGGGGCTGCAATGATTTGGCTGCAGATGCTCTGCTCTCCCCTGGAAGTGGCTACTGGCAGGTCACTCACCAGGGCCTTAGGAAAGTCCCTCTCCTCTCTGGGTCTTAGTTTCCTCACCTGCCAAACAGCTCACTGAGGTCCTGCTGTAAAGTTCCCCAAGGGGTTTCATACCTTGGGAAGCACACATTCCCAGGGTCCAGCACAGAGCCTCACAGAGGAGGTCCCTACCTGCGAGGATTTGGTTTCAATTTCTTTTAATCTTAGCTTGCTTTCTTTTTCAAGGAAATACTGAGATAAAAGAGATACTAAGAATGTAAATACTCTAAGAACATGTAAATAAACGTATTTATACTTCTTTTCTAAGAACCTTGAGTAATTTCTTAAATTTCCTTGGTTTCTTCTTAATGCCTGGGCTGCAGACTAGGGCATGAAGACAAAACAGTTCTATTTAAGCAACAGATAATTGTGACTTTTGACTGTCGAAAATTTACCTTTTTTTGTCAAATAGATTCTAGAAGTCACTTAGATCTTTTTATAATCTTATAACTCACATCAACCTATACTACAGTGCTACTAAGGTGGTAATCATGATGATTGCTAAAGCCCAAGAATGACGATGTGTATCAGTATTTCTAAGATCACTTTTTGAATACCCCAAAATGCACAATAATGTACGACACTTGGCAAATGACATAACTTTGCCCCGAGAGACAAATGCCTCCAGCAGCTTTAACAGCTGACCAGAGCCAGTGTATGTTTCAGGCATCTTGCCTTTCCATGAATCCAGCATTTCTCAGGGGTGAACAGAGCCAGCCTTGCCGAGCCAGAAAATAACTTCACCCGGGCGTGGAACTCTACAGCTACATAAATTATAAAGGGACTGTTCATCCTGCTAGCCCTAGATGGGGGCCTGCCCAGTGACATCTGTCCAACGTGATCGTTGGGGAGTTGGGGGAATTAGGATGGGGAGAATTCTCCCAGCCTTCAGCTGTGCAAGGCAGGAACTTTATTTCTCATATAACTAGGTGAGGCTGGCTAAGAATGCTTGAAAGAACAGCTGCCAAATCCATTTAAACAACCCCCGCTCCTTTTTTTAAGGGAACAATGTGATGCCCTTACCAGAGTCGCTGTCTGCCTGATACTGATAGTGGCTAAGCCAAGAGGGTAACTCTGCCAAATGTTTGCATTTTTCCTCTTCTGGGGCTCCCCTTAACAACATCTCATTCCCCCCCCCATTTCAGATTAAGAAGGGAGACAGCCCTAGGACTGATTCCAATTCCCTTCCGTGTCATTGAAATTGACTTAGTCCACATTGCCCGCACCCACCACGCACCTGGAAGTTTGTTTGAGGTCGGCGCAGGTGCAGGGGTGGCCCGAGTTGTAAGAATGGTATGGTACTGAAAGTGGCACGCGGAGTTCAAACCTACACTCTGTTGTGGCCGCTGGGTAACCTTAAGAAGTTACTTCTTTTTCAGCTTCAGGTTTTCCAACCGCAGAAGATATCAAAACCCGAATCCACTTTACTTGTTTTTGGACATACCGGGACTAGACATTGCTTTGCAAACCAAAAGGCTGTGCAAAGTCAGTATTTTAAAAGAGAGGTACTATTTCCTACAACGTGCCTGCCCACCTTCCTTGGTCCAAATCCGCCTATATCCCCCCCATCCCCAAGCATCCCTGGGATTGCAGTCCGTGTGCACCCCCGTGCGGGGCGAGGAGAATCTCCTGTGTCCAGGATCTTTCCAACAGCTAAACATCGGTACCGCTCCCCTCAGCTCCGGAAACCTTTAACCCATTTTCACTGAAAGCGCTTTGCAATTTACAAGTACTCTGCACTTAGAGAATCGAGCAAGTAGAGGGCCGGCTGGGGAGGGTCCCTCCGGCGACCGCCTTCACCTTTCCCGGAGCGCCTTCAGTTTCCCCACATATTATCTCCAGTGAGAAGAAAAGCGGAGTCTCCCGCAGCGGCACCCAGCAACCCCCAGGCCCTTCGGCGCCAGTGCGCCGGGTGCTGCACGCAGCGCACCTGGCGCGGGCGGCTCACCTGGAGCTGGCGGCGCTGGCAGCAGGTAGGCGCGCAGGCGGCTGACGGCACTAGCGTTGACGCAGAGCCCGCGGCCGTCCAGCAGCGCCTGCAGCGGTCGCGCCTCGTCGGGCGACGGCTGGCAGCGAAGGCCGGAGCCACAGCGCTCGGTGTAGATGCCGCACGGCTGGCCCTCGCTCAGTGCGCACGTCAGGCAGCAGCCGCAGCCCGGCTCGCGCACCAGCTCCGCGCACACGGCGGGCGGAGGCGCGCACTGGGCCAGTGCACGCGCGTCGCACGGCTCGCAGCGCACCACGGGACCCAAGCCCGCCGAGCTCGCGCCAGCCCGCGCCACCGGCGGCCCGCGGAGCAGCACCAGCAGAGTCAGCGCAGCGGCCCAGAGCGTGGGTCGCGCCCGCTGCATGACGCCTGCAACCGGGGCACGCTGCTTGGCAGGCTGGGCGCGCAGGGATGGGGCGACAGTACACGGCGCGAAGCTGTGGAATCCAGGCAGGAAGCGGCTGATCCTCAGCGCCCAGCCGCAGTGCTCGCATCTGGGCGGCCCGGGCGCGCCGGCCGCTATATAGAAGCCGGGGTGGCCCAGGACACGCCCCGGAACGGCGCGCCCAGGAGTGGGGGTTGGGAGGGGGGCGGGTCGGCGCAGGCACGGCTGCGGGGGCCCGTGCTTCGCCCTGAGCAGCCGGGGCCGAGCTCGGGGGCGTGCAGCTCGAGACTCGCCCGGGCACCTGCTCCTCGTGCGCACGCCCGGAGCCCGGGTCACCTTGTCGTCTACAAGAACCAAGGTGTGCCCGGCCACCCCGGCACTCCAGGCCACCTCAGCACCCCCGGTCACCCCAGTCACTCCTGGCCAACTCAGCACCCCCGATCTCCTTGACCCCGCCGCCCTTACCCCTTCCGCTCTCGGGGTGAGGTCTCCCTGCGGCGAGCCGGTGTCGGGGAAACTGGCATACAGCGCTCCGCATTCGTGTGTACCTCGTGGAGCTTTCTAAAATTTAATTCCGTTGGCAGGCGAAGTCTTGGGACATTTCTGACTTACATTTGGGTCTCAGGGAGCCAAGGCACTGCGGGGTTTAATTTACACCCGCTGGGCTGTTTATATCCCCAGGGGCCCACAAATACGCATCTGAAGATGCGCCCGGGGCCTTCGCCCCTTTCCAGGCTTACTTCTCAACGCAAGAAGACTCTCACGTGTTGCTACACCGCAAGTCTCCAATTAAGAGTGGACCGGCAAGCGAATGCGTCCTTAAGGCAGGGCTTTTCAAATATTTTAAATGACAACTGTTCTTCTTGTCTTGGGTATTCTCCCTGATTATGTTTTCAAATGGAGTTTACACCCATGACAAAAGAATAATAAAGACAATAAACTGGGCACTGCTGAAACGTAATTAACCAAATAGTCCTTTAATAGGCAATTTTCATTGTCATTTTTTGAAGGCGACTTCGTATTACTGTATTCTCGATGCGTTGGGATTCTAGCTTATCTCTGCAATCTAAACACTTTTCAGTAAAGTTCGGGGGCGCAATTGCGCGCTGAGGTCGCTGTAACTCCTGTCGGCCTTCTCTGGCACTCGAGTTTCTTCAGTTTTGTCTGCGCACCCCCTCCCTTCGGTGACCAACAGAGGACGCTGGTGGTCCAGGATTGGATTGAGGATTAAATTTTTCAAGGCACTTTTCCAAAGAGTTTGTGGGGGTGGAGTGGGAAGCGGTGAGACCTCCGCGGGAGGAGACTTTCCTGAACGCTGTTGAAATTGGACGCTTGCCTTAGGAGGTGGATAGGTGACTTGAAGGAGCCCTTTGCAGTTTGGAGTAGTAATAGCAAATCAGGAGCTCCTCCATTCCCCTCCAGCACGAAGCCTTGGGTGAAGTTAATCTTCATTCATCATTTCTGTCTCTCCTAATCGATCTCTCGCCCAGTGTCTCTCCTTGTCCCTCTCCCTCCCTTTCTCTCTCTCGTCCTCTCCCCTTTTCCCCCTGTCCACCTCTTCCCCCATATCTATACAGCTTCCTTTTATACATATATACTCTCCTTTTAGAATGGAAAGATCAATTTCGTTCCCTCTTGTACTAAATAAATAAATAATTGGACCTCTACAAATAAAAAGAGACCAAAGACAAGAACAATGGAGTGCCCCGGGGTGACGAAGGCCCAGCACCGTCATTTTCTTATGAGCTCTTCTCCCACAGTGCTCAGGCTGTGGCTACACTCAACCTTGTTTACAGGAAACCGTGCCATAATCGTCGCTTGCTGTTTCCTTTCTCTTGTATCACCTCCTTCTAGTATCTGCGTTGACACCCAAGAACAGGATCTCTGATTTCATTGGAAAATTGAAGGAAACAAAACGAATCCCCCAGGTTTACATCCGTTCCTTAAATACTCGCAGAGACCTTGACTCTGAAATTAGAGCTGGGTTCGGCATCAAATGCAATTCTTGAGGTCCCAGGTCTGCAGTTCTGGTTAGTGCAATGTTGCAGCAGAGCCTGGACTGACCACTGGTTAGTGTAGCACTTTTTATTCAGCTTTATCATCTGGAGAGTGGACAGGGGAAGATCAGAAACAATGTCTTTTTGGAAAGGATTAAAAAATTTGTTTTATTCTTGGTTCTCTTCTTTTTTCCCTCGCATTGCAGTTGGAGAAACTTGTTCAGTGCCGAATGGCTAGGGGGCGCCAAAGCTCCAGGCGTCCAGCCCGGCCTCAGGGACCACGGGACACACGTAAAGACTAAGTCACATTTCAACTTTCAAAGGCTATTCCAATAACAATGTTTTATATAGATTGCCATCACCTTTATCATGACATCTTGCAACAGCAGAGTAAATTTGAGGCAGTGACACGGGGAGAATTGTGTTTTGTTATTTAGCCAGTTTTATTTGATAACTGCAAGCTCCCTGCCCCTCCCGGAACATAATTGTTGCAGGAAGGATTTGGACTGGATAAAACTTAATTTTGTGACATGCTCGTTAATTCTGTTAAACTTCCAATTCATCTGGTGTTTGTAGTTTTTAACATAAACTAGTATTTAGTGAGAAAGATGTTTACCCCCTGTGAAGGTGCTTGGCATACAATTGCTAATCATTGCAAAAGTAGCGAATAACCATCCGAATAGAGGTCAGGAGGCTGCATAGATCTCTTTTCACTAACGGAGTCCAGCTGACCTGATTATAATTAGTGTTTCCTTTGGTCAGCCTCGTTATTTTCACCAGGTGACCTAAACCACTCATTTCTTTGAGCCCACTCCTGCTGCTAAAGGGCACCTTGTCGCTGCGTGATACTGGCTCCTTTGCTTTTCTTCTGCTCAGCCCCCAGCTGGACAAGCCACCCTAGGGTCTCTCTCCTTCTGACAGCACTACTGTTTCTCAGTGTCCTCTGGGGTGTGGCTATCAGTCTTACTGACCACCAATAGACTTAGAACAGAAAGAGCCAAACTTCTAAAGGCAAGCAGTGTTGGGGACCCAGTTGCTAGGACTCAGTGGCTCTCACCCTATAAGCTTCAGGTTTTTTTTCCCCTTTAGGGGACGTATTGGTGGAGACAGGAAATCTAATTTTCTCTCCATCAGATCGCCTGCTGGGTGAGCCTCCCGGAATTACATATACTGGGCTTGGGGATGCATTGGGGACCATCAACTGCCAACATCACGGTGGCTAACAACACTGCAAATGACTTTTACTCACAAATAACATCATTAAGAGTTCATCTATCCACTTAGTCCAAGAATGATTACTAAGCACCTCCATGTGCCAGCTGCAGGATTTCACAGGCTGGCTGGAGTGACTCACCAGAGTCCAGACAGTGGTAGGCAGTGTGACAGCAGAGAAAACAGAGAGGTTCACCGGGTGCATTTATAACCCTGCTGGAGGGATGGCAAACCTGTCCGTGTGGTCAGAAAAAACTTCTGAGAGGTGGTGGCATTTGAATTGAGTCTTAAACAATGTGGGAGAGTCCAGCTGAGAGAGGCAGGCAAGAAGAAAGTATGGGCATCCACAGAGAGTCATTCTGTGTGCCTGGAGGGACGAGGGGAGGGCTCAGAGGGGATGGTGTTGGCATTGTGCATGTGACCTGTGGAAGGCATAATTCTGAGATTTGGAAGAGAAGAGAAGGTAACTGGATATACTGGATGGGGACAGTGGTACCTGTGGCAGTGGAAATCCATGGTCCAGAGACAGGGGCTCCTCAGAGTTAGTGCTGTCCCGTGTCGTCAGACAATCTGGAGATAGATGCTCCAGAGAAGGGGCCTGGACATTGGGAGCCCACCCCATGGAAGGGAGGTTTCTGCTCAGGACAATGATACTCCTGTCATGGCTTTCTCTCACAATAGTGCTACCTTCTACATGTGGGCACCCACACCCTTGCCTACACAGTTAGTCATTTACATGATAAGAGTTACCTCTGTGTCTCCTGGTCATTCAAACAGAGGCAATTCCTGACTCTGTCTAACTTCCAACTTTTCTTCAAGGTTGAAGCTTCAGAACAATGAGAGAGACTGGGGACTTCAATCACAGTAGACTAGAGTTTATTCTTAACTGCTTGCTCAGTTCTCCTCTCAATAGCTTTCTGACATTGGGCAAGTTCTGCAACTCAATTCTAGGACCAGGTAAGGGCACTAGTACCTATCTTACAGCACTGATGGAAGGATGAACTCTTAGACACAGTGTTGCCTGGGGAATGGGAAATAAAAGTTCATCCTTGTGTTCACATAGCCACCTGAACAATCTTAAAGGTTTTATTCTCAAATGAGTCCTAGCACACAGCCCACATACCTTGTCTCCTTAGTTCAAATGTCAACATGCTAACAATTGAGTCTACCTGTGGGCATGACATACAGTCTTCAAACTGGCCAACAGTCTAGTATGGTCTTTCCCTGCCCAGTGAAGTCTTAAAAGGGGACAGGAAAGATTTTAGGAGCACTTTTCATTCAGCTGGTTTGTCCCCGGCACCAGTGTCAATCCTGTGTCTTTACCCAAGGGCATCTTTGGTGCCACTTCAAGCTCCTTTTCCAGCTTTGCAAGGCCAGATAGAAAGGAGAAGATTCCCAGTAGCTCTCCTATCATAGCTAGAAGAGTCCTGAGAGTCCTGTTATCTATCCCTTTCACTGGAGATGGAGAGACGGAGGCAGACCCTTTTTGCTGGATTTCCTAGATCATAATCCACAGATTCCATGGTGCCTCTCCAATTTGATAGACAGAGAGATAGATTTTTCTTTTTCATTGATGTATAATTAACATACAATGTACTACACAGATTGGAAGTGTATGATTTGATAGGTTTTGACATATGTATACATTTAGGAAATCGCTAACATACAAATGAACCTTTCCATCATCCTCAAAAACTTCTTGACCTTTCATAATCTTGAGCCCTCCTTTTCTCCATTCTTATCTCCTGGAAGCCGCTGATCTCCTTTCTGTCACACTAGATTAGTTTGTATTTTCCAGAATTTTATGTAAGTGAGATAATATGGCATCTACTTTTTTTCTCCTGGTTTCTTTTACTCAGCATGATTATTTTGAGATTCATCCCTATTGTATGTGTAAATCGGTCGTTCCTTTTTGTTGAGTTGAATTCTATTGGATGGATATATCACGGTGTGTTTATCCATTCATCTGTTAATGGACATTTGGGTTGTTTTCATTTTTTTGTGGCTATTAAACAGAAATAAGCTGCTATGAATATTTGGGTAGAAATCTCTTGAATATTTTTGTGGAAATCTCTGCATGGATGTATGCTTTCAATTCTCTTGGGTAAATACCTGCTGGTGGAATGTCTGGATTTTTAAATTATAAATAAAAAGCACATATATATGCTTTATTTGAAATATGTGTTATATATGTGTGTGTGTGTGTGTGTGTGTGTGTTTGGTGTTTTCAAAAATGTTCAAAGTGTATTGTACCATTTTACATCCTCATCTGCAGTATATCAGAGTTCCAGTTCTCCCACATTCTTGGCAATACTTGATATGGACAGTGTTATTAATTTTATCCATTCTATTAGATGGGTAGTGGCATCTCATCTTGGTTTTAATTTGTTATTGGCCTCATGACAAAGAATGTTGAGCAGCTGTCATGTGCTAATTTTTTTATCTGTATATTTTCTTTGGTGAAATGTCTGTTAAAATTTTTGCCCACTTAAAAAATTAAGACATTTGTTTTCTTATTGAATTTTGAGAATGCTTTGTACATCTTGGATATAAGTCCTTCTTTATTAGACATGTAAATTGCAAATATTTTCTCCTGTGGCTGGTCATTTCAGTTTTTAATGAGGCCTTTGAAAAGTGAAGATTTTAATTTTGATATGGTGCAATTTGTCATTTTTTTCTTTTATGAATCATGCTTTTGGTATTCTATTGTATTGTATTGTATTGTATTCTATTGTATTGTATTCTATTCCATTCCATTCCATTCCATTCCATTCCATTCCACCCTGTTCTGATCTATTTATTATGCCATCTGTTTTTATGCCACGGTTACAGTTTTCATTATGATAGCTTTATTATAAATCTTAAAATCAGGTAGTGCTACTCTTGCACATTTGTTCTTTTTCAAAGTTGTTTTGGCTCTTTCATGTCTTTGAATTTCTGTATGGGTTTTAGAATCAGTTTTTAAATTTCTACAGAAAAGGCTACTGAAATTTTGATTGGGATTGTATTGATTCTAAAAATGAATTTAGAGAGAATTGACCTCTTAACTATACCGAGTCTTCATACCCATGAGCATGACATGTGTGTTCATTTATTTAGGACATCTTTCATTTCTTTCAGCAATGTTTTGTAGTTTTCAGTGTATAAGTCTTATACTTCTTTTGTTAGACATATTCCTAAGTATTTCATATTTTTGGTGCTGTTGTAAATACTATTTTTTTAAAGATTTAAACTTCTAAGTTTGCATTGCTAGTATATAAGAGCACAGTTGATTGTAGAATACTGATCTTGTAGCCTGAAAACATGCAAAACTCACTCATTAGTTTTTGTAGTTTTATTGTGGGTTTTGTCGTCTGTGAATAAAGACAGTTTTACTTCTTTCTTTCTAATATGGGTGCCTTTATTTCATTTTCTTACCCTATTACACTGATTAGGACTTCTAGTATAATGTTTCAGAGGAACAGTGATGACATCCTTGTCTTGTTTCTGACCTTGCGGGGAATGCATTTGGTCTTTTACTATCAAGCATGATGTTAGCCGTAGGTTTGTCACAGATGACATTTAGCAGGATAAGAGAGTTACTTTCTCTTTCTGTTTTGCAGATAGAGCTGTTGATCAGGAATGGATGTTGATCTATGTCAGATGCTTTTACTGAATAGATAAAATGATCATATAATTTTGCTTTTAAGGTTATTAATTTGGTGAATTACACAGATTAATTTTTTGAATGTTAAACCTTCCTATATTCCTGAGATAGAGTGACTACACACACTTGGATCAGGATGTATCATTCTATTCTTTTAAAAAATATATTGCTGAACTTAGTTTTTAAGACTTAAAAAAATTCTAAAAAAATTTGCATTGGTGTTCATGAATGACATTGATCTGTAATTTTCTTGTAATGTCTTTTTCTTGAAGAGATATGCAGAATTCTTATTTTTTCCTTTACATGGTTGGTAGAATTCACCAGTGAAGCCATTTTGGACCAAAGTTTTCTTTGTAGGAAATTTTGATTTTTGTGCTTGCTTTTGTTTTGTTTTGATTTTGCCTCTGCAGACCCAGAGGGTGAAGCTTAAGCAACAGAGGAGTGTCGCTATGTCTCGAAACCTAATGTAATGTTTCTTGCTAGGTTCTGAATTTTCTTGGAACACATAAATCTTTTATTCCTTCCAATTTCTCCCTTTCGGAATGGGACTCCCTATGCTATGCCTGTCCCACTATTGTGTTTTGGAAGCAGATAACATGTTTTCGAGTTTAGAAAGTCCACAGATGGAGATGAGTTTTGCCCCAGGTTGGATCATACCCAGAATATCACCCATCTGGGCTACTTAGACAATTAGATGATGAGATTTGGGAATTTTGAAGTGATGATACTTAAATGAGACTTTAAGAGTTGATGTCATAGTAGGTTCTAGGGTTGTTGGGGTGCGGTGAATATATTGCACATGTAAGACACATGTCAATTTTTGGGGACTTCCAAGGGTAGACCATAGTGCATTGAATGGTACCCCAAAAGATACGTTGAATGTGACCTTATTTGGACTAGGATCTTTGGAGATGTAATTAGTTAAGATGAAGTGATACTAGATTATAGTAGGTCTTAAATTCAATGACTAGTCTCCTTACAGGGAAAAAAGAGTTTGGAGACACACAGACACACAGAAGGAAGAAGCCCATTTGAAGACGGAGGCAGAAGTTGGGATGTTGCAGCTACAAGCTGAGGAAAGCCAAAGACTTCCAACAATCCCCCAAAGCCCGGAAGAGTAAAGGATGGATTCTTCCCTAGAACCTTCAAAAGAAGCACAGCCCTGCCATCACCTGGATTTCAGCCCTATATCCTCCAGAACTGTGAGAGAATAAATTTCTGTTCTTTTAAGTCACCCAGTTTGTGGTAATTTGTTATGTTATGACAGCCCTAAGAAATTAGTGCACATGGTAATTATCACCATAATCAAGATACAAAATAGTTCCATCACCCCCAAAACGTCTCTTATGCTGACCCATTTCAATCACATCCCTACCTCTCCCCTAAGTCTTATTAACTAGTGATCTGTTCTGTCTCACCATAGTTTCATGATGGCCTTAAAATGTCATGAAAATGGAATCATACCATCATGAAAATAGAATCATATATTACCTTTGAGACTGGCTTTTATTTTGATTCAGCATAATGCCTTTGAGATTCATCACATTGATACATATATCAGTAATTAATTCCTTTTTATGGCTGACTAGCATTCTGTTTTATAAAAATAGCATAGTTTGTTGATCTATTCACCCATTGAAGAACATTTGGGTTATTTTCAGTGTTCAGTAATTATGGAAAAGCTACTATAAACATTTGTGTACAGGTTTTTTTGTGTGTGCAAACATAAGGTTCCACTTTCCAAGGTAAATATCTAGGAATGCAATTGCTGGGTTGTATGGTGAGTGTATGTTTAGCTTTATAAGAAACCACCAAATCATTTCTCAGAATATGTGCCATTTGCATTCACAGGAATATATGGGAGTTTTAGTTGCTCTGTATTTTCCTCAGCACTTAGAATTGTCAAATTTTTTGTTTGTTTTTTAGCCATTCTGGTAAGTATGTAGTGGCATCTCACTGCAGTTTCAGTTTTCATTACTGTAATGGTAATGAATTTTAACAACTTTTTATGTACTTATTTGCCATTTGTATATTCTCTTTGGTGAAGTGTCTGTTCATGCATTTTAACTGATTCTAATTGAACATTTTCCCCTTTACTCTTTTATTTGAGAGTTAGTTATATATTCTGCATACAAATTCTTTGTCACATCTGTGATTTGCAAATACTTTCAGTCTGTAGCTTGTCTTTTCAGGCTCTTAACAGTGTCTTTTAAGCAGCAAAACTTTTGAATTTGATATAATTTAACATTATTTTCTTTTATGGATCATGCTTTTGGTGTTATCTCTAAGTTCAGATCATAGAATTTGCCTCCTATATTTTCTTCTAATAGTTTTATGGTTTTACATTTTATATTTAGACCTAGGATCCATTTTGAGTTAACTTTTATAAGGTACAAAGTTTTTGTCAGGGTTGTTTTTTGCGTATAGATGTCTATTTGTTCCAACATAATTTATTGAAAAACTATCATTCCCCATTCAACTTCTTTTGAGACTTTCATCAATAATAAAATTGTTGTATTTGTGTGAGTTTATTTCTGGACTCTATTCTGTTCCATTGATTTATTTATATGTCCTTTTATAAAGATCTCACTGTCTCAATTACTACAGTAATCAAGATTACTATATAGTAAGTTTTAAAATTGGATAGTGTGATTCCTCTAAGTTTATTCTTTGTTTTAAAAATTATTTTAGTTGTTTTTAGCCTTTTCATATAAATTTTAATCTACAAGTTTTCTGTTGAGATTTTAATTGGAATTGGGTAAAGTCTTTATATAGATGTGGAGAGAAGTAACATCTTTATCAGTCTTCCAATCCATGAACATGGTGTGTATCTTTATATATTTAGATATTTTAAAGTTTACTTCCTTAGAGTTTATCATTTTTAGCATAAAAATTTTATAGGTATTTCATTACATTCATACCTAAATATTTTATGTTTTGGAGCTATTTGGAATGATTTTTTTTAGTTAAAAATTCAATTGCTCATTCTGGTATACAGAAATATGATGGAGTTTTCTTTGTGTTGACATTGTATCCTATGCCCTTGCTACACTTATCTATTTATTCTATGTTTTTTGTAGATTCTTTGAGATACTCTACATGGAGAGTCATACCATCTGCAAATGTAAACACTTTTATTTCTTCCTTTCTAATCATTCTGACTCATTTATTTTCCTTGCTTTATTGCAGTGGCTAGAACTTCTAATACAGTGTTTAATAGAAGCTGTGAGAAAGGACAGCCTTGCCTTGTTCCTGATCTTAGTGATAAAGCATTCATTCTTACACTATAAAGTATGATGCTAGCTGTAGAATTTTTATTGATGATTTTATTAAATTGAGGATGTCCTCTACTGTTTCTAATTTGATGAGAAGTTTTATCATGTTTGGATGTTGAATTTTGTCAATTTTTTTCTTGTATCAATTAATATGATAATATTTTTTATTTCAAGTCTTAATATAATAAATGACATTAATTTATTTTAGAATATTGAATCAGCCTTACTTTCCTAGGATTAAACCCCTTGATCATGGTGGAACTTAAAAAATACATATTGCTATTTTTGATTTGCTAAGAATTTGTTTAGGATTTTTGTTGTTATACTCATGAGGGATATTGGTCTATGTTTTTCTTTTTTGGTTTTATTTTATTTGTAATACAAATAAAACAATTACATATTTATGGGGTACAGTGTAATGTTTTACTATATATATAAATTGTATAATTTTTTAGTTTGTTATAAAGCCCATCCTGGCCTCGTAGAATAAAATGGGATGTATTCTCTTATTTTCTAGAAAACAATATGTATAATTTGTATAATTTTCTTCTCTTTAGAATTCACTCATGAAACTTGGAGATTTCTTTTTTTGAAAGGTTTTAAACTATTAATTTCATGTATAAATAATGAGTTAGTATGGGCTTTCTATTTAATCTTGGGTGAGTTTTAGTATTTTGTGGTTTCAAAGTACTGATCTATTTTTTTAAGTTATTGAATATATGTGCGTAGAGTTGTTGTAGTATTCACTTATTATTCTTTTACTATCTGCAAGGTCTGTGGTGATATCTCCTATTCTATTTTTGTCACTGGCAATTTGTATGTTCTCTCTCTTTTGTTTGTCAGTCTTGCTAGAGGCTTTTTAGATTTTAAAAAAATCTTATTGCTATTTTCATTGCATGTTTAGATCAGTCTTTCTGTCCTGTCCTGTGTGTGTGTGTGTGTGTGTGTGTGTGTGTGTGTGTGTGTGTGTGTCTGCTTTCTTTCTACAACCTTCTGCAGGGTTATTTGAGCCTTTTGTTTAAATATAACATTTTAATTTTCTGATTTATTTTTGACTTTATCTTTTTGCATAATTTCTTCTTAGTGTTTTTTTTAATTGCAAAAGATGTACTTAACCTTTGGTAGTCTAGTTAGAATCAATACTTTACCACTTAAAGAGGAATTTACAATATTTTCATCTTATAGGTTCCATTACCCTCCCCTTTTTATGTTGTAGTTGTTTTATGGATTATATCCATATGCATAAAAAACCCCATCAGATGATGTTTTTGCTTTTGAGTATTACATTTATTTTAAAGAACTCAAGGTGTGAATAGTCTGTTATATTTACCTAGATGTGTACTATTTCTGTTGAGCTTCATTTATTTATCATTATTTACTTAGGATTATTCCAGGTTTCCCTCTGATAACACTTCCATTCTGTTTGAATGACTTCCTTTAGTAATTGTTTAAAGTAGATGTGCTGACAAGATCCTCTGTTTTTCTTCACTTGAGAATGTATTAATTTCACCTTTATTTCTGAATGATATTTTTCCTAGAAACACAACTCTCAGTTGACTATTATTTTCTTTATTTTTTTTCTTTGGGGCTTGTTAGGCTACTTTATTATGCAAGTCTATGTCTTTGATTAAATTTGAGACATTTCTGGGCAATATTTCTTCAAGTTTTTTTTTCTAATCCACATTCCTTCTCTTCATCTGGAGAATGTTAGACTTTTGTATCACCTACAGGTCTCTGAGTCTCTGTCAACGTTTTCTTTATCTTTTCCCTCTTTTTTCTGATTAAATAATATTTATTTATCATCCGGTTCACTGACTCTTTCCTCACCTGGGTGGCTTGCCACCCACACTCATTCATCTCCATTCTGCTACTAAGCACATCTAGAGAAATTTTTACTCTGGTTATTGTATTTTGAAGTTCTAAACTTTTTATTTGGTCCTTCTTTATAATTTCTATTGCTTTTCGTGCAAAAAGTTTTTAAATTTTTTCCATAGGTTATTGGGGTACAGGTGGTGTTTGATTATACAAGTAAGTTCTATCATGTGATTTGTGAGATTTTGGTTCATCCATCACCTGAGCGGTGTACACTATACCCTATTTGTAGTCTTTTATTCCTCGCCCTCTTCCTACCCTTCCCCTTAAGTCCCCAAAGTCCATTGTATCATTCTTATGCTTTTGCATCCTCATAGCTTAGCTCTCACATATCAGTGAGAACATATGATGTTTGTTTTTCCATTCCTGAGTTACTTCACTTAGAATAATAGTCTCCAATCTCACCCAGGTTGCTGCAAATGCCACTAATTCATTCCTTTTTATGGCTGAGTAGTATTCCATCGTGTGTATATATATATATATATACACACCACAGTTTCTTTACCTGCTTGTTGATTGATGGGCATTTGGGTTGGTTCCATGATTTTGTAATTGTGAACTGTGCTGCTATAAACATGTGTGTGCAAGTTTCTTTTTCATATAATGACTTCTTTTCCTATGAGTAGATATCTAGTAGTGGGATTGCTGGATCAAATGGTAGTTCTACTTTTAGTTCTTTAAGGAATCTCCACACTGTTTTCCATAGTAGCTGTAGTAGTTTACGTTCCCACCAGCAGTGTGGAAAGTGTTTCCTGATCACCACATCCACGCCAACATCTACTGTTTTTGATTTTTTGATTATGGCCATTCTTGCAGGAGTAAGGTGGTATTGCATTTTGGTTTTGATTTTCATTTCCCTGATCGTTAGTGATGTTGAGAATTTTTTCATGTTTGTTGGCCATTTGTATATCTTCTGTTGAGAATTGTCTATTCATGGCCTTAGCCCACTTTTTGATGGGATTATTTGTTCTTTTCTTGCTGATTTGTTTGAGTTTGTTGTAGATTCTGCATATTAGAACTTTGCCGTATGTAAAGATTGTGAAGATTTTCTCCCACTGTGAGACTTTATATTTTTGTATTTGTTTCATGATTGTTATTCCATACTTTTCAGAGCACTTTCATAATAGCTACAGAAAGCCTTTCTCTTATTATTCTAATACCTCTGTCATCTCTACATTGGTGTCTGTTGACTGTTTCCCACTTGAGTTGATTTTTGGTATTGTAAATAATTTTGGATTCTCTCCTGGACATTTTAAATATTTTGTTAGGAGACTCTGGGTCTCATTTAAATTTTTTAAAAAGTTCTTATTTTTATTCTAGCAGGCCATTTACTCAGTTGAGCTTAGGCCAGGTCTGGCCAGCATCATTTAAGCTATGGTTTTAATGCCCTTTCCATTTTCCAAGCCTTTGCAGTACTGTTGGGATTTGTCCTGCATATGCATCACTAAGTGGCCAGTGCAACTTCAGTGTGAGCTCAGGAGCTCATAAACGACTTTATGGGGTTGACTTCTCAGTGTCCTCCTTCTTCATGATGTCTCACAAGCTCTCCAGTTTCCTGAGCTCCCTATTTTTTGTCTTCTAACTGGAAAGCTGTGGCTTTCTTCACTCTGGGTGGAAGGGTATTACTACTGTATACGTCCCACAATTGTGCCCATGTCTAGGCAAGCAACAGGTGACTGATGGGAAAAAACTCAGGGTTTTAGGTACCTGCCCCTGCAATTATCACTGACTCTTGTTACTATGGGGTTATCTGAAGACAGGGATATGAGACAACAAAAAGAAAAAGTGGGGGACTTCCTCTACTGTCTCTGAGGGATTAGCTTCTTTCTTGTTTCTCAAGCTAGAACCAGAGGATTTATCCTAGAAATTTCTCTGAGCTCCAGGGCCCAATTCTAGATTTGGAGGTGCCTCAGCTCTGGGTCAGGAGATCTACCAGAGGAAAAATGGGAAATTTACCACTTACGTAGCTTAGGATTTAGAATTCTGGTCTTCCTTCCCAATTTGCTTGCTACTGTTTCCTTATTAGAGTCCTCAAATATCTGCTCCATGCATTTCATGCTAGTTTTATTGCTGCATTCCATGGGAAAGACAGGGTGGAGTGTTCTTGCTCCATCTTACCTGGAACCAGACCATTCTTTTCATGCTCACAGCCCCCTTGCACGTGTGGAAGTACAGTGCTGGCTGCATTGAAGCATAGGTGGCTGTTGCTACTACACTGGTCATTGAATTTTATAAAGGGATGTGGGCAAGATTGGCCCTCTGTGAGTTAAAGGCACACCATTTGTACTTGTACTTCAAGTGCAAAGCAGCTTGTGCAGCCCTTCCCTGGAACTAAGCTCATTTTTTCTTTTCTGACACTGGTCTTGGAAACCAGTGACCACCCATGTCTTGATCATCACATGGAGATGTTTTCTTTCTTTCTCTTTTTTGAGAGACAGAGTCTTGCTCTGTCACCCAGGAGTACAGTGGCGTGATCTTGGCTTACTGCAGCCTCCACCTCCCAGGTTCAAACTATTCTCCTGCCTCAGCCTTCCGAGTAGCTGGGACTACAGGTGTGTGTCACCACACCCGGCTAATTTCTATATTTTTATTAGAGATGGGGTTTCGCCATGTTGGCCAGGCTGGTCTTGAATTCCTGACCTCAGGTGATCCACCTGCCTCGGCCTCCCAAAGTGTTGAGATTACAGGCGTGAGCCACCGCGCCTGGCCGAGATGGTTTTCAATTACAAATTAAAATATATGTATATGAAATTTAGCTTATCTGTTGATTCATTTTGTGTGCCTAGATTTTTACAGTTTGTTTAATTGAGATGTAATTCACAAACTATAAAATTTATCCTTTTATAGTGTACAATTCAGTACAATGTAGTGTGTTTTCGTATATTCACCCTTGGTCTATTTGTGCAGGCTGTCAGGGGACCAGAGCTCTGAGACCAGTTGCCTTCAGCTGCAGTCATCCTTGTTTGTTTATTCTTGTGTTCTCACAAATATTAGCATTTCCTATTTATAATTTAAAGTGTAAAAGGCTGGGAGTGTCACTCTAAACCTCCTCCAAAGTGCCTTCCCACTCTGCGTCTCCATGTCTCCATGGACCTGTGTTTCCTGCCTTCTGGTTGATTTCTCTTTCTGCTGTGCCTTCATGGCATTGTGTGTGGTGCCACATTGCAGGTGAAGGAGTAATGACCTGGGCTGACCCAAGTACACTGATAAAAACAAGTAGGCAAAACCTAGTGAAGATGCAGATTCCCAAGCTGCTGTGATCTACCCACCCCACTACTCAGTCTACACTGAGGGAAGTTCCAGTGCAGACACGTAAGGAGACACACAAGTGAATGCACGAGGGAAGTTCCAGTGCAGACACGTAAGGAGACACACAAGTGAATGCACAGTACAGCATGGTCTGCAAGAGCATGCATCCCTTAGTAAGCAGAGAGCTCTCTTCAGACACTGGCAGACTGTGCCATAAACAAGAGGAATGAACCAGCATAGGTATCACAATGGGTACATTTGAGAAACATCAAATAAGCAAGAAAAGCAAGTTATTGAATATGTTCATTATATCAAAGACAGTAGGGGTGGAAAACAATAGTCTATGTTGTTACGGAGAGATGCAAAGTCTTCAAAGAAGGGGAACATGCATGTCAAAGCTGCAAAGTAATTTTGGGAAGGTGGTCACCTTTGTGGAGGGTAGGAGAGGAATGGGTCATGTAGGGCATCCAGGAATATAACTGGTGTGCCACACATTGTAATGAAACAATGACATCATGGCAGAAGGTTTGATGAATTGCAGGCTGGGTTCTGGTCACACAGGCACTTGTTGTGCTACTTTTTTTTTTTTAAACTTTTTTTGGAAACATTAAAAAACAAAACTAAGCAATGAACTGAAGGGCTCCATGTCAAGCACTTAGTCCTCGTCCCAGCACATGAAGCTCCCATTGAACTTGAACTGCTCACTGCATCTTCCCAGACCTCCTAGAAGTTCATGATTTCACAGATGAGAGACAGGAGTGCTGCAGGGTTGTGTGGAGGGTCTAAGGTTGCACACAGAGTCACAGGCAAAACCAGATGTGACCCACGTCTCTCTGAAGCCAGAGTGGGACCCTCAACACCACTCTGGTCCACAGGTTCTTGGGATGCTCCTGAGGCTGAGGGACCAAATAATGGGTGACATCAGTCCCTCTCATGGCCAGCCCTCTGGGATTGTCTAACCAGGGTGAGTGGTTAACAGCAGGCACTGCCATCCCCTGAATGGGGCTGTGCTGTTTTCTTAGTCCCAGGCGTGCATCTGCTAAACAGCAGCAGGGCGTTTGCCTCCGGCTATTGTGCAACATGATCTTGATTCCTCTTTTAAGGGGAGCTTTTAAGACGAGCTTACTCATGTCAGCCAAAGCCCAGCATCAGGCTGAACCACGACAAGCCCCTCTGGACAAACCTGCCAGGGCAGCTCAGAGAATCAGTCCCCAGCCTCGGTGGCACTTGGTGCAGACCTGCCAAGTGTCCCACAAAAGCTGGGAGCCTTGTGATGTCCCCCACTGCCCACATGGCCTCCAACCTCTGTGTTCTCCCCAGGATCTGAGGGCCCGATTCATGTCTGGTCCCCTAGCAACTG
This sequence comes from Homo sapiens, assembly GCF_000001405.40. Classification (NCBI taxonomy): domain Eukaryota; kingdom Metazoa; phylum Chordata; class Mammalia; order Primates; family Hominidae; genus Homo; species Homo sapiens. The sequence continues at coordinate 45,937,773 of NC_000007.14, forward strand.
GTGCGCGGCCCTGGACAAGTCATTCCCTCTTAAAATGCTCTGGTTTCTTTGTTGTGTAATGAATGGGTGCAGTCAGCAGACTCTTGGGTCTCTACCACCTTCAGTATTTTATGGTGAGGAGCAAGCAAGCAAGAAAGGTTATTAGCAAGCAGGAAGCACAGAGGAAGGTGGTGTGTGTGTTTTGTGTGTACTGTGTGTGTATGGTATGTGGTTATGAGCTGTGTGTGCTGTGGTGATCTATGGGTGTTGTGTGGATGGGATGCGTAGAATGTGTGTGTTGTGGTGTATGTTGTATGTTGTGGTGTGTGTGTGTTGTAGTATGTGTGTTTTGTTGTGTTGGGTGTGAGGTGTGTGTTGTGAGCTGTGTGTGGTTTGTGTGCCGTGTTTTGTGTGTTGTATATGTGTTGTATGTGTGAGATGTGTGTGTGTTTTTGGTGTGTGTTGTGTTGTGTGGTATGTGTATTGGGAGCTGTGTGTGGTGAATATTTGTAAAACTTGCACACAACAGGAAGTGCCTTCTGGATCTCAAACCTGGTTGCTGGCTACCAGAGGAAGGGAAGTGTCTGATTAATTCAAAGGTCTTTTGTGAAAGTTGAAGATGCAAAAGACTTGGGGTGAGAGGAAGCTTCACTGAGAATAAACCTAAGAGTTCCTAAAAATCCAGAGTGCCAGCACCCAGCTCGGGATTGATTCTGGATGCCCCACCCTACAAAAGTCTGTGCTGTAGGTTCAGTAGGAGGAACACTGCCCTGCATCATTCGGGAGACACAGTTCACTGTGCTGTCTTGCTGCCCAGTCAATGTCGCCAGACATGCATGCGTGGGTAAAGGGCTGGGTAACTGAGAGGTGAGAGAAGTCCACTTGCCAAGCGAGCCCCCAAGTGTCTCGGCAAATCCTCACACGGTAGAACAATTCGTAATCACCTGGAAGACAGGCATGGGCCTAAATAAATCATTTTCATCTCAAGCTTGGTCTTTTCCAGGAAGGAAGAGGAGCAGTTTCGCCATTGCCAACCACAGAGCAGCCGACCGGTGCATCACCGAGGCCGGCTCCGTCAGCTCGGTCAGCTCGGGTGGGCTTATTTCTTTGAGTGGAGGCACCACTCAGTTCTCAGTTCAGAGGAAAAAGAATGAGTGGACAATGTTGCTGTTGTTGTCTGCACAGAATGCTAGGGGAGTGAAAGGTGTTTAAATAGAGGAAGGGAAAGTTCAGAACAGCTGCCAGGCCAGAGCAGATGCTGGGAGGGCGGGAAGCGGTGAGAAGGCTGGGGTACAGGATTGCTCCCGAGACCCGCCCAGGCACTGGATGCACCTGCAGCCTGAGAGCAGCAGGGGGCGGGGTGCCGGGAGGAGAGGGATTTCAGATCCCCTGTGCCCTGTGGACGTCAGAAAGCAGGACTTTCTCTTCTGAAACCTGGGCTAGTTCTCAGGTGCAACAGGCCCTGGGTGTGATGCTCTGACCAGGCGCCCCGGGTGTAAGTACTCAGGCTTCTCGTGCTTCCTCTTCATACTACACCTTTTGGAACCCAAGAACCTCGCGGCTGCTCCTTCTGGCAATGGAAATGTCAGAAAGCAAAGGAAATTTAAGCTCCACTCAGAGAAAAGAGAAGATACCAAAAAGTCTAGGGCAACAGACTGTGGTAAGATGAATGTGTCATATATGCTGATGGGGCTGAAAGAATGATCTGGAAAGCCAGGGCATGGTAATCAGAGAGTGGGGTCCATGATGAGACCCTGTCAGGGCAGGGCTGGAGTTACTGCTCATGGAAGTCTGGGAGTGGAAGGCCGAGGTGGGTGCAGGACAAGGTCCTGGGAGAAAAGAAGGTCAAGAAGAAAAGGAGGTCGGATAGGACAGACTTGTAGACAAGAATTAAGGTAGCCAGAGTTTTGGAGAAAATGGCAGAGGCACTGGAGCTAGACTCACCCAGGAAAGAAGGGGAGAGGCCCTGTGGGAGGGCAGAGCAGCAGCAACGAGCAGTAATGGGTGAGGGACTCCACTAACAGACGAACGGTTCAGCCAGGAGCAATTGTCAGCGAGAAACAGGAGCGCACCTGCGTCCTCTGCAGGTCGAGGGGGTGCAGGAGCCGGGGCAAAACAAATTACAGTGGAGAGGCAGCAGCACCCTCTGGGGGGACCGATCCCCTTCAGAGTAGGAGTCAGCAAACTGCTGCTCAGGGGCCACATCCAGCTACCCGTTTTTGTAAACAAAGATTTATTAGAGCATGGTTGCCCCCATTCATTGGCAGTGGGTTTTGCTATTTATGGGATCAAAGTTTTCTTAGTATGCTCTGAGAGGGTTACTGCAATAAATAAGATGACTATATTTTTTTTAGCAGAAAGGTCATATGATTGTGAGAGGTGAAGCCGGCTGGGATTCTGGGTCAGGTGGTGACTTGGAGAACTTTTCTGTCTAGCTAAAGGATTGTAAACACACCAATCAGCACTCTGTGTCTAGCTAAAGGATTGTAAATGCACCAATCAGCACTTGTAAAAATGCGCCAATCAGCACTCTGTGTCTAGCTAAAGGTTTGTAAATGCGCTAATCAGCACTCTGTAAAAACAGACCAATCAGCACTCTGTAAAACAGACCAATCAGCGCTCTGTAAAATGGACCAATCAGCAGGATGTGGGTGGGGCCAAATAAGGGAATAAAAGCTGGCCACCCGGGCCAGCAGCAGCAACCTGCTCAGGTCCCCTTCCATGGTGTGGAAGCTTTGTTCTTTCGCTGTTCACAATGAATCTTGCTGCTGCTCACTCTTTGGGTCCGCACTAGCTTTATGAGCTGTAACGCTCACTGCGAAGGTCTGTGGCTTCACTCCTGAAGTCAGCAAGACCACGAACCCACCGGAAGGAGGAAACAACTCCGGAAGCACCACGTTTAAGAGCTGTAACACTCACTGCGAAAGTCTGCAGCTTCACTCCTGAAGTCAGCAAGACCACAAACCCACCGGAAGGAAGAAATTCCAGACACATCTAAACATTGGAAGGAACAAACTCCAGACACACTATCTTTAAGAACTGTAACACTCACCGCGAGGGTCTGTGGCTTCATGCTTGAAGTCAGCCGGACCAAGAACCCACCGGAAAGAACCAATTCCTGACACAATCGTATGTAAAATTTTACTTCCTGATGTGGGAGTTCATGAAAATGAATTTAAACCTAATTTTAATTATGCTTATATTCTTACCCCCTCCTGTTGCCATTCCGTCCTATACATGACCCCAAACCAACAAACACTTGAATTGTTTATTTTTAATTACACCACGAGGCTACATTTTTATTGTTTTACAAGGCATAGGTAAAAAGCAAGGAGTTGAAGGCAAGTGGACTGGGGCAGGGAGGTGGAACTGGAGCGCACTGCGGTCAGAACCCTGGGTTGGATGGAGGTTTGGTTTCTGTCTCTGCCAGAAGCCGTCTCTCTTAACCGTGGACAGATCTTGTTCCTGAATGGACGCTTTCAGTATTTCTTTCTGAAGTCTGATATTTGCTATAGATTTTATTTTTTTCTGTGGCTGTAGATACCCTTTATCTGGTTAATAAAATTATTATCTATTACTATTTTGCTAAGTTAAAGAAAAGCATGACTGTTGAAATGTATCACATACTTTTCTCTGCACCTACAAAGATGACCAAATGAACTCACCATTGGTTTATTAATGTTGTGAATGACATTGATTTTGCTCCTAATGTTTAACCAATCTGTGTTCCTGATCATGATCAAACCTGGTCTTTATTCTTCTTCCCCTTTTCGTTTTCTTGCTCCTGCTGCTTCTCATCCTTCTCCTTTTCCTCCTCTTTCTTTGAATATTACTACATTAAGTTTGCTAATTATTTAGTGTGTGATTTTTGGGTTTACATACTTTTCTTTCTTGTACTACTCTTCACTCTTTAAAAAATGTTTATTTTGAAATGTTAGATTTCTAGAAGAGTTATAAAGATATACAGAGAATTCTCACATAACCGTTCACTCAGCTTCCTCTCATTCATCTGACATGACCATGGTACATTAAGATTAAGAAATTGGCCAGGCGTGGTGGCTCATGCCTGTAATCCCAGCACTTTGGGAGGCCAAGGCAGGTGGATCATCTGAGGTCAGGAGTTCGAGACCAGCCTGGCCAACATGGTGAAACCCCATCTCTACTAAAAATACAAAAATTAGCTGGGCATGGTGATGCGCACCTGTAATCCCAGCTACTTGAAAGGCTGAGACAGGAGAATCGCTTCAACCCAGGGGAGAGAGGTTGCAATGAGCTGAGATCACGCCACTGCACTCCAGCCTGGGTGACAGAGCAAGACTTCATCTCAAAAAAAAAAAAAAAGAAAAAGAAAGGTTAAGAGATTAACATTGGTACAATGCCATTAACTAACTGCAGACTTTATTCAGATTTCTGCATTTTTTTCCTCTAAGATATTTTTTCTGTTCTGGGATCCCAATCTAGTATACCTTGTTGCATTTGGCCATCATGTTTCTTTATTCTCGTCCAATCTGTGATAGTTTTATGGTTTTTCCTTTTTTAATGACTTTAATTTTTTAAAGTGTAATGATCAGGTGTTTTGAAGAATGGCTGTCAATTTGGGCTTGTCTGTTATTTTCTCATAATTAGACTGGGCTTACAGATTTTAGAGGGAAATGTCATAGAAGCGAACTTCTCTTCACATATTATATCAGAGTGTCATTACCGGCATGTTAACTTTGATCACTGGCTGTAATGTTGTCTTACAAAGTTTTGTTCAGGTTTTTCTAGCCTGGTAAAATGAGTTAGGGAGTATATCTTCTCTTTCTTTTACTGTAGAAGAGTTAGTGTAAGGCTAGATCATTTAAATATTCTGGAATTCACTGTAGAACCATCTGAAGTTGGAGTTTTCTTTGTTAGAACATTTTAAATTTCCGATTGGATTTCTTTAAAAGTTTTAGGAATATGTGTTTTCTCTTCCTGCATTTGTCAATTTTGGCAGGTTATTTTCCCTTGAAATTACTCTTTTCAACTAAATTGTGTATTTATTGACATAAAAGTTGGTTACAATATCTCCTTGTTGTCTTCTTAACGGGGACAGGATCTCAAATGTGTTCTTTTTCATTTGTGTTATTGATTATGCCATCTCTCTTGTTAAACAGTTTTGCCTGAGGTTTTGAGTTTTATTATTAGTTTTTGCAAAGAATAAACTTTCTGATTTCTTTTGGCTCTCTATCGTTCTATTATTTATTTTCTGTTTCGTTATTTCTGCACTCATTTTTTATTATTTGCTTCTTAAAGCTTATTTTAGTGTTCTTTTTTAATCTTTGGGGACATACATTTAGATTGTTAATTTTTAGCTGTTCTTTTCACACACGCACACCATACACACACACCATACACACACACATATGGTAAAATTCATGTCCTACTAAGAATTATTTTAAATTCATTACTCAGTTTTGATATGTAGTGTTTTGTTTGTAATCTAGTTCAAAATATTTTCTGTGACCCTTACGTTTTCTTCTTTGACCCATCTAATATTTAGAAGCATGTTTCTTAATTTTCAAATACATGAAATATGCCTGATTTTAAAAATGTATTTCTAGCATGGTTACACTGTGATTGGAGAACTTTCCCTGAATGATTTCAGTTCTTTAAATATTTAAAGGACTTCTTAATGGTCCTGTATATGGTTAATTTTTTAAGAAGCTTACATGAGTTTAACAACAGAATGTACTCTATAATTTTTGGATGCATTGTTCCTAGGTCAAGTTTATGAATCATGTTGCTCAGATTTTAGATAAGATCTGTATTTTTTGTGTGTTTTATTGTTACTTAATGCGAGATATGTATTATAATCTTCCACTCTTATTGTGAGTTTGTCAGTTTCTTCTCATGGTTCTGTCAATTTTTGTTATATATTTTTAGGCCATGTGAATTAAGTACATATACATTTAGTATCTTCCTTGTTTAGCAAATCATTTATCATTATAAAACAACTGTATTCATCTCGAGTAATTCTTTGGCCTTCTTTAGAATTCTTTGCATCTATTCTCTTCTGATGTTAAATAGAACTACCCCAACTTTCTTTTGGTTAGTTATGTATGCTATCTACACAGTTATTTACTCTTACAGCTTTCAATATGTACCCAGCAAATTTAAGCGTGTCTCCTTCGCACACCACAGCATTAGATTTTGATATTTAAATCTAGTGATTGATATTTCACTCAAACATCCAGTCTACTTACCATTACTGTACTTACTAATATATTACGGGGTAAACCAACCATCTAATTATGTGTTTTCTATTTGTCTGGTTTTATGCCTTTTCTCTTTCTTGCCTTCTTTTTTGGGTTGATTATTTTTTTCTTTGCTCACAGTAACACTCACTCTTTTTGGTGTACAGTTACATGAGATTGGCGAATGCATGCACTTATGTAACCACAAGGCAGCGTCATCGCAAAACTCTCCCCTGCGCTGCCCATTTGCACTCAGTTATCTCATCTCCACTCTCTGGCAACAACCAATGTGTTTGTGTTCCTCTAATTTTGAATTTTCCAGAATGTCATATAAATCAAATCATAGTTGAGCATGGTTTCTGTCAGTTATAACGATGTGTTTGAAATTCATTCATGGTGTGTGTGTGTGTAATAATAATCCATTCCTTTTTATTGCCAAAGAGTATCGGCCAATAACATTAACTTTGGATGCACCACAGCTTTTTTACTCAGTTGCAAGTTAAAGAACATTCAGTTGTCTAAGCTATATTCCAGGACCAGGCACACCCTGAGGGGATATCTTGGAGAAAAAATAATGGGGAAAATAGGGGACTCCCATGTACACTCGTTTAGCCTCAGGAGCCCTTTTCTTGGTTTCTCAGGCCTAACACACAGAATCCATGAATTCTTAACCACCAATGTTGAACAGTCTATGATTAGGACTGCCTTTGGATCCATGTTGTAAGAGAAAAGAGAAAAAACAAAACTAGAAAACACCTCCTTTTAGGCTACTTTTCCGTGTTTTGACTCTCCCCACAATTGTTGACTTTTGTTTACTAGATATTTTAGTTGTAATCAGTGATTTTTGTAGCTGTAGAGGTCTAATCCTAGCTAGAAGGAGCTTTCCTAGTTGATTAATTTTATGATTTTATAATGCTTTTTCCTGGTAGTTTTGAAGTGTTTTTTTTTTTTTTTAGTCATCCTGTAGTATTTCCTAGAAATTACAATAAGCCTTCTTAATTTATAAAATTCAAATATTAATTGATAATTGTACTCTAGTCCTGTGAAGCAAAAGCACACTCAGACATTTCAGTTCTATTTGTCCCTTTCCTGATTTCTATGCTCTCGTTGTCATATATTTTAATTTCACCTGTATAATCTACATCCTAAAAATGTTAGTGTTCTTGTTTTAATACAGTGTTCATTTCAATATAGTCTCACAATTCTTTTGATCCCTTTCTGCATCTTCAATTTTTCATCTGTGATAATGCTCCTTCTGCCTGAAGTACATACTTTTTTACATTTTTTAGTGTTCTATTCTATTGTATTTAGTATTCTATTCTAATAAATAACTTATTTCAGTTTTTGTTCATCTGAAAACTTCATGTTACCTTATTTTTTACCAACCAGCCAAGTGTCCTGTATAAAATGAAAAACATGCATTGATTGTAGTAGTTTCTGGCTAATGTTATATAGAATAATTAAGATTACTTTATTTTTTCTGTGGAATAAGCCTCATATTTTTGATCCTTTAAATTGAATTGCAAGAGCCAGATGATGTGATCTATCTATTTCTTTTTTGTAATATATTAATATATCAAATTATTTAAGCAATCTCAGTTTCTTTTCTTTTGCCTTTTCACTTTGGTTCATTTCATAAAATAGGTGTTATTTTCAGTTTTGCTGGTACAAAGTTAATTCATGATTGCTTTATGTTTTTTGCACCACGTCATTTTCAACATTTATTCATTTCCCATCATTTATATGCTGCAAAGTGTTATCACTAACAATGTATTTTTCTGTTTGCTTGCTCTTAAATGTGTAGACTTCTAGTTAGGTGTGGTGTTTTTTACATGAACAGTGAATAATGACTTTATAGGTTTCCTCATCATTCTCTTCGAATACCATTGTGGATCCTAAGGTTCAAGTCTTGATGCCAGTTTAGTGAGGGGAGGGAGGGAACTAAAGCTTTGATTAATTTTTGGAAAGGAAATTTGCTTCTCTGTCTGTGTCTTTTCTCCTCTGGGTTTGGCAAATCTCATTTTTTTTTTTTAGTACCAGTCTTGACATGGCTGAGTCCCATTCCTGGTGGAGGGTGGAGAAGCATATTCCTTTTTCTCTTTGGAGAGGAGCTAACTCCCCACCTTGCCTGTTGCCTTCTCCTGCTGTTTGCATAAATGAAGAACTCTTGCAGTCCTGGGAAACTGTCCTGGGAGACAAAGTCCCATAGACCTGAGCCTTTTCATCACTACCCACAGATTCCACTGCAATGGCCGTCAAAGCCATCTGAGATGTAATTTTCATTTTCTCCTCTACCCTCCAGTTTGGGGGTGCATTGGAGTCTCAGATCTTCATTCGTATCCTTTGGGTCCATACTGCTTCTTCAGTGTGGTGAAGTTTCGAAAAGTTCCAAGAGTTCTTAATAAACCTGGTCCCATTTTCACTGTTCCTAATAAAAATTCTTTTGAGTTTTGGAATTTTTTGGCTTCCAGTCTTAACATTTCAGTTTGCACATTTTCCTCATAGGATTCATAATTAATATATAACTTCTTTTTTTGTATGAAGGTGGGAGAATGAAACTTACCTCCTAGATTTACTATATTTTCCAAGGACTTTGTTTTAGGTGACTTTTAGAAATTTTTTCTCTCTCTTTATTCTTTATTTCATTAGTCGTTTTTTCTGATCAAGTAATCCATGCTTATATAAAACAATGTAGAAAGTCAGAAATAATGTAAATCAGAAAATATTATCTTAGACTTTGTTGTTTAGTAAAGAATCTATCTGGTCTTTGTCCTTAGTTCATGGGAGGCAGCCCCTAAAACTTTGGAATCTTCCAAGTGGTAAGAATGTCTATTTTTTTTTTTAAAGGGCTAAATTTCTTTAATATACAAAGATCTCTTACAAGTCAATAAGCAACAAATAGGCAAAAACCACTCACATCCAGATACTGAAATGAAAGATAATAGCCTGTTGACATGAGTATATTTAATATCTTCATAATTCAGAAAATGCAAATTAAATAATAAGGATATAATTTTCCTTGTGTCTGATTGACAAATTGAACAGGTTAACATTTAATATGGGGAAGGATGTGGGAAAACAAATATTTTGTTGGAACGTAAGTGGAATTAACCCTTTTAGAGAGCAATTTGGCAAAATATATCAAAATTATAAATGTGTATTTCCATGTGTAACAATTTTATTTACACCATTTTCTATGAGTGCTTGAAAATATTAGTATATTCCAGGTAGAATCCCTAAGGGAAAAAAAAAACCACTAGTACAATGAACTTAATTATCCCAAATGCTAGGGAAAATGGATATGGAATTTATGGTCTGAGCAAAGCATTCAATGCTTTTCTTCTTTTCATCCTAAGTTATAGTTGGTTACTTCCAAATATAAAGGCTAAAGCTTGGCATTACCGTGTTTTCAGAGATTCAGAAATTCTATTTTTTTTTCTTTTTTTAAATTTTTTTTTTTAAATTATACTTCAAGTTTTAGGGTACATGTGCACAATGTGCAGGTTAGTTACATATGTATACATGTGCCATGCTGGTGCGCTGCACCCACTAACTCGTCATCTAGCATTAGGTATCTCTCCCAATGCTATCCCTCCCCCCTCCCCCCACCCCACAACAGTCCCCAGAGTGTGATGTTCCCCTTCCTGTGTCCATGTGTTCTCATTGTTCAATTCCCACCTATGAGTGAGAATATGCGGTGTTTGGTTTTTTGTTCTTGTGATAGTTTACTGAGAATGATTTCCAGTTTCATCCATGTCCCTACAAAGGACATGAACTCATCATTTTTTATGGCTGCATAGTATTCCATGGTGTATGTGTGCCACATTTTCTTAATCCAGTCTATCATTGTTGGACATTTGGGTTGGTTCCAAGTCTTTGCTATTGTGAATAATGCCGCAATAAACATACGTGTGCATGTGTCTTTATAGCAGCATGATTTATAGTCCTTTGGGTATATACCTAGTAATGGGATGGCTGGGTCAAATGGTATTTCTAGTTCTAGATCCCTGAGGAATCGCCACACTGACTTCCACAATGGTTGAACTAGTTTACAGTCCCACCAACAGTGTAAAAGTGTTCCTATTTCTCCACATCCTCTCCGGCACCTGTTGTTTCCTTTTTAATGATTGCCATTCTAACTGGTGTGAGATGGTATCTCATTGTGGTTTTGATTTGCATTTCTCTGATGGCCAGTGATGGTGAGCATTTTTTCATGTGTTTTTTGTCTTCTTTTGAGAAGTGTCTGTTCATGTCCTTCACCCACTTTTTGATGGGGTTGTTTGTTTTTTCTTGTAAATTTGTTTGAGTTCATTGTAGATTCTGGATATTAGCCCTTTGTCAGATGAGTAGGTTGCAACAATTTTCTCCCATTTTGTAGGTTGCCTGTTCACTCTGATGGTAGTTTCTTTTGCCGTGCAGAAGCTCTTTAGTTTAATTAGATCCCATTTGTCAATTTTGGCTTTTGTTGCCATTGCTTTTGGTGTTTTAGACATGAAGTCCTTGCCCATGCCTATGTCCTGAATGGTAATGCCTTGGTTTTCTTCTGGGGTTTTTATGGTTTTAGGTCTAACGTTTAAGTCTTTAATCCATCTTGAATTGATTTTTGTATAAGGTGTAAGGAAGGGATCCAGTTTCAGCTTTCTACATATGGCTAGCCAGTTTTCCCAGCACCATTTATTCAATAGGGAATCCTTTCCCCATTGCTTGTTTTTCTCAGGTTTGTCAAAGATCAGATAGTTGTAGATATGCGGCGTTATTTCTGAGGGCTCTGTTCTGTTCCATTGATCTATATCTCTGTTTTGGTACCAGTACCATGCTGTTTCAGTTACTGTAGCCTTGTAGTATAGTTTGAAGTCAGGTAGTGTGATGCCTCCAGCTTTGTTCTTTTGGCTTAGGATTGACTTGGCGATGCGGGCTCTTTTTTGGTTCCATATGAACTTTAAAGTAGTTTTTTCCAATTCTGTGAAGAAAGTCATTGGTAGCTTGATAGGGATGGCATTGAATCTGTAAATTACCTTGGGCAGTATGGCCATTTTCGCGATACTGATTCTTCCTACCCATGAGCATGGAATGTTCTTCCATTTGTTTGTATCCTCTTTTATTTCGTTGAGCAGTGGTTTGTAGTTCTCCTTGAAGAGGTCCTTCACATCCCTTGTAAGTTGGATTCCTAGGTATTTTATTCTCTTTGAAGCAATTGTGAATGGGAATTCACTCATGATTTGGCTCTCTGTCTGTTGTTGGTGTATAAGAATGCTTGTGATTTTTGTACATTGATTTTGTATCCTGAGACTTTGCTGAAGTCGCTTATCAGCTTAAGGAGATTTTGGGCTGAGACAGTGGGGTTTTCTAGATATACAATCATGTCATCTGCAAACAGGGACAATTTGACTTTCTCTTTTCCTAATTGAATACCCTTTATTTCCTTCCCCTGCCTAATTGCCCTGGCCGGAACTTCCAACACTATGTTGAATAGGAGTGGTGAGAGATGGCATCCCTGTCTTGTGCCAGTTTTCAAAGGGAATGCTTCCAGTTTTTGCCCATTCAGTATGATATTGGCTGTGAGTTTGTCATAGATAGCTCTTATTATTTTGAAATACGTCCCATCAATACCTAATTTATTGAGAGTTTTTAGCATGAAGGGTTGTTGAATTTTGTCAAAGGCCTTTTCTGCATCTATTGAGATAATCATGTGGTTTTTGTCTTTGGTTCTGTTTATATGCTGGATTACATTTATTGATTTGCGTATGTTGAACCAGCCTTGCATCCCAGGGATGAAGCCCACTTGATCATGGTGGATAAGCTTTTTGATGTGCTGCTGGATACGGTTTGCCAGTATTTGATTGAGGATTTTTGCATCAATGTTCATCAAGGATATTGGTCTAAAATTCTCTTTTTTTGTTGTGTCTCTGCCCGGCTTTGGAATCAGGATGATGCTGTCCTCATAAAATGAGTTAGGGAGTATTTACCTCTTTTTCTATTGATTGGAATAGTTTCAGAAGGAATGGTACCATTTCCTCCTTGGACCGCTGGTAGAATTCGGCTGTGAATCCATCTGGTCCTGAACTCTTTTTGGTTGGTAAGCTGTTGATTATTGCCACAATTTCAGAGCCTGTTATTGGTCTATTCAGAGATTCAACTTCTTCCTGGTTTAGTCTTGGGAGAGTGTATGTGTCCAGAAATTTATCCATTTCTTCTAGATTTTCTAGTTTATTTGCGTAGAGGTGTTTGTAGTAGTCTCTGATGGTAGTTTGTATTTCTGTGGGATCGGTGGGGATATCCCCTTTATCATTTTTTATTGCGTCTATTTGATTCTTCTCTCTTTTTTTCTTTATCAGTCTTGCTAGCGGTCTATGAATTTTGTTGATCCTTTCAAAAAACCAGCTCCTGGATTCATTAAATTGTTGAAGGGTTTTTTGTGTCTCTATTTCCTTCAGTTCTGCTCTGATTTTAGTTATTTCTTGCCTTCTGCTAGCTTTTGAATGTGTTTGCTCTTGCTTTTCTAGTTCCTTTGATTGTGATGTTAGGGTGTCAAATTTGGATCTTTCCTGCTTTCTCTTGTGGGCATTTAGTGCTATAAATTTCCCTCTACACACTGCTTTGAATGCATCCCAGAGATTCTGGTATGTTGTGTCTTTGTTCTCGTTGGTTTCAAAGAACATCTTTATTTCTGCCTTCATTTTGTTATGTACCCAGTAGTCATTCAGGAGCAGGTTGTTCAGTTTCCATGTAGTTGAGCGGTTTTGAGTGAGATTCTTAATCCTGAATTCTAGTTTGATTGCACTGTGGTCTGAGAGATAGCTTGTTATAATTTCTGTTCTTTTACATTTGCTGAGGAGAGCCCTACTTCCAAGTATGTGGTCAATTTTGGAATAGGTGTGGTGTGGTGCTGAAAAAAATGTATATTCTTTTGATTTGGGGTGGAGAGTTCTGTAGATGTCTATTAGGTCCACTTGGTGCAGAGCTGAGTTCAATTCCTGGGTATCCTTGTTGACTTTCTGTCTCGTTGATCTGTCTAATGTTGACAGTGGGGTGTTAAAATCTCCCATTATTAATGTGTGGGAGTCTAAGTCTCTTTGTAGGTCACTCAGGACTTGCTTTATGAATCTGGGTGCCCCTGTATTGGGTGCATATATATTTAGGATAGTTAGCTCTTCTTGTTGAATTGATCCCTTTAGCATTATGTAATGGCCTTCTTTGTCTCTTTTGATCTTTGTTGGTTTAAAGTCTGTTTTATCAGAGACTAGGATTGCAACCCCTGCCTTTTTTTCTTTTCCATTTGCTTGGTAGATCTTCCTCCATCCTTTTATTTTGAGCCTATGTGTGTCTCTGCACGTGAGATGGGTTTCCTGAATACAGCACACTGATGGGTCTTGACTCTTTATCCAATTTGCCATCTATGTCTTTTAATTGGAGCATTTAGTCCATTGACATTTAAAGTTAATATTGTTATGTGTGAATTTGATCCTGTCATTATGATGTTAGCTGGTTATTTTGCTCATTAGTTGATGCAGTTTCTTCCTAGTCTTGATGGTCTTTACATTTTGGCATGATTTTGCAGCAGCTGGTACCGGTTGTTCCTTTCCATGTTTAGTGCTTCCTTCAGGAGCTCTTTTAGGGCAGGCCTGGTGGTGACAAAATCTCTCAGCATTTGCTTGTCTGTAAAGTATTTTATTTCTCCTTCACTTATGAAGCTTAGTTTGGCTGGATATGAAATTCTGGGCTGAAAATTCCTTTCTTTAAGAATGTTGAATATTGGCCCCCACTCTCTTCTGGCTTGTAGAGTTTCTGCCGAGAGATCTGCTGTTAGTCTGATGGGCTTCCCTTTGAGGGTAACCCGACCTTTCTCTCTGGCTGCCCTTAACATTGTTTCCTTCATTTCAACTTTGGTGAATCTGACAATTATGTGTCTTGGAGTTGCTCTTCTCGAGGAGCATCTTTGTGGCGTTCTCTGTATTTCCTGAATCTGAATGTTGGCCTGCCTTGCTAGATTGGGGAAGTTCTCCTGGATAATATCCTGCAGAGTGTTTTCCAACTTGGTTCCATTCTCCCCGTCACTTTCAGGTACACCAATCAGAAGTAGATTTGGTCTTTTCACATAGTCCCATATTTCTTGGAGGCTTTGCTCGTTTCTTTTTATTCTTTTTTCTCTAAACTTCCCTTCTCACTTCATTTCATTCATTTCATCTTCCATCGCTGATACCCTTTCTTCCAGTTGATCGCATCGACTCCTGAGGCTTCTGCATTCTTCACGTAGTTCTCGAGCCTTGGTTTTCAGCTCCATCAGCTCCTTTAAGCACTTCTCTGTATTGGTTATTCTAGTTATACATTCTTCTAAATTTTTTTCAAAGTCTCCAACTTCTTTGCCTTTGGTTTGAACCTCCTCCCATAGCTCAGAGTAATTTGATCGTCTGAAGCCTTCTTCTCTCAGCTCGTCAAAGTCATTCTCCGTCCAGCTTTGTTCCGTTGCTGGTGAGGAACTGCGTTCCTTTGGAGGAGGAGAGGCACTCTGCTTTTTAGAGTTTCCAGTTTTTCTGCTCTGTTTTTTCCCCATCTTTGTGGTTTTATCTACTTTTGGTCTTTGATGATGGTGATGTACAGATGGGTTTTTGGTGTGGATGTCCTTTCTGTTTGTTAGTTTTCCTTCTAACAGACAGGTCCCTCAGCTGCAGGTCTGTTGGAGTACCCGGCCGTGTGAGGTGTCAGTCTGCCCCTGCTGGGGGGTGCCTCCCAGTTAGGCTGCTCGGGGGTCAGGGGTCAGTGACCCACTTGAGGAGGCAGTCTGCCTGTTCTCAGATCTCCAGCTGCGTGCTGGGAGAACCACTGCTCTCTTCAAAGCTGTCAGACAGGGACATTTAAGTCTGCAGAGGTTACTGCTGTCTTTTTGTTTGTCTGTGCCCTGCCCCCAGAGGTGGAGCCTACAGAGGCAGGCAGGCCTCCTTGAGCTGTGGTGGGCTCCACCCAGTTCGAGCTTCCTGGCTGCTTTGTTTACCTAAGCAAGCCTGGGCAATGGCAGGCGCCCCTCCCCCAGCCTCGCTGCCACCTTGCCATTTGATCTCAGACTGCTGTGCTAGCAATCAGCGAGACTCTGTGGGTGTAGGACCCTCCAAGCCATGTGCGGGATATAATCTCCTGGTGCGCCGTTTTTTAAGCCCGTCGGAAAAGCGCAGTGTTCAGGTGGGAGTGACCCGATTTTCCAGGTGCCGTCTGTCACCCGTTTCTTTGACTAGGAACTCCCTGACCCCTTGCGCTTCCCGAGTGAGGCAATGCCTCACCCTGCTTCGGCTGGCGCACGGTGTGCGCACCCACTGACCTGCGCCCACTGTCTGGCACTCCGTAGTGAGATGAACCCAGTACCTCAGATGGAAATGCAGAAATCACCCGTCCTCTGCGTCGCTCACGCTGGGAGCTGTAGACCAGAGCTGTTCCTATTCGGCCATCTTGGCTTCTCCCCAAGAATGTCTATTATTCATCGGAGGCCCCTGGGATAACACCTGAGTTTAGACTACTAGAGTAACCCATGGTAGGCCCCCTCTGTATCTTCAGGTCAGGTCAGAAAGACCAACAAAGTGATTAGATGGTTGGTGCTTTGAGCCACATCACATCATCCCAACATCTGGGGAGGAAAGCTGGAGACTGAGTCAATCACATGGGCAGTGATTCAATCATGTCTTGCTAATGAAATCACAATAAAAACTCTGGACACTGAAGCTGGGGTAGGCTTTTCTGGTTGATGGTACACATCAGTGTGCACAGAGGGTGCCTTGTCCTGAGGACATGGAAGCTTCACATTTGGGACCTTCCCAAGTGTCATCCTACAGGTCTCTTTTTTTGGCTGGTTCTTATTTACATACTTTTTTCTGTAATAAAACTATAATCATAAGTATATGACTTTCTTGAGTTCTGTGAGTTGTTTTCTGAATTATTGAAACTCAGTGGATGGTGGAAGCCTCTGGATTTGTAACCAGTTGGTTAGGGTTGCCTGGGAACCCCAAGCTTGTGGCTGGCATCTAAAGTGAGGGCAGTCTTGTGCTAACTGTGCCCTTAACCTGTGGAATTTGAGCCACCTTAGTTAGTGACAGGATTGCATTGCAGAATGCCACCCCTCAGATCCCCTGCCTATTTACATGTTGAAATACTTTAGTCTTTATGAATTTTTCTTCCTTATAATTGAGATCACCCCATCCATACAATTTTCATATCCCTTTTCTTGTCATTGGAGACTTCCAATTTGAAATAAGGTTTACAAGATGTAACTTTACGTACTTAATTTTATATTTGTAAATTAAATCTTGTTCCTCATCGTTAGATGTTATTTCTTGAACTTATCTTTTATGGCTAATTCCATTTTTCTGATATACTGAAATTTATTTTATTGCCTCCTTATTGTTTGACATTTATGTTGCTCTCAAATTAATTATAAGAATATTTTTACAACTCCTTTGTACATAAAGCTTTTATCACATTTTGTATTTTTCCAATAGATACCTAGTAATAGAGCTATTAATACTTTATTAAAAGGCATATCAGTTTTAAAGCTCTTTGCCGAGACTTTTTAAAAAATTTGCAAAGTACCTCTTTATTGAGGTATAATAAATCTGTGCATTTGAGATCTGTGCATAGAGGAAAATGCAGAGATCTTAAATATATACTTTGCTGGATTCTGACAAATGTGTACACCTACCTAACTGTAACCCACCACCTGTCAAGATGGAATATTTTCTTCACCCTAGAAATTTCTCCTATGCCTCTTTCCAATCAACGCTCACCCCCAACATCCTAGACAAAACCTCTATTCTGATTTTAATTATTATAGTTTTTGCCTATTCTAAGCTATTAATGGCCATCATAAATACAACTTATATGAACATTCTTTTTTTAAAAATGAAATTTTTATTGTGCATATTTGAGATTTGCAATATGATGTTATAGGATACATATAGGTAGTAAAATGGTTACGATAGGCAGATTAACGTATCTCTCATCTCACACAGTTACTTTTATATAAACATTCTTGTACAAACCTTTGTGCAGACATGTCATTTCCTTTTTCTTGGACCTCAATTAATCTATATATTCCTTCTCTATTTTTTCATTGAGTTGTATTTTTTGAAGAGTCTGGATTCTTTATCTTGCCTTTTCCCAAAGTCTGGAGTTAGCCAATTGTACCTCTAAGATGTTAACATGTTTCTCCATCTCTTATAATTTTTCTAAATGGGTAGATGTGCTCAGAGGTATTTCATTGTTTTTTAGAAAGAACTCTTTGTAGGTGGTAGTATTTCTATTAGGAGGCATAAAATGGTATTTCTGATATACCAAAATTTATTTTATTATTTTCTTATAGTTTGACATTTATGTTGCTCTCAAATTAATTATAAGAATAGTTTTACAATTTCTTTATACATAAATCTTTTATCACGCTTTGTGTTTTTCCAATAGATACCTAGTAATAGAGCTATCATTACTATTCAGACAGCCACAAAGGGCTGACAGAGCTATTCAGACAGCCACAAAAATGCTGTCTCCTTTTTGTGATATTAGTAGGCATTTATGAACATTGCATAGAACCAGTAATTTATACCAACCTGAAAAGTGGTGATATTTCAATTCTATTTTCTTAATTTATTAGTCAGAATACCCTTGTGAAAAAAAGCTCTTAAGTAACAACCTTTCTGAGAGACACTAGGGCAGGTGACCACTGGCAAGTGGGACACCACTACTATTAGCAGCACAGTCCTGGTGGCTTCCTCGTCCCAACTGGCCTGAGACTCTCTTTCCCCATGGCCCACAGGAGAGCCCCATCCATCCCCTCAATCAGCAGGGATAGCAGTAGCCCCGGTAGTACAACACCAAGGAAACAGAAATAAAACTACAAGAATTGGAAAGTAAAATTCTCATTCAAACCAAAGCCCACAAAACTAAGCTAGCACCTGTATGATACATCTAAAGAGGTGACTGGATACTGAAATAGAAGATGTAAATGGACCCAGAGCCTCCAAAAGTTGACATGCAGTATGATTCCATTTATATTACATTTTTGAAATAACAATTTTAGAAATGGAGAGCAGATCAGTGATCCAGGGTTAGGGACAAAGGAGGGGAAGACAGGAGCAAGGTAGGTGTGGTTATAAAAGGGCATCAGGAGGGGCTCTTGTGGTGATGGAATTGTCCTGTGTTTTGACTGTAGTGATGGATACATGAATCCACACTTGGGATTTAATTTTCTAGAATGAAATACACACACACACACACACACACACACACACACACACACACACACACGTTTTAGAAGTAAAACTGGCAGAAATTACCTGAATTCAATTGTTGGATCTATGTCATAATATATTGGTTTTATAATATTGTACTATAAATTTCAAAATGTTACCACTGGGGGGAGTCGGCCAAAAGGTACATGGGGTCTCTGTGTATTATTTTTTACAAGCGTATGTGAAGCTACAATTATGTCCATAAAATTTTCAGTTACTTCAATCAGTGTTACCAAAACTCAGTTTTTTGGAAAAACAAAACAAAACAAAAAAACCCAACAAAGCTCAGGAACTAACAAGGGGACATTATTACAGATCTTACAGACCTTAAAAAAGTTATGACAATATTATGTAGCATTTTTTGCAATAAATTCAACTACTTAGATGAAAAGAATAAAATTCTTGATTGACAAAAATTACTAAAGTTGACACAATAAATGACAGAAAACTGACACAACAATTTAAGTTCTAGGTATATATATTTATGGCCCATGAGAAAGGAGAGTCTCAGACAAGATGAAACAAAAAGGCCTCTAGGACTGGGTTTCTAGTTGCAGTGGTATTCCAATTGCCAGTGGTCTCATGCCCCAGTTTCTCTCAGTGTAGGTAAGAAGAGGCCTCATGAATACTCTCCCAGTGTCTCTTCATGAAGAGAAGAGTATGGGCCAGGCAGAGAAGCGCATATCACCTGGCCCCTCATTATTAGAGGGCTTCCAAGCAATCTTTTTTGCTGATGCTACCTGACTCCCTTGTGTTGTGAAGAGACTTCTGTTAGATCCAGGGGAAGATCTTACCTTAGATGCTCTAATGGTAGGTTAGGGGTTGGAAAGTGCCAACTATGGGTCACCTTCTATTGGTGGGAATCATGAGATATCCTGTCACTGTGCTGTTCTTTTAGTCTGGGGAGTGCAAACCAGTTCTCCTTCCTCTTACTACTTTTTAAAGTTCTCCTTTGGTTGGCTCTTGCATTACTTCCAGAGGTATAGTAGTATCTCATGGAGAGGAGCAGGGAAAAATAGTCTGTTCCATCTTTTCCTGATCAGAAGTTGTTTTGATTGATTCTTTCTACTCCTATTTAATTTCTATTTCTTTGATTTCTACTTTTAATTATTTTTCTCTTCGTCCTAACTTTAGGTTTAACTTGCCTTTTTCTCGAACTTTTTAAGGTATAAACTTAGATCATTGATTTAAGCTTTTTTTCTTTCCAATTTAAACACTTCAAGCTATAAATTTCACTCTAAGCACTGCTTTAGTTGGTTCCTATTTTGATATAGTGTGCTTTCATTATAATTCAGTTCTAAATGTTTTCTTATTTCCCTTGTGATTTTTGTCATTGAACCAAGGATTATTTAGAACTGTGCTACTTAATTTCCAAACATTCATAAACTTTCTTGTTATCATTATGTTATTGATTTCTAATTTAATGCCATTTGGTAAGATAAAATACTCTGTTGATTTCATGACTTTGTAATTTATAGAGGCTTGTTTTGGAGCCCAGGAAGTGGTCTCTCTTGGTGAATGTTCCATATGCATGTGTAAAGAATGTGCCTTCAACAGTTGTTGAATGTAGTGTTCTGAACACGTCTGCTGGTTATGTTAGTTTACAGTGTCTTCGTTATCTACTGCTGCCTAATGAATTACTCTCAAAGTCAGTGACTTAAAAGAACAAATATTTATTATTTCACATAGTTTAGGAGTTTCAGGAATCTAGGAGAAGCTTCTCTGGGTGGTGTTGGTTCAGGGTATCATGAGGTTGTAGTCCAACTGCAATCCAATGGGGCTGCAGTCAGCTTAAGGCTTGGTTGGGTCCAGAGGACCCACTTCCAAGATGGCTTAGTCATATGGCTATTGACAAGAGGACTTAGTTATTTACCACGTGGGCCACTCCATGAAGCCACTCGTGATATGCTGATGTCTTCCCCACAGTAAGTCATTTGAGACAGAGAGAGCAAGCAAGATAGAAGCCATAGTGACTTTTTGTGACCTAGTCTCCAAAGTCACAATTTTTCAATTCCATTACTCTATTCATTAAAAGCAGGTCCAGCCCATACTCTAGGGGAGGGGAATTGGGCTACACATCTTGAAGGAAGGAATATCAATCAATTAACTATTAAGAGAATAATATTATAATTTCCAGTTACAACTGTGGATTTGTTTATTTCATCCTTTATTTCTATTGGATTTTGCTTCATGTATTTTTAATGTCTGTATTAAGCATCTATGCATTGAACATTGTCTTCTTGATAAATTGATTCTTTTTTAAAAATGAAATGTCTATATTTATATAATTTGTATCTTTAATATAAATAACTTAATAGAAATTTTAATATCTTTAATGTAGCTTAATGGAGCGACCCACATGGTGAGAAACTGAGGCCTCTTGGCAACAGCTATGTCACTAAACCAACTTGGAAGTGGGTCCTCCAGGCCAACCAAGCCTTAAACTGACTGAAGCTCCACTGGGTTGCAGTTGGACTGCAACCTCATGGAAGTTTCTGCCCTGGGTACTTTTCTTGTCATCTACTTGAGGTGGCATTAACTACTTGGTATGTATATTTCATCATTTAAATGTTAACCTAATGGTGTGTTTATGTTTAAAGTTTGTTTTTTATAAATATAGTTGGGTCTTGTCTTTATTTTTATTTTTAAACCTAGTCTGATAATCTTTGTCAGATTAATTGGAGTATTTAGTTAATGTAAATCTAATATAATTATTCATTTAATTGGGTTTAAGTCTACCATCTTGCCATTTATTTTCTATTTGTCCTGTTGAATCTTTGTCCTGTTTCTCTTATTCTGCCTTCTTTTGGGTTTATTATCTTTCAATATTCCACTTTATGATTGCTATTGATATTTAACTATACGTTTTTGTATTGTTTTTAGTGTTTAGAGATTACAATTACACTTTAAACTTTTCTCAGCATACCATTATTTAATAATATACCATTTCTCAAACAACATAAGAATATTAGACCATCATAATTTTATAATTTGACTTACTATGACCTCTAATCTTTGTGCTATTGTTGTAATAATATGTTATAAAACACACAATACAATATTCTTATATATTGCGTGTATGTTATAAAACATACAGTGTTCTTACATTGTGTGTATGTTATGCAATACAGAATACAATGTTCTTATTTTTTCTTTACAGAATCAATAGTCTTACATGTTTTGAATTTTATCTTTATTATATCTAAACTCACTGATTCACTCTGGTGTTCCTCATTCCTCCCTGCAGATCCGTGCTTTCATCTTGGCTCATTTCCCTTCAGCCTGAAGATCTTCCTTTAGTATTTCCTTTGGTGTAGACCTGCTGATGATGATCCTCTCCGCTTCCTTTATTTTCTGAGAATGATATTATTTCATCTTTATTTTTAAAGAATATTTTTGCTTACTGTAAAACTTAGGGTTATAAATGTTGTTTTTTCCACACTAAAAAATAATTGTCTTAATTCTGGCATTCCTTGTTTCTAAGGAAAAGTTACTTGCCTTTCTTATTGTTGTTACCCTGAATACAATTTGTTTCCTTTCTGTGTGTACTTTTACCATTTTCTCTTTATTCTTGGTTTTAGAAAGTTTGACTAGGGCATACTTTGGTATAGATTTGTGTGTGTGTGTTTATCTTTCACTGAATTTGTTGAGCTTTTTGAATTGTTGGGTTGATGACTTTAAACAGCATTGGAAAATTCTCATTTATTATCTTCAATTATTTTGCTTCATTATCTCTCTCCCCTTCTGAAAATTTAATTTCATCCTTATTAGACTTTGATATTGTCTATATCTCTCTGATATGCTAGAATATCTCTTTTCTATCTTGTCCATATTTTTTGTACTTCAATGTGAATACTTTCTATTAAGGTATTTTCGAGTTCACTAATTTGTTTCTTATTGTCTTATTCAGCCCTTTTTTTAAACCAACTGAATGTATTCTTAATTTTACTTATTTTTTTCATTCTAAAATTTCTGTTAGGATTTTTTAAAAATAGTTTTTCATTTTTTTGCTTAAATTATCTCTTTTTAAATACTTTTTCATATTTTTCTTTAGTATTTTAGTATATGTATCACAGTTATTTCAAAGTCTTTGTCTGTTAATTTCAGAATCTGTGTCATCTTTCAGTGTGCCTCTACTACCTGCTTTCTCTCTCTCTTTTTTTTTTTTTTTTTTTTTTGAGACAGAACCTCCTTTGTGGCCCAGGCTGTAATGCAGTGGCGCAATCTCGGCTCACTGCAACCTCTGCCTCCCAGGTTCAAGTGATTCTCCTGCTTCAGCCTCCCGAGTAGCTGGGATTACAGGCGCCCGGCACCACGCCCAGCTAATTTTTGTATTTTGTAGCAGAAACGGGATCTCATCATGTTGGCCAGGCTGGTCTTGAACTCCTTACTTCAGGTGATATGGCTGCCTCAGCCTCCCAAAGTGCTGGGATTACGGGCGTGAGCCACTGTGCCTGGCCTGCTTTTTCTCTTTATTATGGGTCTCATTTTCTTGTTTCTTTGCATGTCTTATGATTTTTGATTGTATAGTTGACTTTGAATATGAAGAACAGTAGAGAGGACATACCTTTTCCTTTGTCAAGCAGCTAGAGTGAGGAGCTAATCACTTTCCTACAATTATGAAAAGAAATTGAGCCAGGCCATGGCTGGTTTGCAGTTTATTCGTAGCTCATTCTGGTTTGAAACATCTTCAGGGTGACACACCAGGTTCTTCTCGGTAGTGGAAGATTTGGATCTAAATATTTGAAAACAGTGATGTCTCTGTCACTCTCCTCTTTGTGGTCTCACTTCCATCCTCTCAACTGGGAGAACAGGCAGGATAGGTGAGCTAGCTTCATGTCTGGGAGTCCTCCAGATTCCAACCCAACATGCCAAGCCAGTAAATCTCCTTACCCCAGCAAAGTTGCTCATCTTATATTCTGCAATTGCCCTCAGAAAGGAAAATGGCCATTGGCTTTTTCTTACCTGGAAAGGGCTTATAAGCCTTCTGGAATTTAGTAAATTTAGACTTCTGTGCATATGCAGATCTCTGATGGGTCTAAGTAAAATACGATATTTTAGAAGTTTATCAGCTTATCTTCTTTTCTCATTGCTTTGGTGAGAGCGATGTCTTGTAGTTGAACATTCTATCTTGAAGCAGACATCTTAGTTATTTAAGTATGATACTCCATTAAGTGATTGTATGATCATTTGTTTAATAGTCCCCTATTGATAAACATTTTGGTCATTTTTAGCGTTTTCCTTTTGTAAAACAGCACTACTATGAGTAATCCTGTGGATGTCTTTCCAGATTTTTGCCAGTATATTCTTAGAAGTGACACTGCTGAATTCAAAGGGTAAATGAAGTAGTGATTTAGTTATATCCTCCTCCATAGGATCTGTGTCACTTTGTATTCTCACTAGCTATAGATGAGGAAGCTTCCCCTTGTCTTGCCCATGTTATAGGTCATCAGTCATTTGGATTTTCTGACAATTTGATACGTGAGAAATGGTAACTCAGTATACTTGGAATTGGCATTTCTATTATGAAAATAGTTAGTTGAGCATCTTTCATTATATTCAAAAGTTATTTGCAGTTCTTTTTTTGTGGCCTGTCTGTTCATACCTCTAGCCCATTTTTTTCTGTAGGATTCTTATTCTCTTTTCTTCTTTAAGAAACTTCATATTTTAAGGATATTAATCATTTTTATATAGGTTGCAAATGTTTTTCCCTTTTTGATTTTTTCTTTCTTGTAAGATTAAGCATAGATTTTTATTTATTTATTTATTTTTTTGAGACTGAGTCTCACTCTGTTGCCCAGGCTGGAGTGCAGTGGTGTGATCTCAGCTCACTTGCAACTGCTGCCTCCCAGGTTCAAGCGATTCTCCTGCCTCAGCGTCCCCAGTAGCTGGGACTACAGGTGCGTGCCACCATGCCCAGTTAAGCATAGATTTTTGAAGATTTATTTTGTAGTATAATTGTTTAAGACACCAGTTGTCACTTCAAATAGAAAGGTATTGATACAATTTTTTTTTTTTTTTTTTTTTTTACTTATAACATAGATTACAGACTTATTTTGGTATCCCGGAAGGTTCCCCTTGGTACCTCTCTGTCTATCTTTTGCACATTGTTGATTGGATTGGCCATACTGAATTATGTCTTGAAGATATTACACTGTTTTCTGCCATTTTGTGTAAGCTCTCAATGACATTCTTAGAGCTTCAAATCAAAGTTGAAAGGTCACCGTTTCTCTAAGTCTTGCCTGATGCCTCCAGATTTTTCATTACCTTTTACTATGATTTTCTTGTGCTCTATTATTGACCTCTATAATGGAGCTTATTCTGCTTTTAAGAAAATTGATTTTATGTCTGTTTTTCCTCTTCAAAGTCAGGGACCAGGTCTTACTTTTTTTTTTTTTTTTTGAGACGGAGCCTCCCTCTGTCGCCCAAGCTGGAGTGCAGTGGCGAGATCTCGGCTCACTGCAAGCTCCACCTCCTGGGTCCACACCATTCTCCCGCCTCAGGAGTAGCTGAGTAGCTGAGACTACAGGCGCCTGCCACAACACCCGGCTAATTTTTTCTATTTTTTTGGTAGAGACAGGGTTTCCACTTTGTTAGCCAGGATGGTCTCGATCTCCTGACCTCATGATCCGCCCGCCTCGGCCTCCCAAAGTGCAGGGATTACAGGCATGAGCCACTGCGCCCGGCCTCTTTCACCTCTAATCCCAATTCTTCCAGATAGGTGCACTATGGATATTTTAACAATGGAGAAAACCCTATTCATGGGCTATGATCCCTGGGAAGCTGGGCTGCCAAGTGTTTAAACATGTAATGATGGGACCAGGTGCCTCAGTGGCTGGGAGCTGGGGTGGACATAGAAGTCATGAGTCCCTGGAGACCAAGCTGGAGCTTATGGCTTTGGAATCAGGATCAGGATGGAATGCTGCTGTGGCCCTCTAGCAGCCAGCCACATAAAAGCAAGACCGATCATTCATTAAACACTTACTAGGTGTCAGTCTTTACACTAGGCATTTCATGTAGTTTATAATATTTAATCCCTACAGCAGTTACATTATGAGGATTTTACAGATGAGGAATCAGACCCAGGAAGCCGTTTTTGAAAATGTCACTTCAATGGGCAATGACAGCATAAGGACCTGTTCATTTGAAGATTTCCTAGCCCTGAGGTGCATGCCCTTCTCCACTGTGCTGCCATGCCTTCATTTAGTATTGTTCTCCAATGCAATTTCAAATAACTCTACTCGATTCAGAGATGATCATTTTTGCTACATAGATGTATGAATTATGCAGTTACTTTCTGAGTTTGAAGACCTGGTATAAGAAAAAGAAACCAGATATTTGATAGAGTCAAACCTGGTAAGGTATTCAAAGGCCAGGGGTTTACAGAAAGTGTGGGAGAGAAAGAGAAGGATGTCTAGGTAAATATTTCAAACTAGAGATTTAAGAAAATAAAAACTTCCCCTGTTGTATAAGCATGCCATCTCCTTTTAAAGAGTTGGGTGGAATTTTTGGAGGAAATCCTATTTCTCAGTAAGGCAATAGAAGAGATTTCTGATGATCTGAGATACATTTCTTATTCCATTTAAAACAGCCTTTCCCTAAGGATTGTGTATGTTTGGGTGAACTTGTGTATGTGGACATGTGCGAGAGCGTGTGCACACCTGTGAGTGTATGTACATGAGTGTGTGTTAGTGTCTGAGTGTGAGTGTATGTGAATCTGAATATGAGTTTGTGTGTGTGTGAGTGTGTTTGATGCAGGCACAAACTCACATTTTCTCATTTTATCACTTGTTTTTAGTTGAACAAAGTATTAGCTAGAGGCATAATGAAACAATAATGATCAAGATTGGCAGAAATACAAGCATCAATTGAATTTGAAAACAATTTTACTGGCCAAAGATAGGTTGTATTTTGTTGAAATGCAGAAAATAATTTTCACTAATTTTAGGGTGGAAGGGTTCAAAAAATAAAGCCTTTTGTAAAGACTTCTGAATATCCCCCCTGAAATCAGCCAATTATATGAGGATGATTTAAAATGTCATTGTTAACTTCAAAAGTTCAGAGGCTTCTGAGCATGCCCCAGAACATGTTGAAATATGTGAAAAAAATTACGAATGAGAGCAAGTAACTTTTCTAACAAGCTGCAGGCAAACAAGCAAAAATCCCAGTTCAACAGGGGCAGGCCATGTAGGCGGAAACCTCAAGCTGTACACAGCCTACTCCCTACTGTAAGGTTTGTAGAGTGTTGATCCACCAGAGTATAGAGATTGGGCTTGGAAGAGCCTCCAAACCTTGCCTAATTTCCAAACGTGTGAGCTTTTTCAATTCTAGTTAGCTTGATGAGGAAAAGGTAATTAGGCAAATCCCAAATACTCTGGTAGCACCCTTTGTGGTGTGGCCTGTCCTGGGAGGTGTGGACTCCTGGCCTAGAGGGTGTATGAGCTATGTGGCCCTCCCTATCTCTGTCAGCTCTCTGAGCTCAGGCCTGGGATCTGCCTCCTTGGGGTGGTGCTGGCATGATTCTCTAACTTGGGACACATTAACAGGTTTAGGGGCTCTAATCAAGGTGGTGGACACGATGCCTCACCTCCCCACAGGGTATTCAACAGAGAAATAATTCTGAGATCTCTGTAATGAAGCACAGAGATGATTTTATTATGTAGACGTTGACCCCTTTTGCCAATACAGCTTGGTACAATATTTGGGGGTTTCTTGGTGGGTCAGTTTGGTTTACTCATCCAGAGTGGGACTGAGTGGCCTGGTCTCATAGGTTGACGATTAGGCTGGCTGTTACCCTCTGCCTGGGCATGGCCCACATAGGGGAGCAAAGGCAGAATTTCAGAGGCAATGTACTAATGCTGGGGGTTGGGGGTCTTTCCCGCTGACACGCTCTCTTCCCCTGCTCTGCCCTCCTGGCTGGGCCTCGGGGTGAATCTGCCTCTTCCCCACCTGGTTAATGTGGCTCCGCAAGTGTGTCATTACATTTGTGTGGCTCTGCTCATCCAACCCCATGCTGGGCCTGGGTTTTGGTCTCCATGAGAGGCCCTGTGTGGGCAGACCCCTAGCTAGCAGATGGGACCCCATCTGGGGTGACAGCTTGCAAAGACGGCACCCTGACTCTGGGTCTGCACAGTGTCTGTGTGGTCTGCAGATCTAAGTCCTTCTCCATTTGCAAGGACACAAAGCGCACAGGAGAGTGAAGACACACTCTGTATATGTTTGCTTTAATGCTTAAAGGCCTGGTTTGGGGCTCGGTGCAGTGGCTTATGCCTCTAATACTAGTATTTTGAGAGGCTGAAGTGTGAGGATCACTTGAGGCCAGGAGTTCAAGACCAGCCTGGGCAACATAGTGAGACTGTGTCTCTCCATGCAAAACAAAACACAAAATCTAAACCAAAAAACTTAGCTGGGTGTGGTGGCATGTGCCTGTAGTTCCAGCTCCTCCGGGAGGCTAACTGGGGAGGATCCCTTGAGTCCAGGAGTTCAAAGCTACAGTGAGCTGTGATCACACCACTGCACTGCACTCGAACTGCGTGACAGAGAAAGACCCTGACTCAAACAAAAAAAAGGAAAAAAAAATCTAGTTCGACTTCCTTTGAGAGTCTTTTCCCTGGAGCTATGGAGCTGGCAAAGCCTTCAGGAGTCCTGAGATATTTTCTCCCTGAGAGTCCTAGGACACCCTTTATCATTGGAGCCTGCAGAGCCCATAAGGAATGTTTAATTACAGCTTCGGTCCTTAGAAAAGAAGGTCCATCTCCTGGGTCTGTCCCTGCGGTTCGAACCCACCATGCAGGTCTGGGCGCGCATGACCACATGTTTCTACAAGTGCATACTCATATCCAACTTCCCAGTTTAAACAAACAAACAAAAAATACATCAAGGAAAAGTTATTTTATACTTAGCAATCCACACTATCAAAATTTTTCAGTCAGAAAAGTCCTTAGTATGTGAATCAATTCCATCATTTTATAAAACCGATGTTACACACCTTGTCTTGTCTCATAGAACTGAGCCTTTTTATCAACCTCTTGCTGTTAGAACCTGGCCTGTTTCCTCTGCCTGCCTGGCATAGTTAGAGACAGGACACATTTTGGTTCTTTGTCCCCTTTGTAAGATCCCCATGAGGTCTTGAGTGTGAATCTCAGAAAACAGTTTTGCTCAAAAACCAAACACCCCCTAAGATCCCAGGAAGTGGCGGTGACTTTGCACTGTTTTCAGCAGTGCCTGTTCCAAGGAAGGTTGTTAGCATTGGGTTAAAACCATCAGAAAATCCATCATGAGGGCGTTTTCAGCTTTACCAGAAGCAGGAAGTTACAGAAATCTCTGAAGTAGAGTCCGTCCTGGTGCAGCCCGGCTGACTCAATGGGTTTACATGTTTTGGTTGTGGTTTGAGGATATAAAACCTCTGGATGGGATGTCAGGTGAACCTGCAGTTTGCTGATGGCTAGTAGGGTTTGAGTATTTCTCTGTATGTTGCTAGCTGTCTGTGTGCGATGCTCCTTTCCAATTTTGTTCTTCCAGATCCCCTCCTCTCCTTCAAGAATGTGTGGACTTGTGCTGCTATCTCCTCAGCCCTTCGCAGATCTGGGGGTCTCCTTTATATTTTGCGATGTTTCAGAGTTTCTGGGGCTTTCTGGGTTGGCCTCCCTTTGCCTGAATGCAGGCCATTGTCTTGTACGCTGACTTGCCCCAACTATTGTATGGCTGTTCCCGAAAAGTAGACTCCACAGCTCACTTTGTTAATGCTACCAATATGTACTCTATAAAATCTTGGGGGAAACAGCTGAATACGGAGGATGACATTACCTCCCTAGAACCGGCTGCTGGTAGAACCACACATCTGGATCTGGCCCTAAACTTTCCCAAAAGGAATCTCTGCACTTTGGGATCCAGGCCTAATGTGCTGCCCCCTCTGTCCTGCAAGGAGAGCCTCATTCCAAGTTGCAGCATGGTCAACCATGAGGACCTCTGTTTTCTCAGGGATGATCTTTTCCTGACCCAGGGGAATTGGGACCTCAAAGAGCTAGGGCAAGGTCATATAAAATGTAAGTTTACTTATATTTTTATATATAAGATGGAAGACTCCGTCAGGCTTCCCTCCCACTGTGGGTGCTCTCTCAAGCCCTTCCTGCTGCCTCTCCATAGCTGGTCTGGCCCAGTCTCCCCAAAGACTTTGCCTCAAATTCTCAGTGAGAACAGACTTGAACCAAGAGAATAGATTAATAAATTCATAGGTCATAAATAGGTCATACATTCATAAACTGGGAAAAGGAGTAAGTTCTTAACCTTCCAGGGCTGTGGTCTTCCTATTCCAACCACAACACAGAAGTGCTGTATCCTCCCAAAGGTGGATTAGAAGGGATCCCCTGGCTCAGAATCATGCATAGAACGCTGCAAAAGTTTACTCCAGGGCAATCCCAGCCTCCCTGAGACTCACTCACAGCCTTTCCCCTTCAGAATGGACCCACTGAGCCCTTAGCTCTGACTTGAACCTGAACAAGGTGACCTTGGGCAGGTGGTCTTCCCCAGCCTGAGTCTGACCCTCAAATGTGGAAGTTGGAGGTGGCCAGGTCTGCCCCTTGCTGCTGTCCTGTGCTCTCCGTCGCTGCTGGAGAGGGGATTTGCTGGGGCACGCTTGCTTTTCTGACCCAGGCAAGCTTCTTTTTGGTGCCTTTCTCTAACAGATAAAAAAATGGTATGAGAGAAGAATTGAGCACCTGTGAGATGCCTGCCCATTCCCAAGGGTTGGGGAGCTCAGCCTGACTCCCACTCCCTGGGCGGGCCTGGTTGCCTCACCCCCAAGGTCCTCACAGTCCAGGCCACAGAGAGTGAGGGCTGTGGCTGTTCTTTTTCCTGTGTCATCTCAGCAAAGGGGGATCCTGCCAGTTAATGCAGGAAACAGACTGGAAAAGATGGCAAACCCAAAGGTAAGGGTGTCCTGCCGGAGCTCCCCAGGGCTCAGGAGACTTCCCACCCTTCTCCTGAGGGTGGGCCTGGCTTTCCTGCCTCTCCCACCCCTGGTGCCTGCTGCTCACCTGACAAGAACCCATTTGGTCAGTGCCCACATCCTCTAAGGCACACAATCCTGGGCCTCCAGGTAGGGCCTTCTCCTTGGATTGACAGGCGGGGCCTAGGGGAAGGAGCTTATATTCTCCCTCTCTCTCTGTCTCTTCTGATCCTTTTTTGTTTTTCAGAGAAACTATTCCAACAACACAGGAATAGACAGACTCAGATGTGCTGGTTCTCGCTCACCTGCCCTCCCAGCCCTCTCTCCCCGCGGAGGTGAACAGAGCCATTGCCTGGTGAGCCCCTGCAGGCTCCATAAGTGCTGCTTCCATGCCCTTCCTTTAAATGGGCCAAGGGCGGGCTCTATTGATGTAGCAACTTGCTTTCCACAACGTGTCCCGGCTCTTTCTATGTGGGTGGACACACATCTCTTTCATCTTTCAAACTTTCCCCCTTTGCCCCTTTGCCCAGGTATGGTAAGTGTCCAATGGCTACAGAAACTTGATGAATAGACTGTATTAAGCGTCTGATTAGCTATAAATCCTTGTGCCTGGTGTTGGAGATCTGGGGTAGTATCTGTTGCATGCTGACCTTCCCAAGTCAGGATTTCTCTCCCTTCTGATTTGCCTTTTTCTGATTAACGTCCAAACGTGAGGAATATTCAGTTCTCTTTAGATGAAGAATCTCCTCAACTAAGAGTCATCTAGATGGAAGATTTTGAAAATTTAGTTGCAAAGAGATGAGGCTGTGTCCTGTTTTGTATTCTGCTTTCTCTCTTGTGGGAATGTCCCCACCCTTCACGGAGCTGCGCTCCTTCCTCGAGGCCGGCAGGGCGGATGCCAAGTGTTCTGGAGAAACTGAATTAAGGACACATTGTTTTCTACCCCTCTGTGCACTCATTTTGTTTCATATCAGATGATATCATTTTGTTTGGATATATATCAGATTATACCATTAAATCTGAGGGGACCATAAATATCGCAAAGTGAATCCCTGGCTAACATTCTGACCTTGCTTACCTGCCTGGATTCTACACTTAACAGAAAGTAATTTATTCCAGGGGTGACAGGGAATTTCCATGGTGCGAGTGGAGAAGAATTCTGAAGGCTTGCCCATGCTGGCAGGAAGGAGTGTCTTAATGATTAATTATGTCCTCTAGTCACTCTAAGGCCAGTGACAAAGGGTGGGCAAGTATTTGCCATCTTCTGGAGTGAGCAACTGTTGCTACCCTCTTGGGCCCATCCAAAAAGAAACATCCAAGCTCCCGAGGGACAGAGAGATGCACATCACAAAAGCCAGTGGGTGTGCGCTTTATCGCTTAGTGCTTAACCTGGTCATCTACCTGCCAATCAGCTGAAACATACCAATCTACGTGGGAAGCTTCCATTCGTATAGTCCTGCCGCTTCCTGTGGCCGCTGCATATTCAATGCTCCTTGCTGCTTATTTCTGGAATTGAGGTGGCCTCGTGCTTTTATAGGACAGCAATTGACACATTTGCCCTGGCAGCTGAGACAGCCCATGAGGAAAGACGCTTTGGGGTCCACCTGTCCTATTTAGAAACAGTTACACAGTGAGTTAATTTCCAGATGCTGGGTTCATTTTCAGAAAGTCTTTTGGAAGCAGGGAAAAGAGTGGTTTGGAACCCTTGTTCTTTTGGAGTTTTTTGGGGGAATGGAAAATAACCTCTGGGCAGTTCTCTTTGTGTCAGAAGCCTTGTATCAATCACCAAATAGTTATCCAACATTTACCCAGTCTGGAGTGTATGGGGCTCCGGGCCAGAGCCCAGGCACAGAGCCCTAGTTGGGAGGAGCCCACGTTCAGCAGGGCACATGGCAAAAGGTGGTACTCGTTCAGGTCAGGGCTGGGAGATCAGCAGTATAGAGAGACTGGTGTGGCTGCCCAGGCAGGGGGTGGTTGTGCCTGCCTGGGGCATTGGGAAGGCTGCCGAGACCCAGTGACACTTGGGCCTGGCCTTGAAGGTAACTAGGAGTTTGCAAGCTAGAGAGTGAGGGAGAGGAGAGGTTGGGAAGGATGCGCAGAGGCTGTGTTTTGGACTTGGGGAGAATTGGTTGGGTTGAGGGAATGTCCAGAGAGAGATTTGGCAAGGACACTCGGAGACTGGTGTGTGGGTGGCCTCCTGGGCTGCCTTAGACCCTCATCTTCATGCCCTGCTGCTATGAATTTTTTATTATTGTATTTTGTTTCATTTTGACAGGATATTTTGATAGACTTCTAAAAATGGACAGGACTGTTTTTCTAGCCTTTTGTGATAAAAGTGCCCTTTGTGCTAAAAATTCTAGCCCATGGTGTGTTGCATCTGTAGGTCTCTAGCTTGGCCAGGCCTGCTTCTGTTTGGGGTTTCTAGAGCTGATATTCCTCTGCTGAAGGCTTTATAAGCTCAGATGGCATTTCCTGCCCTGAATCCAAGTCTGCCGCTTAAGAATATGCCATTAAAGGCTCACTGGGTTTGGGTTGGAGTGTGGAATTCTCATTCCACTCAGAATGAGCACGGTTGGGCACAGATTGCAAGACCTCTTTTAGATTTGAAGGTCTCAGCTCTTGCACATGGAAATGACTGAGCTCCTGGTGCTGACCTGAGAGCTGACATTGAGACAGAGGAACTGTGGGCACCATCCACATTCACCTGGATCCTGAGTGTGGCTTCTCTTTTCCTCTGCCCTTCTCAGTTTGAAGTTTTTGAAGCTCTCATTTCTTCCTCCAGTTCTGTTTACTTTGCTTTTTATTTCATTTCCTTTATCCAGTCTGTTTCTCCTATTTCTGTGAGAAACTATCCTAGTTCAATCTCTCATTTGAATTCAGTGAAAGCTGTCTGCCTACAGACTCCACGTCTCTTAAACCTCTGCTCCTTGGAAACTCAGATTTCTTCTTCCCTTCAGAGCTCAGTTTCATCAGCACTTCTGGGAGATTGCAATGTTGTCTGCACAGAAAAATGACCCCTTTATTTCAAGGCACTCCTCTCTACCTTCCAGAAGCACGGTTTTGGGTGTGAGCTGCCAGTTACAGTCCTTAGCATGGTTTGCTAAGGTCTGGGCCTGGGCACATGACCCATCCCAAGCCAAAGGCAATCCTTCCCTGGGACTGCATCTGGAGCTGGCGTGGGGCATATATGTTTCTCTGTGGTCCTAAAGCCGCAAGGTCATCGATTTGGAGATGCTTCCAGCCTTGGGGTGGATGAAAGAACTCCTCCCTCAGAGAGTGAATCCATCACCAACCAGGAGAAACACATAAACAAGAGACGTGGGCCTTCACCTTTATATCTAGGCCCATTCCTTTATTGCTCAGTCCTTCAATTCACCCACTCTTTTTACCTTCTCTCCCCCAAACTTTTGCTACAGCATTGCTCCTTTGTGGTACGCTCTTTGGAAGATTTCTGTTGAAACTAGAATGAAATCTCGACTCTCATGTGGTCAACAGGCCTGGCTCCTGCCTGCCTCCCTCCCTGCTCCCTGGGTGTCCTAGACCCATCTTGCAGCATGTTCCTCCCTCAGGGTCCCTTCCCAGCCCTCTTCAGAGAGGCCTTCCCTGGTATGTCCCTGAGGGAAGTCACCCTCCTCACTCTGAATCATCAGGTCCCAGAGATTTCTTTTTAAAGTACTTACATCATTTTATATCTGTACCTGCCTTTGAAATTTACTTGCTTTGTTCCCTCTTTGTCTGTTCCACAAAGAGTTCAGCACCACGGGGAGCCCATCTGTCCAGGACACTGTATCCCTAGCGTTTGGCATGGGTGGGCTCCAGAAACTGCTTGTTGAGTGCACGAATGAGAGTGAGAATACTGGAGAACATCCCCCTGTGGCCAGGGGCTTGTCCCCTAAGCCAGCCAGCTCTGGCTTTCCCAAGGTTACGCTATGTGCACCAATAGCGTCTGGGTGCCATCCTTTCCTGTCTCACTGTGGTGAAATGTGGGTTAAGAAGAATGAATTTCACTGGGTGTGGTGGTTTATGCCTGTAATCTCAGCACTTTGGGAAGCTGAGACAGGTGGATCACTTGAGGTCAGGAGTTCGAGACCAGCCTGGCCAACATGGTGAAACCCCATTTCTACCAAAAATACAAAAATTAGCCAGGTGTGGTGGTGTGCACCTGTAATCTCAGCTACTTGGGAGGCTGAGGCAGGAGAATAACTAGAACCCGGGAGGCAGAGGTTGCAGTAAGCTGAGATCGCACGACTGCACTCCAGCCTGGGTGATAGAGGGAGACTCCGTCTCAAAAAAAAGAAATAAATAAATAAAGAAAAAAGAACAATGAATTTGAGGGGTG
The DNA here is from genome assembly GCF_000001405.40 of Homo sapiens. Taxonomy (NCBI): domain Eukaryota; kingdom Metazoa; phylum Chordata; class Mammalia; order Primates; family Hominidae; genus Homo; species Homo sapiens. Next base: position 45,972,519 of record NC_000007.14, read on the forward strand.
TAGTCTTTGGGCTGGGCCCTGAAGGGCACATGGGATTTGGGCCCAAGAGATATTCCCAGCTGGGTGGGGTCTCAGACCTCATAGCCATGTGAAACACCTGAGTCTTAGGAAAGGCCTTTCAGTACACCCCATTCACATTGGCTGCCACTCCCTTCCCCTACCCTCTGATTTATGATCTTTGGCCTCACTTGTTATCTTCCTGATATGAGAAAGCATCTTTTGTTCATTTCCTGCATGGTTGGACCCAAGGTCCGTGAGACCAAAGACAAGGTCCAGCCCAGGATGTGGAACGGCCACAGAGGATGATGGTGACAGCTTGGGGCTGAGGGAAACCGTGGGAACAGAGCACCCACGGTGTGGGCTGGGCTCAGTCCCCAGGCAGGGCGACTGTGCGGCTGGGATGTAGGAATGTCAGGTGCTAGTTGGCTGGGGAGGCACAAGCCCCTGTGGGCAGGGGGAATGCAGGCAGCCCTATGGCTGGTTTATGGGGCCCTGGAGAGCTGTGGAACAAGTGAGGGCGTGGTCAGGCTGCATTTGGGGAAGACAAGTGGAGGGGGAAGACAGAAGCTGGGACAGGGCAGGTGGCTGTTGGTGTCGGTGCAGAACTGGGCAGACACCCCAGGTCACTTGTGACCAAGAGTCTTTTCGGAGGTGAGACCCAGGATGTGGGTGTGAGTGAAGAGGGCTGAGCCAGAGGAAGTAACTCTCCTGTTTTCTGAAGGAGCTGCCTGATTTCCTTTCCACTCGGTGTCTTCCTGCACCTTTCCCATTTCCACCTGCGCTTTTCTCATTCGGAAAAGAGCATAGACGTGGATGCCACCCACAGCAGACGGTCCCGAGGGGCCTTGAGAAACACCAACTGCAGCTTCTGCTGTCCTGGGGCTCCCCCACCCCCAGAAGCTCCCCCACCTCACAGAGTCCTGAGCTAAGCACAGAATATTCTGGAACATTTTCCCTGTACACCCTGGGGGAGTGGACACAGAGCTGGAATTATCACGGTTCATCTCAAAAACGGACACATAGTTTGTATTCTGTTCTGTAATACGTTTTTATTTAAAATAAATGCAATGCTTTACATTTTTACTCTAGAGAAAATTTCATGCTGCAGCATCTCATTTAAACTACACTGCAGCACCTTCGAGTGGGTTCTAGTGTTATTATTACTATGACTAAAACTTCCATTTGACATTGACGTAGATTTTGGGAGACTCAGAAAAGTGAGGGCCTATCAGCACTCACGCCAGAACCGAACCCTTAGGTTGTTGGCCAGGTGGGGATCCTGAGGAGCCAGTTGCTGAGGATCAGGACCTGGGAGGCACCCACTGCACAGTTATTTTATTCATGTGATTCCATCTTCTCAGCAATGCCGTCCACAGGCACCGTGGCTGTCCTTACACCCTCAAGGAGGAACTGGAGACTTAAAGTTGCCGGGATCCTCTAGGGAGGCCTGCCTTGGAGATGGATGGGATGCTGCCGCTTCCACCGGCTGCTTCTCCAGCATCCACTACTGTCTCCTGGGCGTGGGTCTGGCCTTGGAGAACCAACTTGATCCCTTGCCCCCTGTGTCCCCTCTGTGGTCATTTGTTAATTGTGCTTTCCTTTCCCAAAGTCAACAGAACAATGCACAAAGCCCCTTTCATTCTGGAGAGCCTATTTATTTGTTTAGATAGAGCTTCAGAGAGTTGGCAGCCCTCACGCAGCTGCCCGCTGCCCATCCCAGGCAGGAAATGGAAACCCCCACACAATCGGCCTGTTGTGTAAAGCACAGTGATGACCATCAGGAGGTGGCTCAGCCTCCCGGGATGGGGGTGTCTGCTTGCTATGCAGCATCTCCAAATGCTCCCTAGTTACTAGAGTCAGTGTGCTCTCCCCCTCCGGGGGTTTCCTTAACAGCCCATGTGCTGACACATGGTTCTCAGCATTTTTCTGCCTCCATGCTACTCACACTAAACCCTCTGGTCAATGTCAGTGTCACCTCTCTGATGGTCAGTGATGCTCCTTTTTTCCGTGGGGGCAGCACCCAAGGAAGGGCTGGGGAAGTTCTCTCCTCCCAGAGTTCCTATTCATAGGGAGTCATGGAGAAGGTCCCAGAATAGAAATATCCTACACCCCCACATACCAGCCACATAGCTCCCCCTGCCTGGGGACTGAGCCCAGCCCACGCCCTCGGTGCTCTTCTCCCTAGGTTTAAATTCAGAGCCCTGTTGCCTGAGTTGACCCTGCTCTCACCTTGAATGCACTGGCAGATTTCCATGGGCTTCCAGCACCTCCTCTGTGCCCACTGGCGCCTGGTTCTGGGAATGACAGCAGGAGTGAAGAGGGGATGAAAACTGTCCCTAAAGAGCCAAGTGATGTTGAGTGCATGGGGAAGGGAACAGCATGATCTGTGGGTACACACAGACCATGGGGGGCTGACGGGGAAGGATATGGCTGGGCTCCTTGGAGGTGCATGAGGCACATGGAGCACAGTGCTCAAAGGCTGAGACAACAACGATGAAACGGGTGCGTTTAACACACTGACAGCTTTTAAAATGTGCCCTGAGGCAGGTGGCTGAGCTTATGTGTGATATTGATCCCTCCAGGGGTAGATGAGGCAGCACCACAGACTGAATGCTCACCCGGCATCAGCATCACGCATCCTAATTCTCGAAGTCATCATTCGAGTGGGGTTGTATCTACTTTTTAAAGATGAGGAAATGTAGTAATGTTTTTGCAGACATGGTAGAGCTAGTGGATGGCAGGAGCCCCTATCTCTGCTCAAGGGTGTCTGTCTTAGTCCATTTAGTGTTGCTATAACAGAATGCCTGAGACTACGTAATTTATAAAGAAAAGAGGGTTTTTTTTTTTTTTGGTTGGGGGATTGCTTTCCAGCAAAACCTGAAAAGCCTGCTAGACAAATTCTAAAAGAGCTCTAACACTTAAGAAAAGAGGTTGATTTGGCTCATGGTTCTGGAGGCTGTGAAGTCCAGGAAGCATGGGGCTGGCTTCTCATGAGGACCTTGTGCTGCACCCTAACATGGCAGAGAAGCAGCAGGGGAAGCAAGTATGTGCAAAAGGCCAGCCATGAGAGGCTTCCTCAACCTGTCACAAACTGCTCTTGTGAGGGTGAGTCAATTCCCGTGAGAACTGACCCAGTCTTGTGAGAATGGCATTAACCCATTCATGAGGGTGAGTTCTCAAGACCCAAACACCTTCTGTTAGGTTCCACCTCCTATCACATGAACTTTTGGGGGACACACTCAAAATGTAGCAGTGTCCTTGTCCTCAGGCACCCCTCAGGTGGGGTGAAGGCTGGGCACAACAAAATTGATGTGAAGACTCATCCCAAATGAATGGGGCACCCTCTTCCCTACAGGAGTGTCCACATAGCAGCTCCAAGCACTCAGCTTCCAGGGCCAGCAAGCTGCACGGGCGGCACCACTGGGCTCCCGAGAGGGCTGGGGGCTGCCAATGACATTTGCACTTCCCTTCAAAGCACCGAGGCACCAAGACTTTGAGGATGATGCCCAGAGGGAGGGTTTGGATGAGGTCCAGGAAGAAAGAAAGCTGAAGCCTCTTTGGGCAGGTGAGGGAGATGGCAGGAGCTTGTGGTTTTAGAGGCTGTGTGAAGTGAGATTGGACACTCAGCTGGGTCAGCCCAGAGGCTGGGTCCTGAGGTTGGTCTCAGGGCAGCTCCGGGAGACTCCACGTGTCCCTTCTGCAGGATGCTTCCCTCTCCTCGAGGCCCATCAGTGTGGAGTGGAGCATCCACCAGGGCCCCCAAGAACTTGGCACTGAGGGCACTGGGAATGTTCAGCAGGGCAGTGCCCAGCCTCAGCATGACAGGCTCGATGGCCCCAGGAGGATGTTCCAGCACCTCCCCTGCCATCCTCACCAGGGCTGGGAGGTGGAGATAGGCACTGGTGCTGCCCATGCAGTGCCCTGGGTTCTACATCTGGATTTCCCAGCAGGATGGGGTTTCAGGAGTCCCCTTAGAGAACCAGCTAATTTAACCTTATTAATCAGATGGGAATCAAAGGTCCTGGGTGGGGAAGTGAAGAGCTGCATGCTACAGACACATGGAGGTGATAGGGGCTCCTCCATCCACCCGGGAAAGGGCTCTGGGTGGGAGCCCTTGCTCTGCCAACCTTGGGAGGGCTTCATCCATCTCCTGGACACTCCCAGGGCCTGAGGAATCCTTGACGTCCCCTCTAGGTGCAACCCATGTCCCTGTGTGCATCCCAGGGGTCATCCTCAAATACTACCGTGGTCTTGGTGTCCAGAATCTTCTTAGCAGGTGGGGCTCTCCTTTCTTCACCAGCCTGTTGGGATCAGCTCAGCCAGTCTGGTTAAAGGACAAGTGGCTCTGAGCTTTATTGTAGAACTTACTTTGTTTTCCTCATAACTTTCTCTTTCCATGTCTGCAGCTGCCATTGTGTGGGGCTCCTTGAGGATGGGGACCCCCTGTTCTCTCAGCTCCACTCCCCAGCATGAGTCATGGTCTCTCTAAAGACCCCCTGGCCTTAAAGCAAACATCACCAGGTGCACTCAGCAAGGCTGGTGTCATCTCTGGATTCTCTTCATAACGCTATGGGAACACAGGAAGATAAAGCTCAAAGTGGAGGGAAATTTTTGGTGGCTTTGGGTGTTGGAAGTGGTGCAGCTCCCCAGGACCCCAGCCCCTCAGCAAAGCCGCCCTCAGATACTGTGTATGGGCTGTAGCAAGTCTGTTGATTTCTCATGGGGTAACGCCCTCCTTGGATGTTACTCTTTGCAGTTTACATAATACTAGACACATATTATTTTCTTTTATCTTCATACAACCCTACATTTTCAGCATTCTGGGAATTAACCACAGGCCCCACTATCTGGTGCCCAGAAAGACATGGGACACCCTTGGAGAGGAGCACTTGGCCTCTTTGCTGTCCTCGGACTTAGTGCAGGGTGGTGGGTGCCGGGTGCGGTGGATGGGGCTGGGCAGCAATGATGGTGCCCTTTACTCTTCTCCATTTACCTCCAAGGTTCTTCATGGTCTATGACTCCAAGGTCTGAAATGATCTCATTTACCCCACATGATAGATGTGGCCCTTCCAGATGAGGAGTTCAACAAGACTACATGGTAGAGCAGCCAGAGAACCCACTGGAAATAAGGCTCAAAATAAGGAGTAACCACAAAATAAGGTGATTTATAAAGGTGCATTAACTTATTTCACTAGAGAGGCAGCATTTTATTGAGTAAAGAGCACTGGGTTTTTAATCTCAGAGTCAACTATACGGTTCTGCTGTCTGTCTAAAGATCTTGGTCAAGAGTGTCTCCTTTCTTCCCTTGTAAAGGGATGAATGGGAATCCCCACCTTAGAATCTCTATGACATTATGAAGCTGGAAGTAAATAAGGGACATAGACAACCTTTCAGAATCAGCAAGGGTTGTCCCAATAGGGTGTTGGCTACAAGAATTATTTCATGAAAGAATATCTCAGGGATCACAGTTGAGCTGAATCTGGATCATTCTTTTGACCTGTACTGAGGAAAAGACAGGGATTTGAGTGCATTTAGGGTGAGCTGGCATTTTTCACTTCTCACCTCTCCATGCAATGATGCTGTCTGCTGGCCCCAAAGGCACTGTATTTGCCATCTCTCACCAGAGCCTTGTCAGAGCCTGCTGCAGCCAGGGGCTGGGCATGCCTAAGAGCCGGGAGCCACTGTTCCCAAGTGGGCATTACAGGGTTAACTTGTGTCTGTGGCCAAGGCACAGAATCAAAGTAGGATGAGTCACCTCTTGTGCATTTCTTACTTCAGCCCTCCTGCCACTTTAGAAGTTTCTGATGTTTAATTTCCTCGTTTCATTCCAGAGACAGAGAATGCTGATTCACTATGCAGTGAAACATGCCTAACGTGTCAACAGCTAAATGCCCGGTGACAGTGTGGTTGTCTGGGCAACAGAAGAAGTCACCCACGCAAACACTTAAAGGTGAGCTGTGAGAGTTAAGCAAGCGGGAGCTTTTCACTGAGTGAACTCACGTCCACACAGGGTGCGTGTTCAGACTCACGGGGCAGCTCCAATTATGGGGAAGGTCGGAGAAATTCCAGGCTCCGAGGAGTCCAAGACAGCATTCCAGCTCATTCCTAATTTTATATTCAGGTTCCTTAAAACAAAAACTTCACTATGAGACATTCAAACCCTTTGCATGTTACAGTCTGCAAAGTTTGAAAAGCATTTCCTTCCTTAGTGTCTCTGAGTTGCCCTAAATACTTTCTTTCAACCAGCAGGATAGGGGACAGTAGGTTTTTGTGACTACTTAAGTCTTGGCAGCAAGAATGGGGCCCCAGAAGGCGCTAGTGTTTCTGGAACAACCGATATCAGGGCAGATGTCTTGTGCTTGGCCCCTTGGTGGGCCACTTGCCTGGAGTTATGGGACAGGGATGAGCATGTTCCTGCCCCTGAGGAGTTCATGGTCAGTAGGGGAGGCTGCATAGACAAAACTCAACCCCTGGACTATGGCTGTGGCCCTGGATGGCCCAGAGGCCCAAGAAAATATTGGGCAAGAGTACCTCTTTTCTTCCTCTGTAAAGGGAGTAATAGGAATTCACACACTACAGTCATTGTGACAGGATGCATGGGTGGGGGTGTGCAGGGGACTTGAAGAGGCCACTGCATCCCAACTTTCTCTTCTGCTGATTATTTCCTTTAAATAACTTCTTGTGGATATTGCTTATGAGCAGATGCCTTGCTAGGTGGGAAGGGGGATGGAAGTGAAAACACATAAATCATCATCTCTGTTTGTGGAACTCGAGGTCAGGTGTGGAGAGGGCTGAGCAGGTGAAACTGAGTCTCCAGGTTGGGGCATGAGCCAGGGGCTGAAAGGGGCTCTCCCTGTACTGGCAGGGAGGATTCTCTTCTTCCCTGCTCTGTGGTTGCATGTGGCCTGCCAACCGTTTCTCTGTCACACCATGATGCAGTCATGGGTTGTCCACCCATTGATCTCAGGCATCTGTGGTCCTCCTCAAGGGAGAACACATGTTGGGTCATCTTCGTCTCTGATCTTTGTCCCTGCTGTCCCTGATCATGCTGGAGGTCAGGAAGGAGCTAGGCTCACAGGTGTGCCCAGGTGTTTGGCAGGGCAAAGGCCTGGGCTGAGACTCTACAATCTTGGGCTTGAGTTTTCCCATCTGTAGGACAGGAGCAGGGCCAGCATCCTAGGTTTGTGGTGAGGACTGGTTGAGGGCCACACCAGGCTCCTGGATGTGGCCGGCTGACCAGGGCTGGGTGTCTCACTGGCTCGCAACAGGGAAGAACAGAAATTGAGAGTAAATCAATGTGAACTTTACAGCAATTAGGCAGAGTAATTTCATATCTGTTGAATCTAACAAAAAATGGGATTTGTGTTTTGTCTTCATTTCATTTTTCTAGGACCATACTTATTTTACAAGAGGAACAGTTTTCAATGGAATGGATATTAAAACACACACCTGGATCCCTTTACCACAGGTGCTTTGAGAGGCACCATCAAGGACAGTGAGCTAACGCAGGTAACTCAGGTAACAGGGCGGTGAGCTAATGCAGGTAACACAGGTGACAGAGTCATGGGCTAATACAGGTAACACAGGGTAGTGAGTTAACTCAAGTAATATAGCTAAGCCAGGTAACCCAGCTTACACAGCCAACACCTGGCAGTGGGCTAACACAGTTAACTCAGGTGCTCACCTCGGGCACATCCCCAAGGCCCCTCGTGAGGTGGTCTGATGGCTGTCTACATGTGCCCCTGGACATCTGTATCCTGATGCAGGGGAGCCTGGCAGGAGAGGGGACCCTCAGACTCTCCCTCAGCCACACAGGGCAGACATCCTCCACGTGGCTTCAGCTGCAGCTGTCAATTGAGTGGTGGGCAAGGCCATGCTCTGGATAGTCTACCTGGTCCTCGGTGAGGCCCAGCCCCACTGACAAGCATTTGGGGTCTGTTTAATTGCTCAGCCTGTCTGCTGCTATTTGTCACATGCTAGTATTGGTGTGGCAGCTTCTTCTCTGAGTTCTAGAGCAGGAAAGTCCTGGAGACGAGGCCACTGCCAATGGGGGACCCTGCAGCCTGGAAGGGAAGGTGCCTGTGTGGTCCAGCCCTAGTGGCAGAAACTTGGGTCTGCTCTGTGTGTTGCGTCTACAAGTGTGTCTGCTTGGCTCCTCACTGACAACAGGAGTCTAAGAGATTCCTAACAACTGACTAAACAACACAGAGTCTGAGCAAACGTTACAGAAATGGGGGAAATTGCAATGAAATTCTGGAAAAGGAAACAGGCACAACTGAGACAACATGGAACCTTGCTTCTGAAGGAAGGGGTGGGGTGCTGTCTGGAAAGTTCTAGAAGACAAAGCACTAGCAAAAGGCAAGAACATATTGTGAATGACTCAGGAGAGGGATTCTGCAATTTTTTTTATCCACTAGGACAATCCTGTACTGAAGAGAGTGGGGCTCTGGGCAAACCCTTCTCTCCCCGGAGTCTCATTATTTTCAGTCTATAGTAGGGCAGTAGTGGGTAAGACGCCGCTAAAGTCCCTTCCAGGACCAGTGCTGGGAGTTTTCTTTGAAGGGACACGGTGGCTGCTCCTTTCCACCCTGATGGCTTCCTCATGCCTCTTCCTTCCTTGCCAACCCACATCATCTCCCTGGGACTTTGCTTGCAGTCAGCTCAGAGGTTGCCTCCATGCCTGCATTCCTACTGTGCTGTAAACACAAAGGATTCTTGCCAGATAGGGTGGAGTGGGGTGGGTCTTACCCCTCCTGAGGGAAGCCTATGAACTCTGACTCAGTGAGTTAAGGAGAAATACTTCTCAGGTGTGGAGAACACATACGCTGCTGTGTTGAAGGTGGTGCCGGGCAACATTTAAGTCTCCTCCAGGAGCCCCGGGAGCAGCCTCTGGGGGATGACCTGCACGTGGTCCAGTAACTTGTGTCAGGTTTGCAGGATGTTAGGGCCTTCAAGTTGATTTAGCTCAAAAATATTCAAACTTCCTTAGCAGCAAAAGTATTCTTTCTCAAACAAGATCTTATATGAAGTCCAAATATATAAAATTTCTATATTAAAGACAGCATTTTGTAAATTTCTTTATAATTTCTCATTGACGATGCTTATTTATTTGTAATTAAGCCAGTCAACAAAAATGTAAAGGACATTTTGGTCAACCTGGATACTTTCAGTTGTTTCAATATTTTCCTATCTTGATCTTCCTCATGTGGTTCCAAAAAATTCCAATTCATAAAGATAAGTAGCAATATAATAATTTCTATAATTTTCTTGAATAGATATGTCCAGTTTTGAATTTCAGGGAAATAAAAGAACCTCCTAATCAGAGACATGCCTGAAAGAATTTGACTCGAACTCAAAATATCTGAGATGATTGATAAGCTAATTACCCAAATCTGACCACTATACATTATATGTGTGGAAGCTTCACTCTGTAGCCCATACATATGTATAATTATTATATGCCAATTAAAAAAAGAAATTTGAAATATGCTTGTGTAAGAGTCATGAAAGAAGTATTTTTTAAAATTGAGGTAAAATTCACATATCATAAAATTCACCATTTTAACCGTTTTGAGGCGTACAATTCAGCGGCTTTTACATTCTCAGTGTTGTGCCAGCATGGTCTCTATCTAACTGCAGAACATTTTTATCACCCCCAAAAGAAAACTGACCCTATTAAGTATGCATATTTTCACTTAAGTTTTGAAGTAGTTACAATATATTAAAATGAAATGAATGCAAACCAGAATAACCAAGATGGTTTTAGGTCATGATAAATTCTGTGAAGGGAAAGTGATAACGAATGAGAGGGAAGAAAGACACTTGATTTAAGACCCAGATAATGGGAAGGTGTCAGCAATGGAAGGGGCAAAGGACGGGCCTGAAGAGGGGAAAGAGAGGGTGTGCAGAAGCCCTGAGGCAGGAATGAATTCAGCAGGTTTAAGTATAGAAATGAGGCCTGTGTGCTTGGAAGGGAATGTGCCCAGGAAGGATGGGGGAGCCAGAGTGGGCTGCTGGGGTTTGGGGTGCACTTTAGAATCCCCTGAACAATGTGGGAGCTCCTGGCCTGGGGCCTAGCCATGGTCGCTGGCAAGCTCTGCAGGTGATCCTGGTGAGAAGCCGGGACACAAATACCTGATGGCCGCTGACGGATTTGAGAAGCAGATACGCAAAAATGATCTGAGTGTCAACCATAAAACTCAGGAGTTGAGCTTTGTTTCTTCTCAGTCTATGCATATAACACCTTTAAAATGTTTCTTTCTGACATTATGAATCTTGACTTCATGAAACTAAGAAGAAATATAAAGAAAACAAGTTATTCTGGGTGAAATGTTCTCATGCTGGGTCATTAGCAGTTGCAGAAAAAAAAAAACCCATTATCTCCTTGCTAACTATTTTCCAACAACGTTAAAGATTTTATGACATTTATTTTATTGAAAATAATTAGTGCCTGCCGGCCTGGCAGGCAGCTGAGAGGAAGGCACTGTCCCCAGAGCCCTCTGCTGCAGCCTCTACCCAGGTCCAGGGGCTGCCGTTCCTGCATCTGCGCTTATCCCCGCAGGCGCTTTTGTAGCGGGTGTTAGTGGCTCTTGGCTGATTAACAAAGATAAGTTTAATTTTACCCTTAGATGGGAACACGGAGATTCAGTCTTATCTGATGCCTGCCAACTTCAGGCTCTTCTGTCTAAATTATGGGAATTTGGATTTCCTTGGCTGTCCACCATCAGAAATCAGTAGATTTCTGCAAAGGAAACCAAACAGGACTCCAGCTGTCCAGGTACCATCTGCCAGAAATGGGTTGATGCTACTTCTATTTACAAAAATACTGGCTGTGGAGTGTGTGTCTGTCCCACAAATCCAAGGCTTTCTAGCCTGGCCCTGGGGGTCCAATGTAGGGAGGGAGTTCAGCTGTGAGGCGCAGGCCAAGCCTGTGCTGTGCCTGGGGGAGATGCTCAGGGACCTGGCAGCCACTCATGGAAACTCTGCGTGGCACATCCTCAGGAGAAATCCAGGCCACCCACAGCCTGTGGGGCTGTAAGTGGACAATTTGCTGCTTTGAGTCTCAGTTTCCTTGTCTGAAAAAGGGCCTGATGATAGAGCTTGCTTCTTAATTTCAGCTGTGTTTGTCCTATGCTCTGCCACATTAACTGGGGCAACTTGGTTAGAAGCAACCCTGGCCCCGACCTGATCCCCTTCACTGTGGGGCCCTGGCCAGTTTTCTATGGGGATGGGAGCCCCCAGCCGGGCTGATCCACAGCTGCCCTCATGGGATTGGTTGAGTGATGCAGCACTTTGGCCACCATCCCCTGACCACGCCTGGCTCCTAGTGCCCTTGGGGGTCCTGAGCTTTTGGCTGTGGGAGCAGAAGTCCCAAGGGAGGCTCTAAGAATAGAGTCCTTTCCAAAACTCTCATTTCCAAAGTCTGAACTGACTTTGCAATACTAAATAAATATTGAACGAAGTTGACCTTCTCTCTCCTGCCAGAATTTTCAGCTTCTTTTTCTAAAATCCATGCTAATAGCTTCTGAACCTTTTCCTCTGCGAGAAACCCCCTCTTTTTCAAAATACTTGCTGAAAAGTCGATATCTCGTAAAAGACAAATGCATGAAACTACCAGGAACTTAGGAAGTCCAAGGGAGTCTGAGAAAAATCATAACTTGGTAAGAAAATCTTAAAAAATATTTTTATTAGCTTCTTGAGTAATGGAATTTAGTCAGGACTTCAGACAGAGCCAAATATGAAATTTGTTGTTATTTAATATTATCCAACATGAAACTGCTCTCCATTTTAAGCAATGGTTTAAATGTTAATTTTCATTAGGGATCTTTCTGCTTTCAGGAAAAATAACAGTCAAACCTAGCGCAAACTTGATTAGGTGATTGTTTTGCTTAAAATCCCCAGAGATTTAAGGTTAGAGATTTCATTCTCATTGTCCTTTGGCTCTGACCGAGGCTTCTCACCTTTCAGTCTTGCTGTTGACTGCTGTCTACTGTCTACCTGCCTCCATTCCGTGCCTCCACAACTGCCCCCAACCAGTTTCCAACTGGAGGGGACTGGCTCCTCCATGGAACCCTGGAAATCTTGCATATATCCACCAGGCCATGTGGCAAGACTGTCACTGTGGCTAAATCCAAATCTTTGCAGAGTGTCTTGTGGTCCTCTTAGACCATGGGATTGATCATGGAGGCTTATGAGAAGCTGCCATTTCTCAGTTGCTTCCCTGGGATTGAGGAGGCTGTGGTGAAAGTTTCTCATGGCCTCCTGGCTTCTGACGAGACCTCCCTTTGGGCACAGCTACAGGTGATAGAGCTGCTTTGCCACAGGGTGGCAGGGTGTCCCATCCCTCATTCCTGTTGCTGTTGTTTCTGCACTGTCTTGAACAGGGACCTGGGGAGCTGGCACGTGCAGCTCCTCCTCTTTTTGCCGTTCATGGGCCCAGTAAACTCTCCTGGCCTGAGAAGGGCTCCTTGTTTCTCTGCCTGCTGAATCAGTCCTGTCAGCCTCTGCTTTGTCTTGTTCTTGATATCTCCTCTCCTCCCTGCTCCCGGCCCTCTCCCTGAGATTCAAGTCTGTGTTTGGGGCTCTTCACTTGCTCTGTGGCACCTCTTTCTGAGATGCTGCTTGCCTATCCTAACTTCAAACTGTGGAGTGGTCTGTCTTCTCTGTAGTGTCTTTGCTCTGCCCTGCCCAGCTATGGGCTGGAATCTCCAATGTTTCAAGTGATGAAAGTGGTAGAATATGTCACCTTTGAAAATGGGGAAACTGCCCTGTCTCCCTCAGCCACACAAAGCACCAGCAGGGGCAGGACACCAGGGGTCTTGGCTGAGGTCCTTTTCAGCTCTGAAAGCTCAGTATCCATCCAGAAGCGCACCAGTCTCCTTGGGAGCTTTAGAGCAGATGACAAGATTGTTGGATACAGGTGGCCAAAGGAGCCCTTTTTTCTTGGGACATTGAAGAAACAGATTAAAATGCTACCTGCACATGTGGTACTTAAAACCCCGCTGTGCTCCTGAATTCCCTCATTCGTAAAATGGTAATACCAATATTTATCTCTCCACCTGTTGAGAGGACCCCAGAAAGGTGTCTAGGAGGACACTCTGCCCCTCCAGGACCTGCCACCCCATGTCCTATGGGAAAAGCACAGACATGGGATCCGAAAGATCCTAGGTCTTGCTCTAAGTCTCTCCCTCAACAGGTGGGAGAAAACCTTAGTTTTCTTATGTACCATATGAATGTAGCATTAATAGCTAACTTATGAGGTTTCTGTGAAGATCAGTGAGATTATTAGCAAAAATATATATGAAAGTTCCCAGGCCATAGGAGACACATAATAAATGTTAACTGAATTGATGTTTGAAGTTGTAGGCTTTGCACATCCTATTGGCTTAAAACTAATTAGAGATACGTGCTCTCACCAGGAAATAAGTACCTAACACTCTTACCACATCGTCTTAGGAAGGCAGTGTGGAGCTGCTTGATGGCCTCTGAGTCACATTGCTTCCCTAGAAGCTTATTGGCCAGAGTTGCAAAGTTCTGCTGCCTGAGCCATCTGAGGGCTGTGTCTGCTGTGCTGGTGCCCATCCATGTTGGAGCAGAAAGGACCCTAGCTGAAGCTCAGAGGCTGTGACTGGAGCCACGACAGGAAGGGCAGGCTGCTGCTTCTGCAGAACCAGAGGCCTGGGGGAGAGGCCCCAGAGCTCAACACAAAAGCCCCAGATGAAGCCCTAGTGAGGCCAAGTCCTGTCTGAGACTCTGCCGTTGGGGTTGCCTGTGAGTGGCTGACACTGACCCCTGCCCCCAGCCCCTTTATTGGGATTCTGCTGTTCTCATCCCTGTCCCCTGGTGCAGCTACACACATTTGCTCAGAAAGAGAGCCCCCAGCAGCTTAGATTTCAAGATTTTCTTGTTGGAAAAACACAACTTTTGGAGAAAATAAAAATGGCAAAATGCTAAATGCTGGTGTGAGCCAAGCATGTGTCAGGCGTGTGTCAGGCACGTGCCACACATATCAGATCATCCTCTGTGTTGTTTCTATGGTTCCTTCCCGCCATGTTGTGAAAGACACATCATTGTTCCCACGTTGAAGAGGAAATGGAGGCCCGAAGGGTAAAGTGTGTGTCCACCTTGCATAGCCCATAGAAGGCAGGCCCAGGATGGGTGGCCCTGGTCCTGCAGACTCTGAATTCCTTTGCTGTGCTGTGATCACACCCATTGTAATCATGATGCCATAGCCACTGGCACTTGCGTCACTCTCTCAGCCTTAGAGACTGTTCCCCTGACACTACGTCCTTGGATCTTAACTTAGCCCAGTTGGTAGACAATCTGGTCATACCCATCAGAGGATGAAAGAAGCCCATGGGAAGTTGGCTGCCCTGCCCTGCCCCTGCCACCTGGGGAAAGTTTGGGAGGAGAGGACTATTGGAGCCACCCATAGGAGAGCCAGGTTGGGACTGCCAATGCAGACCAGGTGTGGTGATGCTGTGTGGAGAGTGCCTCTTCCTCCAGGAGAGTGGCTCCGTGTTGAAGAGGACTGAGAATGTGGCTGGAACGGGCAATGAGAACCGTTGTCAGCAGGATGTGCCCGTGCTAGGGAGCCTGGTCCCGAGCCCAGGGTTGCGGGTGAGTGGGGAGGGGAGGTGCAGGAGGTTGGAGGTGGCAGAGGAGATGGACCAGCTCCTTCACTGCATCGGTGGTCCCGATGGTCGACAGGATGGGCTGGATGGGACTGGCAGTGGACAGAGAGAGGAAGTGTGTCTCCGAAGGGCAGCACAGAGCCATGTGCCTAGCCGAGGGGCATGCAGGATCCTGAAGCCAGCTCAGAGATGGTGTGTCTGGGTAGCAGGGAACTGGGGCATGTTGCAAAAAAAAAAAAAAAAAAAAAAAAAAAAAAAAAAAAAACGGGAAGTGGGGCATGCAAGAGCCTGGATTGCAATGATCTATTAAAGATGGAACTCCGGGCTTCTGATACATGACCTGGGGCCCGGAAACATTTGGGTGCCCCACAGGACAGAGCATGGTGTGGCAGGGGTGCTTGGGGAGATGACCTCAAGGGGAGGGGAGGCTGGAGAAGGTGAAATTAAGCTGTGGGAAGTCCCTGCGACGGACAGCTCCAGGTGTGAGGCTTGCGGTTCACAAACGGGTTCACACCTACAGCTGCTTTCACCTGGGTCCCAGAGGACCCTGAGGTTCAGGAAGTCTCCTGGAATTGCCTGGGGTCACAGGACTTGTAGGGCTAGAGGTCACCAGGCCTGGCTGTGCCCTGTCCTCCCATCCCCTCTACTGACTGGACATGTGATTTCCTGTCTACTGCAGAGGGACATACAGGGGGAGGGGCAGGGGTGCAGAGACCGTGGGGTGGAGGGTGCTTTATGGCATGTTTACCCTCACATGATCAATAAGCGCTTTTACCTTAGACCCTCGGAGGCATTTCAAAAACAACTTTCCCAGTGTTAAAATGAGTGAAGTCAGAAGCTGAAGCAGGCATGTCCGGGCTCCCTCCAGTGTGTGCGTTTTCCTGGCGTCACTGGGCTCCTTGCCCTGCTGGCAGCTCCACACCGGCCCCTCAGCCTGGAGGCAGCAGCCCCAGTGGTTGAGCCAGGGGTGCTCCCCAAAGGACCCTGTGCATGTCCAGTCTAGGGAGAACCAGCCTCCAGTCTAGGGAGAACCTAGGCTGGCAGACGATGAAGTCACTTTTATTTCTATTAAATACTGTGCGGCCTGGAATAGGGACACATGTACAGATTTTAAAACCACACTCAGCCAAGACGGTTCAATGATGTGTCAAAGACATCTGACAGGGGTCACCTGTGAGAGCAGCTGAGGTTGACCTTTGATGTTGGAGAGTACACAGGACACTTGAGTTTCTTCTTACCCATGACACAAGTTCAAACCCAGAGAGAAAGTTAAGCCCATTTTAGTCCTTCCTAGTTTATAAGCATGGACCTATTTTCTTCTGAGCTGGGGGAAGCAAAAGATACTGCGGAATTTAGCTGGGAAGCGCACATTCTCTGAGGTCTGATTGTCCACTCTGGTGCCAAGGATGCTCATGAGCACTCTCTGGCTGTTCCATAGCCAGCTTTGACGTGGGGCATTCAAGGACATCCAGGGACACGGCTCACCTTTGGGTGTCAGCCAACCTGGGGAGCAAAGATTCCCCAGGCAATGCAACTGTTCAGTCCCATCCACAAATGCTTACTGAACACCTTCTACAATTAGTCATTGCACCTCATGGAGTGACAGGGACGTGAGGAATCCATAGCCCTGGGGTCTGGGGGCCAGGTGTACATGTGTGTGTGATGTTAATGATCGCCTCAGGAGGTGGAGCAAACTCCTCACTCCTCACGTTGGGGCACACAGAGCAGCTTCCATCCACAGAGCACAGCATGGAAAATGGGAAGGGAGAGGCACTCTATGGTGGAAAAACTAACAGGACCTCCTCCCGGTGGTCAAGGCCAACACCCATAGTGATGAGTCACACTGACAATGTGTACCATTTATGTGATGTGAGGCCCTTCACCGCTGTGGGCTTCCTCCCCAAACCCATATTTCAGTCTAATCATGAGAAAACCATCAGACAAACCCTATTTTGGAGACATTCTACAAAATACTTGACCAGTCCTCCTCAAAACTGTCAAAGTTGTCAAAAACCAGAAAAATCCTGACAGCCAAGAACTGCCAAAAGAGATATGACAACTAAATGTCCTTGGTATCCTGGCACAGGAGAAGAACATTAGGCAAAAACCAAGGGAACCTGAGTAATTTATCAATATTGGTTCATTAATTATAACAGATGTGCCATACACATGTAAGACATTAATGATAGGGGAAACTGGGTATGGGTTACATGGAAACTCTCTTCACTATTTTCATAAATTTTATTTACTAAATTTGTGACTTTTTAATCTAAATCTGTTCCGGAATAAAAAGTTTATTAAAAAAGACCACTCCATCCAGTAGGCAATAGCAGGTGACCTGCCAAAGAGGTGGAGCCAGTTGGTGGCTGGAGGCAATCGAGATGCTCGGGGGATGGTGACAGATGCATCTAAGACATGACAGTGATGAGGCAGTGTCCCAGACACCAAGGGCGACACCCCCAGGAACCTGGACCCTTTACGGTGGCTGAGATCCTTGCAGGATCAGTACAATGAGAGTTATTATGGCTACTCTGACCCATCAGTAACCAGGCTTGTGAGATTGGCAGGAACCTGGGATAACATAAAGCTATGAAGGCAGAGCCTCAAGAAACCTGAAGAGTGTAGCCAAGGTCATGTTGAGATCAGAGCTCACAGCTAACAGATAACAACACAGCAAAGGCATGAAGCCCAGCACGAGTGAAGGGGCATCAGTGATGCAGACACCAAGACGACAATAGAAAGGGTCCAGAAGGGTCGTCCTGAAAATTAAGTTGATGTAAGTGTCTATTGGAGAATTTACCTTTCCTTTGTATCAGCAATCAGCATGCTTGCTCTTTCTGACATAGGGATCCAAGTTCATTCACTAAAACCAATCTTAGACATAGGAGAGGACTGCTCTTTCTGTCAGATGAGTCCAACTAGAGCCTGAAATAAAGCCAAAATGCAAGTTGGCAAAACTATGGTTTGGAGAGAGACAGACTGCACACACACTTGATAGTGTTTAGTTCCTGGATGGAGCTGTTCCTGAAGTCTACACCTGAGCTTGCAGTATAACTTTTGTTTGTATTTTGCTTAAGCCAGTTTGAATGGGATTTATGCTACTTAGAATAAAAGGGTCCTGAGAATCTTTCTGCTACTGAGAAAGATCACAGAATAGTGAGTGCTTCTGTCCCCAGGGCACTCCTGGGAGGCAGTTTGCAAATGCATTGGGGAGGAGATGAGATTTTCTGAAGTCAGATTGTGGTGAACAGGGCATATCCTCAGGAAAGCACAGAATGCCACAGCTAGCCAGGCTGTGAAAGGCTCTCTGGAGCCTGGAATGCCGTCATTGTTCTGAGGTTTTGCATCATGTCTAAAGTCACTGTCCTGTCCTCCTAACAGGAGAATGGAGTCCCAGAAACCTAGGAGGAGAAGACAAAGTGTCAGCCTCTCGGCATCTGCAGTGTTGCTAGGAAAAGAGCTCTGATCCCAGGGGCTTACCCACTTCCACAGGTAGGAAGCGTCCCTGAGAGGACTGGAACATTAGCATATCTCAGATCCATCTGCAAAACTTTTGCAAACACGGAACTCCCTCGTTCTAATCTTATCAGCAACTTCCAGAGCTGAACCTTGATTAATCTGGATACAAAAAGGATTGAAACGCCACATAATAAGCATTAACAGGAGGGTGTTTCCTTTATCAATGAAGCTTGATTTATCCATGATGATCTAGTGCATTCTCCTCCCAAAAATCAGGATCATCCTCTGCATATGAAGGAACAGACAAGCCCTCAGCTCTACCACTTTGGAGAGGGGGGGATTGGACAGCATGAGCCTTCAATTGTATCTCTTGGATGACCAAGGAAGGCTGGATTTCTGCACCTAAAAAATGGAAGCACAAACTGTACAACAAATACTCTCCATTCAAGTTGAAGTTCTCAAATAAGGTATCCAATTAACCAATGTATTAATAACATTGAAAATAATAATCTCATAGGAAGATTCCAAAAATTTCTGGTTTTATATCTAGCAAAAACTTCATGCACTATGTTTGATTTGTATGTAGAACTCAGGGTGAACATGCCAGTGACAGTGGCAATGAGAGGGGTAACTGGGGGCCAGAAGCAGGCTGAGGGAGAGGAGAGGAGGGGGCAGAGTGTGCTCAGGGAACCATGAGCCATGCAGGATAAGCAATAGGGCAGAATAAACAGGACATACCCATCTGTTTATTCTCTCTGTATAATGTTTTGATTCTCTTTGTACCCTAACTAACCAAGGCACAGCTCAGGAAGTTGCTGCCAGGATTAGAAAAAGGGAGTTGCACATTCTCAAAAAGCAATGGTACAGTGCAAAGAATGGTAATTAATCCCCCAGCACACTTGACCCAGCCCCTAAAGAACTTTGTGACCTTGGGCCAGGCAGGCAGCTCCCAGGCTTCTGTTTTGTCATTTTTGACCTCTTCTGGCTGCAGTGATTCATTTCCAGATATAGGTTGCTTCAGCTCATCTCAAAGTCTTCTTGTAGCCTGTTCTTTGAGAAATGGTAATATATCTCTTGAAAAGTTTCTTTTTCTTGCAAAGTCACCCAATTCATGAGTTAATGAGGTCCCACCAGTGATACGATTGCAGAGTCACAAATATCACTAACTGAAAGGAGTAGAAGGAAGGCGGGAATTGCAGACACACCATGAGTGGGTGGCCTCCAGGAGATACACGTGAGACCAGCCCTGTGGTGGGCCAGGTCAGAAGGACTTCTGCTTAGACTAGGTGGAAACTTCTCAGCATTCTGAGGAGTACCACCATCTGACTGGCAGTTTGAAGGTATCACTTGGGCTGCTGTATCAAGAATAGACTTCAGAAGACAAGTTGAACGTAGCAAGACCAGTGAGAAAGGTGTCATAGCCGTCCAAGTGCAGGGTGGCAGTGGAGATAGGAGTTATATTAAGGAGAGAGTCACCAGGATTTGCTGATGGGTTAGGTGTGGGCTGTGGAAGAAAGATCAAAGTCAAGAATGACTCCAATGACATTGTCCTAAGCAATTGGAATGATGAAATCACAGTTGTTGAGATGGGGAACCTGCACATGGAGTGAGTCTGGAGGAGAGATTAGTTGTTTGGCTTTGGCCATGCTGAGTTTCAGATGTGTTTCGACACACATGTGGAGGGGTTACGCTTGAATGTCTGAGTCTGACTTTTGTATTGAGATGTTCCTATCCTACTTCTTCCTACCTCCACCCTGCAAAGGATGGCCATGGTTATCTTCAGTGCCCCCACAAAGCTCTGTGCAGATTCCTGGTATGTCACATTTATTTCAAATGGCTTTACTGAGATGTAATTGATATATAGTTCACCCATTTAAATTGGACAATTGAATGGTTTTTAGTATATTCACAGAGTTTTGATCATGTGTAACATGGTCTATTTTTAGAATATTTTTGTCACCCCTTCCCCTCTAAAAAACCTCATAGCCATTAGGAAACATTCTCCATTTCCTAGCATGGTATTTTAAAATAGTGACAATTCCTATTTTCAAGTCTGTCAGTAAGCCTCTTAATGGTAGGGACTTCCGTGTTATTTGTTTTTGCATTTCACCCTGTAACAATTACTCAAAAAAGCTGTTGTATGAATGAACTACAGTTTGAAAAATACGACCCCAAGACTGTGTGTCTTTAAGAGAGAACCAACCCTTTGCATTCCGGTGCTCTTCGTATGGCTGCCTGTAGCATTTTTCAGATCTAGTTGAGAAACCGATGGGAGGATATGGAGATAAGTCTCATTACTCTTTTCTTTCTTGGCTATACTTCTCTAGCATCTGTTGTAAACAAAACAGAAAAGAGTCTTTCTAAACCTGGTGAAAATATCTCAAATGCAAGGAAGCCAGTGATGAAAAATGCAATATCAAAGTTCGGGCTGTTACAAACACATGGCATAAATCACATCTGCTCATTAAACTTATTACAAAGAATGATAACAAAAGCAAAGAGATGTCTGAAAATGTCTTGGGAAAAATAAAGTAGCTAATAAATTCGTGGTTTTACTGTTTTATGTCATAAGGATGGATATAATTTCATTTGGGACAAATGTTTCTGGACTCAGACTACAGACTACAGATTTGGAGCTGAAGGCCACTACCAAGGCAATCTCCTCTAACATCTTCATTTCAGAGCTGATGAGCTAGATAGTCATGCCCTGTGACCTCTCAGCTGGTTATGGCAGAGCTCGCCCAAGAGCAAGGGGCGTAATATATTAATTAGTTTAAACTGATATGCGTTATGTACTAACAGGGTCTGGGCAGACCAGTAGCATCTAAATATTATTCTAAGAGTCAGAAGCTTTTTTTCCAATAAAGCCTTATGCTGAAAACAATAATTATGGCAGAATCCTTCTGATGGAGCCTGGGGGGTGGACTGCTTTTTCCCTCTGCTGCTGCAGCCCTGACGTGGTTTAGTGTGTCCTGGGACTATCCCTTTGACATCCCTCCTCTGTATTCTTCTGAAATACAGGACCCATCCACTGCATATAGTCACAAGTTTACTTGCTTCTCTTCCCTCCTAAACTGTGGAATCTCTCAACATAATGATTGTGTCTTACACAAAACTGCATATCTCAGTTTCTGAACTCAGGAAATATTAACTTTGTTCTTTG
The DNA here is from genome assembly GCF_000001405.40 of Homo sapiens. NCBI lineage: Eukaryota > Metazoa > Chordata > Mammalia > Primates > Hominidae > Homo > Homo sapiens. Next base: position 45,993,774 of record NC_000007.14, read on the forward strand.
ACTTGCCAGGTTCTTTTCAAGGTGTTGGTGACACAGATATGAGGAAAACAGAGTTGACTCATGGTGATGGAGCTTACATTCTATGGGGCAAGAGTGAGCAGAGGGTAAATCATGAAATAAAGAACTTACTATAGACACATATTGTGGGGAAAATACAGCAGCAGAAGATAATAGGAAGTGTCAGGACATTTGGAGTGGCTAAATCTGCTGTTTTTTTTTTTTTTCCAGAATGTGGACAAGAAGACATCTTCAATAAAGTGACATTTATATAGAGACATAAAGAAATGGAGGGGGAGCCATGCATATCAAGGAACATAAGTGCAAAGGCCTTGAGTTAGAATCCTGTAGGGTGATTTGTAGAAACAGTAAGGCCAGAGAGGAACACAGCTGGAACAGAGTGAATTAGGAGATGTGAACAGAAAGGTCGCAGGGAGTCAGGTTATTTAGGACTCTGTAGGCCATTGTAAATATTTGGGATGGGACACTGGGCAGAGGAGTAACATCATCTCATTTCAGTTTTGAAAGGTTCACTCCAGCTACTCTGTTGACAATGGATTATAGAAGACTGAACATGGAATCCAGGAGACCAGTCAGAAAACTTCTTCAGGAATCCAGCACAGTAATGGCAAATTCATCCTTCCCCTTTATTAGGCCTCTCTACTCCACATTTTTCATTGCCTGCATTCCAATCCATCTGCAAATCCTTTGGCTGTACCACCTAAATATGCTCAGAATCTAATCACTTCTTATCACCTCCACTGTTCCCCATCTAAGGCACCCTCATGTCTCATCTCATTATTGCCATTAGCTTCCCAGCCTCAATCCTCTCTATTGCTTCCTCTTAACACAATAGCCTGTGGTTCTTTGAAAATGTCAGTCAGAAGCAGAAAATGGCAGAGTAGGGAACTCTAAAACTGTTTCTTCACTAAAGCAACAATAAAGTTGGCATAAACTATTAGGTTAACTTTTTAAAACTAAGGAATCTAATAAAAAATATACAACAATAAAAGAAGTGTTTCACAAAGAAAGAAGCTCCTAAATTTCAGCAAAAGAGTATTGTGGTGCTTTAACTTACCTATACAATTTACCACTTTCCAGCTTGGTGGTAGCTGTGGGGCTGGCTGCCCATGTTATTGACATAACTTGATGGCCCCAGAGGAGGCACTTAGTCTCAAACAATTATGATTGTATGTCTGTCTGGTGGCTCCCCGAGTGATTGGTGAGGGAATTCCCTATGTTTCACATGCCTCTGAACTTTCTCAGGCCTGAAGCAGCCTCCTGAGTGGCATTTAAAGAAATCATTTAAGGCAAACATACTCACTGCTGCTGCCTGGGGAAGGTTATAACAGATAGCAAAAGCAGCAGACAGACTAGAAAGGTTAGGAAAAGTCAGGGAAAGAATATAAATGTGAGAATAAGTATTTTAATAGATTCCACATAATTGGATAACCTGGAAGTCCACACAAATGCCCAGGACTAGACATGCTCAGAAAAGACTGGAGAACACCATGAACTTTCATCTCTGGCTCCTGTCTTTAGGCTCCCGTGAAGCTGAAAGTGGACATTAAGCAAATGTAAATGGCCTAGCTAAGCATTAAAGGAATGCTCAAACACGTAGCCAGTCCACAAAGACTTGAAGTATTTTTTGTTACATTGGGTTTAGGCATTTAAGAAAACCTCTGTTAAATCACCAGCTGACCAGTAAGTTAACAGAACTGGAACTTTGGTGACTACACATAACAGAGAAAACAGTCTTATAAAAAGAATTTAGAAGAGTCACTAAACAACTACAACCTACAAGTAGCAACAGCAAATCCTGGGGAGAAGAAGATTATGATTTCTAGAGTTACAGATTATGATATTAAAAATGTTCAATTATCAAAAATTTACAACACATGCAAAGAAACAAGAATGTATGACCCACTCACAGGAAAAAATAAATGAACCAAAACTGTCCCTAAGAAAACACAGACATTGGATTTACTATAAAAAGACTTTAAATCAACCATCTTAAATATGCTTAGAGAGATAAAGAAAAACCATAGACAAAGGAGACCATAAATATGATGCCTAGACAAATAGAGATTACCAACAAAGATAGAAAATATAAGAATAGACCAAACAGAAATTCTGGAGCTAAAAAATGCAATCTGAAATTAAAGCTTCACTAGAGAGATTCAGCATAAAATTTGAACAGAAAGAAGAAAGCATCCTCAAAATTTCAAACTAAACTTAAGATAGCTCAATGTAGATTATTCAATTTGAGAAGCAGAAGTGGAAAGAAATGAAGAAAAATGGACATACCTTAAGAGACCTGTGGGACACTGTGAAGTGTACCATTATATGCATAATGGAAATCCTAGAAGAAGGAGAGAAAGAAGCAGAAAAGTTATTTCAAGAAATAATGGTCCAAATTTTTCAAATGTGAGAAATAACATAAATCAGCATATCAGGGAATCTCAATGGACTTTTAACCAAAAAAGCACAAAGACTCCATTACGCGTTATAATTAGACTTTCAAAAGGAAAAGCCAAAAAAGAATCTTGAAAGCAGGAAGTAAGAAGCAACTTGTCATGTTTTTGTACAAGGAATCTTAAATAAGAATAAGAGTCAACATCTCATCAGCAAGCATGAAGGGCAGAAGGAAGTGGGACAATATATTTAAAGTGCTGATAGAAAAAAAACTGTTAACCAAGAATTCTGTCTGGCAAAACTAATCAATGAAGAAGAAATAAAGACATTCCCAGATAAATAAACTTTGAAGAAGTTCATCACTAGTAGGCCTGTCCTACAAGAAATGCTGAAGGTATTCCTTGAGGTTGAAATAAAAGGACACCAGACAGTAACTCAAAGCTGTATGAAGAATTAAAGAAGACCAGTAAAGGCAGCTACAGAGATAAATATACAAGCTAATATTATTGTATTTCTGGTTTGTAACTTCTCTTTTCTTTTTCTTTTTTCCCCTATATGGTTTAAAATTCAAATGCCAAAAATAATATAAATTTGTGTTAATGGGCACTCAATGTGTAAAGACAAAATCTGTGACAATAATAACATAAAGAGATGGATGAGGCTGTATAATAGCAGAGGTTTTGTACACAATTCAGGCTAAGAGGGTATTGATTCAAGCTACATTGTTATAAATTTAATATGTTAATTACAATCTCCAGATTGTGCGGTAGAAAATAAAGAAAATAAAAAAGTGAAGAAAATAATTAAAAACTATGCAGAAAAGAAAATAGGAATTGAACAAAAATGGACTAGAAAAAATCAATTACACAAAAAACAAATCCATAATGAAGGAATTGAGAAAAACATATACAAAATCTATGGAATATAAATAGCAAAATGAGAGAAGGAGGCCTTTCCTTGACAGTAATTACTTTAAATATAAATGAATCAAACTATTCAATTAAATGGCAGAGATTTTCAGTATGTATTAAAAAACGTGATCCAACTATATACTATCTAAAAGGGACTTATTTTAGCTATAAAGACACAAAAATGCTGAAAATAAAAGGACAGATAAGATACTTCATGCAACTACTAATCAAAAGAGATCTGGAACGTCTCCACTATTATTAGACAAAATAGACTTTAAATTTCGTTTTTTTGCTTCCAAAAGCTTTATTTTAATTTGATCCAAGGCTTGGGAGAGTGCTCCAGGGTAGTTAAAAAGCTGCCCAGTGGCTGGAGGGAGAGGCTTAGGCAGAAGCCCTGTTACTTTGCAAGGGGCCCCCCAGAAGTCCCTGGGCTCAGTAGGCTCCTAGTTGTACTTGAAGGTGAGCCTTTCAAAGAGATACTCGCCAGCCCAGCCTCCAGGCCAGCCAGCCTGTGCAGCCTGTGGAGGTTGGTCAGGTGGTCACCCATCTTCTTGATGAGTTTAACTTCCTCATCTAGGAAGTGACTCTCCAGGAAGTCACAGAGATGGGGATCTGTGTAGCCAGAACTGAGGGCATGAAGATCCAAAATGGCCTAGTTCAGATTTTTCTCCAAGGGCATTGTGGCTTCCATGGCATCCAAAGTTGTACCCCACTTATCTTG